>NC_000009.12:129162005-129475823 GCF_000001405.40 Homo sapiens | reverse complement strand
AAACCAGGTGACATTTAGGGCCCAGAAACAATCAGTTCTTCCAGGTTAGATCCTCCCTCGGAAAGCACATAGGGCCATTTACTCATTTGCTCATGGTCCACCTGAAAATCCTGCGTACAGCACCTGCTATGTGCAGCAGCTCAGCCCCGAGGCTTTGAATGTAGGTTCTGGACCGAGCCCTCTCAGGGTTGGGTTCAAGTCTTGGCTTTACCACTTCCCAGCTAACCATAGTCTTCCTTCTCGAAGGCTCGGGGTCTGGGTTAGGATGCTGGCCCAGCTGCTGTAGCAGAACCTGAGTAACAGTGGCTACAGGAGACAGGAGCTGATTTCTCTCATTTCAGAGGTTTTCCTCCTTTCAGTCTAGGGGATGGGAGGCTGCCCTGGGAGCCGGTCCAGGGCCCAGGCTCCTTCTATCTCTCTCATCCCTGGAGGATTGCTTCTGTCCACAAGCTTGAAGATGGCTGCCCCTCTCCCTCCCCATTCTCTGTGAGTGTGTGTTTGGGGAACCAAAGGGGTGGAAGCTACCAATTTCTTTTACTGGCTGGCAGGAAGGTGCATAGCTCATTGCTTGTGTTTCATTGGCCAGAGCTGATCATATGACCACACCTAGCTGCAAGGGAGGCTGGGAAAGGTAATACTTAGCCTGGCAGTCATGTGCCTCATTACAACCTGGGAGAGGGCCATTCTGTTACCAAAGGGGAGGTGGCAAAATGGGTACTGGGCAACAGCCAGCAGCACAGCATGTGTCCCACAGGATTCATGGAGATCTTTCGGGAAGCACCTAGCACAGGCCAGGTGCGTGGAGGGTGCTCAGGGAACAGGAGCTGGTGTTGATGTTGCAGGTGAGTGCCTGCACTTTCCCAAGGGAGGCTGCAAGCCAAGCCCTGGAACTGCTCTGGCTGCTTTTTTGGGGGTCTCCACCCCACGCCCCACACCCTCTAGGTGATGAGGAGAAGCACCAAGAAACAGCAACTCCCAGCCCGTCCTCTCGGGGCCTCACAGCCCAGTGTAGCGAAGACCTCAGAGTTCTGCCCTCCTTTCAAAGAAAGAACAGGAAAGCAGCCTTGTCTTCAGGGCTTGTAGCCCAGGAAGAGACAAGAGTGACATTGGGGGCCTTGCACCCTCACCCCACGGCTGCCTCCAGGGACCATGGCAACATCTGCCTCCAGTGGGGAGTGGTGGGGTTCTTCCTGGAGGCTCAGGCAGGCGTCTGTGTTCCACCCCTTCCTAAGGCAGTGCCAGCCAATTTGGGCTCAGAAATGTCCCCTCTCTAAATTTTCCCCTCTGCACCTGAAGCTCCCACAGCCCAAGGAGAACTGGTGGGTGACAGGAAGGGGAAGCATGACCTCCAGTGCACACAGTATCCCAGCAGGGCCAGCTCACCCAGGAGCTGAGAGGGAGGGTCTCTCTGCTCTGTAGACACTGGGTTCAGGATCAGGAGCTGAGACCCCAGATCAGATAGACCTAGACCGTGGCTCTTCCTCTTAGCAGCTGTGTGAGTCTCCGTTATAGTGGGAATGATATGGGGAACCACGTCTCCATCTTATTGTAAAGATTTATAAAATAACCCGTGCAAGGTACTTGTGGGGAGAAATGGCTCAAAGGACAGTGCCTGCTCCAATCACGACTATGACTATTGTTTTTCTAATCCATGCCACAGACCTTGACTTTCTGCCTCCCACGCACATCTCCCAGCAGGCAACGCCCTCCCGTCTGGCAGTTTACACTCTAGGCCTTTTCTGAGCCCCTAAGACTGGGCAGGTCCCCTGCACGCCCTATGCACTCTGGCTTTCTCCTTCCCAACACTTTCCAAAATCATGATGAAGTCATTATTTGGCTGGAGTGCTGCCCTCCAGGCAAGGAATCTCGTGACAGCAGGGACTGTGATTCTTTCATTCGTTGCCATAGAACTCGTGCCCGGTGAAGGGCGGCGTGGTGTGGTGAGGATTCACGGTGAATGCTGCAGAATGGGTCCTTCATTCGCTTAGCCATTTATTCATTTACCCAGAGCTAGATGAATTTGACTCTCCACCTCCGTCATTTACTTTCTGGGTGACCTAGAGAAGCATCCTTCTTCTCTTAGCCTCAGTTGCCTCATCTGTAAAATGGGGCTAGCGTGGCCCTCACAGAGAATGGCAAGGAGTCATTGAGATAATGGGGCTATGACACACAGATATTTTGAGCACCTGGCATCTAGCAGTTGTTCAATAGCCACTGGCTGTAGTAAGAGTCTTATTTGGGCAATTGTTACTGTTATTGTTCTCCCTGAAACTACAGCAGGAGTTTGCTCTGCCCTTTCATGTCAAAATCCACTGGACTGACCCACACTGCCTGACTACTGGAAAGGCCAGGAATGGCTGATAAAAGTTCTTTCCTTCCTCCCTTCCTCCTTTTTCTTTCTTTCTTTCTTTTTTGAGACAGAGTTTCACTCTGTCGCCCAGGCTGGAGTGCAATGGTGTGATCCGGCTCACTGCAACCTCCGCCTCTCAGGTTCAAGCAATTCTCCTGCCTCAGCCTCCCAAGTAGCTGGGATTACAGGCATTCGCCACAATACCCAGCTACTTTTTTGTATTTAGTAGAGATGGGGTTTCACCATGTAGGTCAGGCTAGTCTCGAACTCCTGACCTCAGGTGATCCATGCGCCTTGGCCTCTGAAAATGCTGGGATTACAGGCGTGAGCCTCTGTGCCCAGCCAAGCTAATATTTTTTTTTAAATGTTTTGTAGAGGCAGGGGTCTTGCTATGTTGCCCAGCCTGGCCTTGAAATCCTGGCCTCAGGCAATCCTCCCAAAGTGCTGGGATTCAGCATGAGCCACTGAGTCATTCATTCATGCATGCATGCACACAGTGAATCCACATTTTCCGAGTGCCCCCCAGGGGCCGGGCCCAAGACTAGGTGCTGGTGGTTGCAGGCATATAGGAGGGTCCTGGACTGAGGGGAAGCCATCAGTTTATCCTCTGTGCAAAGGGAAGTAGCTGAGCCCTCTGCCCGCATCCTGTCACCCCCATCCCCCCATCGGCTGGTCCATCTGTGTCCTTTTCCTGAACCTCTTTCATCCTGGCCTGGGCAGGGGGCTCGGCACCCCCACCCCTCCCTGCAGCCATTTCCTGCCCTCCTGTCATCTGCTTCCTTTGATCCTTTTGTTGGAAGACTCTTGGAAGCCTCTGAGCCGTTGGCAACCCCGTCTACTGGGCTGGGGCTGGTGACCCTACAGGGGCTGTGCCCAAAGTGGGCTTCTCTTGGAATCCTGCTCTGGGAGGCAGATGGATTCTGACCACATTTGTTCATTCGCTCATTCACTTATTCATTCACAGGTTCCAGGCTCTATGCTGGGCCCAGGGGCCACAAAGTAAGCAAGACAGCCATGGACCCTGCCCTCATGGAACTCCAGCCCAAGGAACAGTGGCTCATCCCATGCCAAGGGGCTCCTCTCAAAATTCCCACAGCAGTAGCGATCTAAAGGACCTGGGCAGGGGCACTGGAATTCAAGTCCCAGCCTCTGGCGAGTGTCTTTACTCTTGAGCCCCAGTTCCATACGTGGGTACTTGCGGAGGGACTGGACCCCATATTCCCTAAGGCCTTCCAAGCTCAAAAACTGTGAGAAGATGCGGTGTGGCCAGGACGCTGCTAGAGTGAGCTTCCTGGATGCAGGAAGGGGGCTCTGGGCCCAGCAGAGAGGCAGGGTGAGGAGGCCAGAAGTATAGGGGGCCCAGTTTGACGGGAGATGGAATACACATTGTCATTTTGATTTTTTTCTTTTTTATTTAATACTGTTGATTCAACAGTAAGAATACACATTGTTGATCAGAAAATGAATAGAGCCTTATCCCCAAAGACAACAAGCCTCTTCTCTTTATCTTGTATGGGGCCTCCACAACCGGCTCAGGACAGGAGTTAAGTCCATGCTGGGAAGGGGCTACCATTTATTGAGCACTTACTATGTGCTAGGGATGCTGGGCTGAGCTCTTCATGTCAGGCATGAATCCATGGAATCCCCACTCTGGTCCTATGAAGCAGGTGCAATCATTCTTCCCATTTTACAGATGAGAACAGGGAGGCACGGAGAGATGAAGATTGCCCAGAGTCCCACAGCTTGCAAGATGCCACAGCTGGGTTTTGAACCCTGTTTGCCTGGCTTCAGCCCCCACACTGTTCTGTCCCCTGGTGACTGAATGGGGGGACCTCCAGGCATCAGGACGCTGGGCTACACAAGGTAGCAGACTTTCTGGGGTCTGCCTCAGTAGTTCCAGTCTTGTGGCTGGGTGGTTCACCCCCTTTCCCTCAGAGGGTGGAAAACAGTCAGAGAAGACAGCAGGAGGCCCACCTGCCACAGGAAGTCCTTCAGAGGACAGCAGTAGGGACTCCTAGAATGGCTTCCCCACCCACCCTTCAGGGCTCCTGGAGTCCCAGCAAGGCTGGCACCAGCTCCCTCAAGCCCTTTTAGGAATTGCCAGTGGCTGAGCTTCTCCTAGTTCTTGGTGTGATGGACTCCTATAGAGCTCTCAACACCCTGCTCAGGTGCCCCTCAACCTCCCTAGGATGACTCAATCCCTCCTCTCTCAATGCCCTCCTCTGCATCTGATACCCTTTCCTATACACACTGCGACTCGTACTGTGGAAACCTGCAAACGTGTGCTCGTTGTTGATAGTACAGCAATACCAGCCTCTTCAGCCAGCATTTTTTCTGTGCCGGGCCCCATGCCATGTGCACAACCCTCACCAGCACCTGGGACTGTTCTTACCCCCACTTTACAGATAAGCAAGTTAAGGCACAAAAAACACTTAGGTGTCTTATCCAGTGATCCAGGGAGGCCAGGCACTGTGGCTCACACCTGTAATCCCAGCATTTTGGGAGGCTGACAAGGGCCAATTGCTTTCACCTAGGAGTTTAAAACCAGCCTGGGCAACATGGCGAAACCCCATCTCTATGAAAAATACAAAAATTAGCTGGGGGTGGTGGCGCATGCCTGTAGACTCAGCTCCTAGGGAGGCTGAGGTAGGAAGATCACTTAAGCCTGGGGAGGTCAAGGCTGCCGTAAACTGTGATTGCGTCACTGCACTCCAGCCTGGGAGACAGAGTGAGACAAAAAAACAAAACAAAACAAAATACAAAACTGTGACCCAGGGACCACCTGCAGGGAGTGCCTGTCCTGGCCATGCCTGGATTTCTAACCCCATCCTTAGTGTCTGCCTTCCGGCCTCCTGGGTTTTACTGCCTCACAAGGGGCCCTTTAGGAACAATTGTTTTGTTTTGTTTTGTTTTGTTTGAGATGGAGTCTCGCTCTGTTGCCAGGCTGGAGTGCAGTGGCGCAATCTCACCTCACTGCAATCTCTGCCTCCCGGGTTCAAGCGATTCTCATGCTGCTCAGCCTCCTGAGTAGCTGGGACTACAGGTGCACACCGCCACACCTGGATAATTTTTGTATTTTTAGTAGAGATGGGGTTTCACCACATTGGCCAGGCTGGTCTCAAGCTTCTGACCTCCAGTGACCCGCCCGCCTCAGCCTCCCAATGAATAATTGTTGAATGAATAAAGGAATGAGAAGTCAATTTTCTCCAAGGTGCTTGTGGCTGACTTGTCCCGCCCCAGACCATGCAGCTCCACTGCTCCCCTTTCCCCGCACATCTCCCCACGGATTTGGGTCCCACTGAGTGGCAGAGACCAGAAGCCCTGCCTCGCCTCAGCCTGGACTCGCTGTGTGACCTTGGTCAGAGGAAGCAACATCTCTGGCTTTCTTTTCTTCTTCTGTGCAGGAGTCCCTGCCCAAACCACATCTTCTCTCTCTTGTGATGCTCAGACCAAGGAGCAAGCCGTGGGGTGGGAGGACCTCCAGTGCCTGGGAGGAGCAGGGGGTGCTTCACACACAGTGCGGCGAGGCTGAGACCACGTTCTCAGGGGAGGAGAGTGGCTCTGGGCCTCGCGACCTCACACCCTCCCTGTAGGTACCGAGCTACGCATCCCCGCCTGGGTGCAGCTTGTGTTGGAAAAGAGTCCCTGCCATCCAGAAGCCCCAGAGCCCCGCCCACCCTACTCTGGTTGCAGACCCTTCCAGCATCTTTGGCAGCCTCGCCACCCCTGGGCACAGCAGGAGCAACCCCAGTGCCCAGGGATGAAGCACCTACCGTGTATCAGGCCCTCCTGGAGCCCCAGCTCACTGACCCTAACAGTGACCTCCTGGGGCAGTCCTGTTTTTATCCCCACTTGATGGGTGGGAAAACAGGCTCAGAGGGGCCAGGTCACCAAGTGTCACAGCTCCCAGGAGCACGTCACAATTGCATGGGGAAGGGGGAGGGGTTGCTAAATGCCCATTCCTGGCATTCCTGGGCCCCTCCGCATCAGCAGAACGAGTCTCTGGACCGGCTGGGAAGCTGCAGTTTTCCTCAGGTGCACTGCTCACGGGAGTTTCATGTAACCTGTGGTCCGTGGAGGCACAGAGAAGAAAGGGTCAGGGCCAGGGTCCCTCAGCAGGGAAGGGCCAGGGCCAGGACGTTGGCCTCCAGGCTGGAGGGCTTGGCACATCTCAACAGCCAGTGGCTGTGTCCCCATGCCAGGATCTGTCCCCTGGTTCCTCTTCCTTACCGACAGGAAAGGACACATGGCTGCACTCAGGCAGTCTAGACATGTGTGCACGTGTGCACATACATTCGACACAGTGTCATGCCGGTGCACACTGTCCACACACACACACACACAGGTACACTGTGCACACACATTCGACACAGTGTCACGCCGGTGCACACTGTCCACACACACACACACAGGTACACGGTGCACACTGTCCACACACACACACACGTACACTGTGCACACTAGACACAGTGTCACGCCGGTGCACACTGTCCACATGCACACACACAGGTACACTGTGCACACACATTTGACACAGTGTCACGCTGGTGCACACTGTCCACACACACACACACAGGTACACTGTGCACACTGTCCACATGCACACACAGGTACACTGTGCACACTAGACACAGTGTCACGCCGGTGCACACTGTCCACATGCACACACACAGGTACACTGTGCACACACATTCGACACAGTGTCACGCCGGTGCACACTGTCCACACACACACACAGGTACACGGTGCACACTGTCCACACACACACACACAGGTACACGGTGCACACTAGACACAGTGTCACGCCGGTGCACACTGTCCACATGCACACACACAGGTACACTGTGCACACACATTCGACACAGTGTCACGCCGGTGCACACTGTCCACACGCACACACACAGGTACACTCTGCACACATGCAGAAACACTGTACACACTTGCACACAGTTGTACACTGTGCACACACCTACACGAGACACACATGCACACTTGCACACATATGCACTCCCCACCTGCACACATGATGCACACTGCACACACACATGCACACATATGTTCACACATACACACACCCACACCTGCACATGTGCCACTGGTGTTGCATTCTGTGACCACCCACTGGCTGCAAAGTCAGAGCCTTCTCCGACCCTAAGGCAGCGGCTGCCAATTTATGTGCTCCTTCACTCAGGCACCTGACAACAATGCACACAGGCGAGCAAGAGAGGCCAGCACCTGCCCTCAGGGAGCTTCCTGTAGGGCAGCCCCAAGTAGTTCAGGTTTCAGAAGCGTTTTGAAGACTGCAATGATGGAGGGAAGGCAGAGCATGCGGCCTGGGCCAGATCCTTCCTGGGAGAGGTGACGTCCAAGCTGAGATCTGAAGGTAGGGGCAGCCCTGGGAAGAGCTGGGGACACCTAAGTGGCAGGAGTGGCAAGTGCAAGGCTGGAGGAGAGGAAGGGGCGGAACTGTGGGAAATAGAAGGAGACCAGGGGCTGCGAGGAGGAGCAGGTCAGTGCTGGGAGATGACCTCGGTGGAGCCTTGGGTGGGGCCGGTGCCTGGACACGCGGGGCCTGACGCAAGCCCAGTGCATCTTTAAAGGGTCCCTAGGCTTCCCTGGGGCTGCACTGAGGAGGTGGGAGGGAAGAAGGAGGCAGGACGCCCAGGGAGGCTGGTGTCCTGGGAGAGATGGTCCAGCTGTACTTGGGGGTGGCTGGGGGGAGAGGGGGGACAGATTTGGTGGCAGAGGGAGCAGGACTTGATTATGACTGAGTATGGGGGGAGGGAGTCATGGAGGACCCCACATTTTGGGAGCTTAACTTTTCAGCACTTGGAACCAAGGAGCGGGTGAGGTGAGGAGGGCAGGGGGTTGGGGTGAGGAACCAGCCATAGGCTGGGCACCCCCAGGACTGCTGTTCCACTTCTCTTCTACAAACTCTCCTGGGGCCTGTGGGCTCTGACCGCTGCCACCCCCCACCCCCTCATTCTCCTGTGTCCGATCAAGGCCCCGTGCAGTGTTTGCTCAGCTGCCAGGCCCTCTGGGGCGGGTGGCTGAGTCTGTCCATCTGCATCTACCCGTCTCAGAGACGAGGAAACCTAAGGAACAAGAATGGGGGGCTGAGAGAAACCCCCACCACCCAGGGCAAGGCCCTCCTCCTCTGCGGAGCTTGGGATGCCTCATCCGGGAAGTGGGAAGTCCAGGCCGAGGCTTCTGTCCTCTGCTGGCTGCAGGCAGGGACCCCATGTCCTGGGACTTGGCCCCAGGACTGCCAGCTGTCTACCCATGAGGCCTCCACCTGCCACAGACCTGTGGGTTTCCATCCAGTGCAGCTCCCCGCTGCAGCCTAAGAAGGGCAGTTCTAGGGGCAGGACTGTACTGAGGAACCCAGCAGAGCTGTGGGGACTCAGGGCCATGGAGAGTCCCCCTACCCACTTCTCTTCTATGGGCTGCCTCAGAGATGGCCCCCCATCCAGCCCATGGCCCACCCTCTTTGACCCTCACTTTCTTGTCCTGTCAGATCTACCCTCTATACCTTCTTTTTATTTTTATTTTTTTTTTTTTTGAGACAGGGTTTCACTCTGTCACCCAGGCTGGAGTGAGTGCAGTGGCACCATCACAGGTCCCTACAGCCTCAACCCCCTGGGCTCAAGCGTTCCTCCCATCTCAGCCTCCCAGGTAGCTGGGACTACAGGACCACATCACCATACCTGGCTAATTTTTGTATTTTTTGTAGAGACAGGGTTTTGCTATGTTGCCCAGGCTGGTCTTGAACTCCTGGGCTCAAGCAATCCTCCTGCCTCAGCCTCCCAAAATGCTGGGATTATAGGCGTGAGCCACTGCGTCTGGCCTACATCTTTTTAATCACTTCCCTTCCCCGACTTTTGCCGCCCTGGTCCAGACCCCCATTATCATCCAGATGTCTGCAGCAGCCACCTTGGTGGCCTCCCTGCTTCTGCTCTGCCCTGCAATCCTTCTTCCAAAGGATAGCCAGAGCAGTCTTTCTGGAAGGTGCTTCTGAATATGTTACTTCCTGCCTAAAACTTTCCATGGCTCCCCATGACCCCTCCCACCCCGTGGGATATTGAAACGAACATGCCTGCAAGCCGTGTTCTAATGAGTCCTGTTCCTCTCGCCCCAGGCCTTTGCGCACACTGCGTGCCCCTTGCCAGAGCATCCCACACCCTCAGCCTGGTTGACTCCTATTCAAGCTTTGGGTCTCAGGTTAGACCTGCTCTTCTAGAAGCCTTTTGTGCTCCCTCCCCCTAACAATAGGCAAGGTCAGGGGCTGCCTCCAGCCTCCCATAGACCCTGGTGCCCCCATTATACCCCTGACCACACTGGGCCCGTCTTCGCCTCTGGTGCCTCTCCATGCCTGGCACACAGTAGGTGCTCAGGAAGGAATTGTGGATATCGCCTTCCCTCCAGGGAAGGGCGGGGGGATTGCTGAAAAACAAGACCTGCTCAGACCTCCCGGCTACATGTGGAGGGCAGAGAAGGAGGGGCCCTGGAGCTCACACCAGAGACACAGCTCCTGCGTGGGCAGGACCTACATTCCTGACTCGGGAAGCCATTGAATAATAATTGTCATAGCAAATGGAATTCCTCATCTATATGTTCCCAACACAGTTCCATGAACGATCTTGATCCATCACCACCAAGGGAGGAGGTGCCTGGAGGGCACTGCCCACAGAACCCCACGCCCTGTGCTGAGAGCTGCACCTGCTCAGGCTCATTCTGTGCCCTTATCACCCCCACTTTACAGAGGAGAAAACCGAGGCTCTGCGGGTGGGTGACTCGCCCCAGGCCGCTGAGTCACAGTGCGGCTGGGATGGGAATCCAGGCACTAGCCCAGGCCTCTGGCTGCCCACGTCACTGCCCACCACCTGGCCGGCTTTGGGCGCTCCACCTAGACTCTCCGGCCTCAGTTGTTATTCTGTAAAGCGGACATCTGAATAATAATTAAGATTTGTGAAATCAGCTGCTCAAAAGTGCCTGGCAGGTTAGTGTGATGGCAGGCAGTTTTCAGAAGAGGAGGTTCAGAGAGGGGCAGCGAGATGGCCGTGGTCACAGAGCATGGGCATTTGGGTCAGCCTCTGAGGGGGTGGAATTTGGTGAGATCTCTGTTAAGCTTCTCTCTGAAATCACAGGCGTGGGGCTGGCCACGTGGGTGGGCCGGTTCAGCCATGTCATTGGAGAGAGTCCAAGAGGCTCAGTGGTGTCAGGGCTGTGGCTTTGACGGGAGGGGAGGGTGCATGGCCACTCTGCTGGTGAAGGGAGCTTGGAAGGGGGCCATGGAGACCCCAGCCACTCCGAGGCCAGAACCCTCCTTCTTGGCAAACGCTACTGGGTCTCAACCTAGCGCTTTATCCTCCTCCCCTGGCACAAATCTGGGAGGCGCTGGTGTGAGCCTCAGCTGCAGGAAACGAATCTAGAGCATCTGCAGCCTGGCCCAGCCCTGTGAGATGAGCTGGGATGGGACCCCAAGGTGGGCTCTGGGCTGGTCCTGCCATGTCACCTGGCCCAGTCATGCCCCTCTCTGGCATGGAGTGGGAGCTGGCCAAGCCCCTCCTGGCCTGGTCCCTGTGGGAATCTTAGTTCAACCCCATCCCACCTTGCTGGCTCCGGTGGGGGATGGGATTGTCTGTAAGGCAATAAGGGCAGCTGGTTCTGGGGCTTCAGAAAATCCCCTCCTCTTCAAGGCTTCATTCTCTCTTTTTCTTTTTTTTTTTTTTGAGATGGAGTCTTGCTCTGTTGCCCAGTTGGAGTGTGGTGGTGCGATCTCTGCTCACTGCAACCTCTGCTTCCAGGGTTCAAGCAATTCTCCTGCCTCAGCCTCCCAAGTAGCTGGGATTACAGGGATGTGCCACCATGCCTGGCTAATTTTTTTTTTTTTTTTAAGTAGAAACAGGGTTTCACCATGTTGGCCAGGCTGGTTTCGAACTCCTGGCCTCAGGTGATCTTCCCACCTCGGCCTCCCAAAGTGCTGAGATTACAGGCGTGAGCTACAATGCCCGACTGAGGCTTCATTCTCTAATGAGCAAAGGATGAAAACCGGCTGGTCAAAGCTGTTCATAATTACAGCTCAGAAAACCAAGAAAATAGCCCACGCTGGCTCTAAACTTGAGAGAAGGCCCCAGCCAGGAGCTGAGGGTGGAGGTTATGAAGGTCTCAACACCTCTGGAGAGCTCCTGGGATCCGCACCTGCCCACCATGGAAGAAGTCATCTCTTTGTCTTCCAACCAGACAGTGAACCCTGTGGAGGCAGGGGCTTTGTTCCTGCTACACAGGGGACTCCATTCACCTCCTGAGATAGTCACTGGGTCCCTGGGCTGTGCCTCTGTGCCAAGTGCAGGGGCTCAGAGAGGAGAGGCTGCAGGCGCTGCCCCCGGGAACCCACAGTTGGGCTGGGAAAGTTACCCAAAGGCTGAAAACTATAACACAGTGTGACAGACGCAAGGGAGGTGGACATAACCCAGACCTCCAAACACCGAGCTCTGTGTCAGATCTCATTGGGGGTCCTTACCCCCATTCACCAGACAGGGAATCTGAGGCTTACAGGAAGTAAATGGCAGTGAAGAGGGAAGCTGGAATTTCCACCAACACAGAGCCAACGCCACAGCCTCCTCCAAGCCGCATTCAGGGGCTTGGCACCCTCACAAGGCCCCGTGCTCACCCCTGAGCAGGTCCCACAAGAAGCTGCAGGGCCAGTCTGTGCCCTGCATGCTGCCCCCACTTCAGCCACAAAGGCCCTTCCTGTGGATTCGGGAATGTGCCGTAGTCCCACCAGCACAGGCCCTTTGCACGTGCCTGGAACGCTCTTCCCTAGGTTGTAATTGTCACTGTTTGTCTCTGTCACCCCAGCCAGCCCACGAGGATGGAGTTAGGGCTTGTTCCCCCCTTATTAACCCAGGGAGTGGCCAGGCCTGGCACGGAGCAGGGGCTCCCCTTCTGATGGGAGGCCATGAAGGAGTGGTGGAGGTCGAGCTGAAGCAGCTTTGTCTTGCAGTCCTGCAGTCCTACAGTCCTGTTATCTGCCCTGGATCAGGCACCCATGATTTGCCCAGGATGGAGCCGAACAATTTACCAACACTGTGTAACTGAATTCTCAGAACCAACCCAGGAGGCTGGTACCATCCTTCTTCCATTGTCATGAGTGAGAAATGAGGTGACCCACCCAACATCAACATGGTAGAGCAGGAATTTGCTTTTTCAATGTATTGAGGCATAATGGACACTGGATACCTGCACATATTTAAATCGCACAGCTTGATGAGCTTTGGCACAGGTGCAGCACACCCCTAAAACCATCACTACCATCAAGACGGTGAACACACCCACCCCCACCCCACCCCACTGCCTCCTGTCCCAACAAAAGTTTCCTCATGCTGGCTGGGCACAGTGGCTCACACCTGTAATCTCAGTGCTTTGGGAGGCCAAGGTAGGAGGATCATCTGAGACCAGGAGTTTGAGACCAGCCTGGGCAACACAGAGAGACCCTGTCTCTACAATAAATAAATAAATACATACATACATACATACATACAAAAATTAGCCAAGCATGGTGGCATGTGTCTATGATCCCAGCTACTTGGGAGGCTGAGACCTGAAGCCAGGAGATGAAGGTGTCACAGTGAGCTATGACTGCGCTACTGCACTCCAGCATGGGCGACAGTGAGACCCTGTCTTAAAAAAAAAAAAAAAGAAAAGAAAAGAAAGAAAAAGTTTCCCATTGCCAATTTGTAGTCCTTCCTGGACCCCAGCATCCCCAGGCAACCACAGAGCTGCTTTCTGTCATTACCGACTCGCACGCATCTTCCGGGACTTCACACCGACACAATCCCCCATGCCTTGCTGGTGGCTGCCGGCTCCTCTCCCAGTCATGGTGCTGTGGTGCTGTGTGCACGGTTGTTCCGGCTCCTCTCCTGGTCATGGTGCTGTGGTGCTGTGTGCACGGTCGTTCCTGTTGGTGAGTCGCCTTCCATGGGACGGATGTGCCACAACCTGTTGCTCCCTTTGCCTGCGGGACGGAGCAACACTGTGCTGTCTCCAGTTTCCGCCTTTTACAAATAAAGCTGCTGTGAACACTCATGTGCAAGGCTCTGTGTGGAGGTGAGTTTCATTGTTTTCTTTTTCTTTCTTTTCTTTTCTTTTCTTTTCTTTCTTTTTTTTTTTTGAGACATGGTCTCGCTCTGTCGCCCAGGCTGGAGTACAGTGGCGTAATTTTGGCTCACTGCGGCCTCAACCTCCCTGGCTCAAGCGATCCTCTCACCTCGGCCTCCTGAGTAGCTGGGACTACAGGTGTGCACCACCATGCCTGGCTAATTCTTTTTTTTTTTTTTTTTAATTGAGACGGAGTTTCGCCCTTGCTGCCCAGGCTGGAGTGCAGTGGCATGATCTCGGTTCACTGCAACCTCCGCCTCCCAGATTCAAGCGATTCTCCTGTCTCTGCCTCCCAAGTAGCTGGGATTACAGGCATGCACCACCATGCCTGGCTAATTTTTGTATTTTTTGTAGAGATGGGGTTTCACCGTGTTGGCCAGGCTGGTCTTGAACTCCTGACCTCAGGTGATTCACCTGCCTTGGCTTCCCAAAGTGCTGAGGTTACAGCCGTGAGCCACCACACCCGGCATATATATATACATATATGTTTTTTTTTTTTAGACTCTCGCTCTGTCGCCCAGGTTGGAGTGCGGTGGCATGATCTCTGTTCACTGCAAGCTCCACCTCCCGGGTTCAGGCCATTCTCCTGCCTCAGCCTCCAGAGTAGCTGGGACTACAGGCACCCACCACCATGCCCAGCTAATTTTTTGTATTTTTAGTAGAGACGGGGTTTCACCGTGTTAGCCAGGATGGTCTCGATTTCCTGACCTCGTGATCCGCCCGTCTCGGCTTCCCAAAGTGCTGGGATTACAGGCATGAGCCACCGCGCCCGTCCAGTCTTTAAATATTTTGTAAAGACAGGGTCTCACTATGTTGCCTAGACTGGTCTTGGACCCCTGGGTTCAAGAGATCCGCCCGCCTCAGCCTCCCAAAGTGCTGGGATTACAGGCATGAGCCACTGCGCCGGTGGAGATTTCATTTCTTGGAGATAAAAGCCTCGGAGTGCCATGGTCAGATCCGTGGTAAGAGTATGTTCAACTTTTTTAAAAGTGCCAAATGTTTTCCAAAAGTAGTCGAACCACTTCTCATTCCTATCAGCGGTGGATGAGGGTCCCACTGGAGTGTGGGATTTGAACTCAGGCCCAGCCCACTCCAGAACCTGTGTCTGTCCCTGCCAAGCTTCAGGGATCCTCTCTGAAGGCCTTGGAGAAGGAACCAGCAGACAGCCGGCGGGGGCGGTGCTGGGATGCGGGCTCCGGCCTCTTTGCATCAGCCGAGGGTCCCTCCCTTGTAGCTGGGTCTGGCTTCCTCCTTGAACAGAGTGCTGCCTTCCCAGGGGCTCCTGGAGGGCAGGGGTGGGCACTCCGTGGGCACCAGGCCCACGAGGGGCTCCAGACCCTCCGCGGACCCTTGTCCCTGGCTGGGTTGAAGATGCCCGGAGTCTCCCAGGCCATGCCAAAGGCTTGTGGGGGTGGGGAAGGGTGCGAGGGTTTCACCAGGCACGCGCCAGGGAAAGGGCTTGTCCCTTGAGCTCCGACAGACAAGGAGGAGGAAGGAAGCCACCAGAACCCAGGCAGCGGCCGGGGGGAGAGCCAGAGAGTTTAGCAGCCAAAGCGGGGAGGGGCGACCCTCTCCTTCCAGACCCCAGGGAGGTGGGCAGAAAGCGGGAGGGGCGCGAGAAGGGAGCAGGGATTCTTCATTAAAACTGAACCCCCGGAGCCGGGCCCGCGGCGGCCGAGCAGCCGGGCTGCAGGCGGCCTCCCTCTCGCGGCGCACAGAGGCCCGCGCCGGCTCCAGCCGCCCGCGGCCGACCTCGCGCGTCCTCAAAGCCAGCCTGTCCCACTTCCCCCGCCGGTTGCTACAGCAACTGAGCTCTGAGTAATCAGCTGCACGGTGACCTTTCTTCCCCCGGAGAGCGGGAGGGAGGGAGCGGGAGGGCGGAGGGAGGAAGGGAGGGGAGGAGAGAGGGGGGAGGAGGAGGGAGGAGGAGAATGGAGGGGAAAGATGGAGAGGAGGAGGGAGGGAGGCTGGAGGGGGGAGATGCAGGCGGGGGAGGAGGGAGGAGGAGCAGGGGGAGGCTGAGCTGCTGGTCAAAGCTGTAAATCCCTGCAGCTGGGGTCTGAGGGCTTTGCGGGGAGGAGCTGGCAGTCAGAAGGCGGGAGAGAGGAGGGGGCGGCCGGCAGCACCGTGGTAGGGGGAGGGAGGGGTAGCCAGGGAACTGACCCGGACAGATTCCCTCCCAGGCACCCCTGGCGCCCACCCCTAGCCCCTCCCGGGATGCTCCCCCGAGTCCTCCCTCGTGGAGAGGTGAGGGGACTGTGAGAGAACGGCAGGTCCCCAGTGCTCTCTGGCTCACAGGACAGCCCTCCCGCCTCCGCAGCCGCCTTGATTCCACCATTCCCCAGATGGAAAAACTGAGGCTGGGAGGCTTGTTTACAGTGTCAGGGCCCCGAGCTTGGCCCCTGGGACAGCCCCTCACCCCACAACCGCCACTAGCTGGCAACCAGGTGGAGGAAAGTTCTGGTCCACGCCCAGCCTTCCCACCTCCCTGATCTCTGGCCTCAGTTTCCCTGGTTGTAAAGCAAGGATCCCCACGGCATGGTGTACGCTGCAGTGGCGGGGGAGTTAGGGGGCTCCATGGAGCTTCTCACACCCCAGTGTTGATTTAAGATTCTCTAAGCGCAGCAGAAGCGCGGTGAGGCGAATGTGAGAGGGCCGGGACTGGAGATGCTGGGGATGGGGTGGGCATACTTAGGAGAAGGGGCCCCACAGGTCCCGGAGCGGCCAGGTAGCTGGGGCACCACCCAGGCCCCCTCAGGCGCGGAAACCTTCCTGCTACCTGGTATCCTGCCTACCCCCCCCAGCTCGGCCGCCCTGGGGCCTCTCCGGCTCCAGCTCTTGGCTGGGCCTCGGTGCCAGCACAAGCCCTATCACCCGCCGGCCCTGGGGACCCGCCAGCCGCCTGTTTACGAGGCCAGCCAGCCCCCCGTCACAGCCGTGCCCACGGGGTGGGGGAGGGACGACAGATGGCGGAGGTGCCATTTTAACCAGAGTCTGCAGCCGTTGGGGAAGGAGAGGAAGTAGCCCAGGGCTGGAGGGAGCTGGGACCTTCTGTTGTTGCTGCCCCTGGGGCACCTCCATCCTACCCCCTCTGCACGGGCACCTCTCCCGAGCTCAGGTCTGAGTGGCACAGATCCAACAACCTCGTCACTGGGGCTGCCTAATCTTCCATGGACTCTGTGGGTGCCCCTTGGATCAGCGAAGCATCCGGGGTCCCCCGGGGGCAGGGGCTATAGGGGCAATCTCTTAAGGCTCCACTGTGAGGAGGGCCCCATGACTTCTCCAGCCCACAGCAAGGATCCCCCACCCCCACTACTGACTATGAAATGCAGGCTGCAGGGAGTCACAGCAGGAGGGACCGTGGGCAGACAGGGCTGCAAAGTTCGGCCTGCCTCGAGGCTCCAGCAGGGGAGCTCAGGACGGGTTGGGAGCAAAGTCTGGGAGAGGGAGAGGGGCTCCCCCCAGGCGTTCTGTGCTTTCATCCCAGCTCAGCACCCATGTCAGCCCCAGAACCTCCCCCAGGCTTCCACATTCAAAGCTCCAGCTGCAGAGGGTGCTGACCTCGCCCCTGTGGGGGTAGGGGGCGAAAGGGGGCTTAGGGGCAAGCCAGATGGTGATATGGAGACAAACTGCATAGCTCCTCGGTAACTCTCAGGCCCGTGTTTCACAGGTGAGGACACCAAGACCAGGGGCGTGAAGCCACTGGTCCAGGGTCACCCAGCTGTTGATGGGTGCGCCAGCCCCTGATGGTCCAGGATGAGGAGCACGTGACGCTCTCAGGCCACAGAACGACCGCACTGGAGGCAGCAGCCGTGGCTGTGAGCCTGCCTGTTCCCCAGGGTTCTTGACTCTCTGGAAGCTTCCCTTTGTGGGAAACCTTTGTGCACCCAGGCTTTTGGACAAGTGACACTTGTTTGTACAAGCAGGAGTGGTTTGGATCAAGGGATCGAGGTGATAGCAAGAGCCACTCTGCCTCCCTGAGCACCCGCAAAGCCCTGCTCTGGGCCTCACATGTGGTTTTTGTTTTGTTTTGTTTTGAAACAGGGTCGGGCTCTGTCACCCAGGCTGGAGTGCAGTGGCATGATCACGGCTCACTGCAGCCTCAACCTCGCAGGTTTACACAACCCTCCCACCTCAGCCTCCCGAGTAGCTGGGACTTTTGTTTTGTTTTGTTTTGTTTTTAATTTTTTGTAGAGATAGGGTCTTCCTATGTTGCCCAGGCTGGTCTCAAACTCTTGGGTTCAAGTGATCCTCCTGCTATGGCCTCCCAAAGTATTGGGATTATAGGCATGAGCCACCACGCCAGACCCACATGCGTTTTATCATAGGATGTCCTGGCTATCCTGGAAGGTGAATGCTGCTATTATATCCGTTTTCAGATAGAAAAAAATGAGGCTTAGGGAGATGTGGTGACTTGCCTCAGATCTCACAGAACCAAGCATGAGAACTAGGATCAGAATCCACTTTTCCTTGACCTTAGAGATGGTCTCAACCCGACTTGTATCAGCCAGATTTTTCCAGATTCAGGAGTGTGGATGTTTTCCATGTCGGATTTTGCTATGAATAGAATTCTGAGTCTCAAACAGTGTGCTCTTTGCTGTATGCCAGTGCTACCTCCACCTGCCTACTTATTTATCCGCCCATCCTCCCATCCATGTATCTGCCCCTCCACCCACTCATCTGCTGATCCATCTGCTGATCCATCCATCCACCCACCCTTCTATCCACCCGTCCGTTCACTTATCCACTCACCACCCAACTATCCAAGACCTCACTCACCAATCCATCTTCCCATCTACACATCCATCCACTCATCCATCATCCATCCATCCATCCATCTATCCATCCAACCATCCACCCATCTACTCATCCATTCATCCACCCCTCCGTCCACTCATCCATCCATCCACGCACCCATCTACTCATCCATCCATCCACCCATCCATATACCCACTCATCCATACATTCATCCACTCACCACCCACCCATATAGTCATCCACCCTCCACTCATCCATCCATCCATCCATCCGTCCATCCATATACCCTCCCACTCATCCATCCATCCATCTACTCATCCATTCATCCACCCATCCATCCACTCACCCATCCATCCATCCATCCACCCATCTACTCATCCATCCATCCATCCATTCATATACCTACCCATCCACACATTCATCCACTCACCACCCACCCATATAGTCATCCACCCTCCACTCACCCATCTATCCATCCATCCATCCATCCACTCATCCATCCACATATCCACCCATCCATTCACCTATCTATGCACCCATCCATCCAGACATGCATCCACTCACACCACCCACCCATCCATCATTCATCCACCATCCATCCATTCAACCATCTGTCTATGTACCCACCCATCCACACATTCATCTACTCACCACCCACCCATATCCCTCCACTCATCCATCCATCCGTCCATCCATCCATCCACCCATCTACTCATCCATCCATCCATCTACCCATCCATCCACCTATCTATGCACTCACCCTTCCACACACTCATCCACTCACCACCCACTCATACAGCCATCCACCCTCCATTCACCCACCCATCCATCATCCATCCATCCAGCCAACCATCACCCATTCACCCATTCTCAATCCACGCATGTTTCCATCCATCCACCTACCACTGCCCACCATCCATTCATTTTATTTTTATTCTGAGCCTTGCTCCTACACCTTTTGGTTCTGAAACATATGCTTCTGTGAGCTGACTGCTGATACTGTCCCTGTGGAAGTCACTGACTCCCACCCCTGGCTTAGCACACCAGTTCTGACAGGTCCCACCAAGGCTGCAACTCCCACGTAAGAGGGTCAAGCCCCCCTTCTTCCCGCCTCACCTCCACTTGGGTGGGAATTAGACTCTGGGTTCTTTTCTTTCCTTCCTTTCCGGAGTCACTCACTTCTCCACCTGGGTATTTCAGCCCCAAGATAGAGGCCTCAAAAATGTGGAAAAAGAACAAGCCACTAGCTCACTCTCAGAGCCTCACCACCCTGCAAAAGGACATCGATTATCAGGGCACAGGGGAGCATGCCATGGGCACCTGAGCCAGTCCTGGGACCAGGCACTAGCAGGACAAGCTGGTCTGGAACTGGGCAGCCTCCACATCTGCTTCCAACCTGCTGTGTGGCCCTTGACAACAGAATAAGAATAATCGCTCCTGTCCTTCTGAGGGTTGGAAGGGAAAACATGGAGGCTTTAAACAGTGAGAGCGCTTCAGCCCTTCAGTGACAGGGCATAGAAAGCCCTGGGGGAGGAGAAGGAAGGGCAGGGGAGGAGAGGGAAGGGAGGGGGGAAGAGGAAGGGACTGACTTCCTTGAGTACTTACTATGTGTCTGCAAGGTAGCAGGTGTTCCCATCTCTTCATCTCACTGGATTCCCCAACAACTCTATGCAGCTGGCATTCTATCCCCTAGCACACACGCTTCACCGATGGGGAAGCTGAGGCTCAGAGAGGGCCGGCAACTTCTCCAAGGTCACACAGCTCCCACAGGCTAGATCTGGGACACCAGCCCCGGCCCCTCGGTCTGACTCCAGAGTTTGGCACCTTTGCCTGTGTCCCCACCCTGAGCATCTCCCCCTGAAGGTGATGGCAGGGCAGAAAGTGCCATCAGCACTCGCCTCTAAGGCAGCTTTGGAGGTTCATGCAGCCATTCAGTTAACAAATATGCATCCACTCCCTCTCTGGGTTAGGCCTCTCCCCTCCTCCTTGGGGCTCCCTGGTGCGGGCTGCTGTAGGGACTGATCTCAGCTGGCAAAGCCCTGCTTCACCCAGGCTCAAAAAAGAGTCCTGCTGCCGTCCAGCCTGAAGGAGTGGGGGCCACAGGCTCCCAGAACCGAGGCTGGGGAGGCAGGAGGCAGAGCTGTCAGCTCAGAGCAGACTCCTCTCATCAGCATGGGGCCCCAGCCTCCCAGCTTAAAGATCGCCTCGGGCGCTCTCTTAAAGATGCTAACGTTGCAGCTGACATTTGGGAGATCCTGGCAGCCGATCAAACCCAAGCTGAAAATCGGAGCTGCCGGGTGGGTGGGGTGGGCACCAGGCAGCAGGGACCCGCGCTGGCTGGGCCAGCTGGGGCCGAAGGCAGCAGGGCTCGGGTGGCTGGTTGCTGGCTATGGCTGTGCCTTCAACCTGGCCCAAGCCATCTGGGTATCCTGTGCTTTGCTGGAAAGACATGGGAGGAGGAGGAGGAGGCAGAAGGTGAGAAAGGACGAAGGAAGAAAATGGATGTGTAGAGGAGACCTGAACTTCTTTCATCCCCAAACACCAGGTTCTCGCCAGTAATCAGACCAGTCGGCAAAAAGACACCCACGGGTGAAGAGTTGTGGGACACGGATAAGATGGAGGGAGGTTCCTGGTGCCAGTTACATCTCCGGCTGCAGTGCCCAGTGGGTCCCATCCAGTGTAGGGTGTGCCCTGAGGAAGCTGAGGGGTCTGAGGAGGAGTCAGGAGAGAAAGATTCCTACTCATTCTGCCAATCCATGGTGGGGGGATGGAGAGATAGGGCAAACCTCAGCCTGCCTGAGCCAACCTTGTCTCCTTTCCATTCATCCACCCTGCCACCCACTACCTCCACCACCCACCACTGCCACCTCTGCCACCCACCACCTCCACCCACCACTGCCATCCACCACCTCCACCTCCGCCACCCACCGCCTCCACCACCCACCACTGCCACACACCACCTCCTCCACCCACCTCCACCACCCACCACCTCCTCCACCCACCACCTCCACCCACCGTCTCCACCACCTCCACCTCCACCACCTCCACCTCCACCACCTCCACCACCCACCACCTCCACCACCCACCACCTCCACCACCTCCACCACCCACCACCCCCACCATCCACCACCTCCACCACCCACCACCTCCACCACCCACCACCCCCACCATCCACCACCTCCACCACCCACCACCTTCACCCACCACCTCCACCACCCACCACCACCTCCACCACCTCCACCCACCATCTCCACCACCCACCACCTCCACCACCCACCACCTCCACCACCCACCACCCACCACCTCCACCACCCACCACCTCCACCACCTCCACCACCTCCACCCACCACCTCCACCACCTCCACCACCCACCACCCACCACCCACCACCTCCACCACCTCCACCCACCACCTCCACCACCCACCACCCACCACCTCCACCACCTCCACCACCTCCACCCACCACCTCCACCACCTCCACCCACCACCTCCACCTCCACCACCAACCACCTGCCCTTTCCTCTGTCCAGTCCACTCCTCCCCTGCCCTTCCACCTGCCCAACTTGCCTGTCTGCCCTTCCATCCATCAACTGCCTGTCTGTCTAGATCTCCAGTCATCCCCCTATCCATCCATCCATTAATTCATCCATTCACCATACATCCCCATCCCTCCATTTCCCATCCTCCATCCCTCCATCCCCCATCCCCCATCCTTCCATACCCTGATCCCTCCATCCCTCTATCTTCCATCCTCCAATCCCCATCCCCCATCCCTCCATCTTCCCATCCCCCATCCCTCCATTCCCCATCTCTCCATCTTCCCATCCCCCATCCCTCCATTCCCCATCTCTCCATCCCCTGATCCCTTCATCCCTCATCCCTCCATTCCCTATCTTCCCATCCCCCATCCCTCCATCTGCCATCCCCCAATCCCTCCATCCCATCCTCCAATCCCCCATCCCCCATCCCTTCATCTTCCAGTCCCCCATCCTCCATCCACCATCCCTCCATCTCCCATCCCCCTATCCCTCCATCCCCCACCCTCCATCCCTATCCCTCATATTTCCATTCCCCATCCCTCTACCCTCTCACCCTTCCATCCCCCATCCCCATCTCCTCATCCCCCATCCCTCCACACTCCATCCCCATCCCTCTACTCCATCCCTCCATCCCTCTATCCCCCATCCCCCCTCTTCCACCCCTCCATCCCTCCATCCCCCATCCCTCCATCCCTCCATCCCCCATTCTCCCATCCCTCCATCCCCCATCCTCCCATCCCTCCATCTCTCATCCCCATCCCTCCATCCCTTCATCCCCATCCCCCATCTCCTCATCCCCCATCCCTCCATACTCCATCCCTCCATCTCCGCATCCCTCTGTCCCTTCATCCTTCCATCCTTCCATCCAAAGAACATTTCTTCAGCACAGGAGAGGTGCACTCAGCCCAGTTTCGGGGCTAGGAAAGGCTTTTAGGAGGAAGAAACCTACGCTGAGACAGGAGAATGAGTCGGAGGCTCCTAGGCTAGAGAGGAAGAGAAGGTATTCCCAACAGAGGACAGGAGGCAAGAGGCCTCTTGAGGGCCATCCAGTTGCATTCTGGCAGTCACTTCAGAGCGGGTGGCCCACCAGAGCACAGGAGACGCTACTTAGGCTGGAGTGGGCAGCAGGGCCAGGCCGTGGAGCTGGGACCACCTGCCCGGCATGGAGCAGGGCCAAGCGAGAAGGGAACGTGGAAGGTACAGAAGGCCAGGTCCTCGTCCTCTGGCTGTTTACCACCGGCCCTTCCAAACAGGCCTGTCCCCCACGTCCCTCCAGGCTTCCCAATCCTTTGAACTCCCAATATGCTCATAGTTAAAACCTGCAGTTCCACCCCTGCAAGCTTTCTGTTGCCGTGTGTGCATTCCAGCTTCTTTGGGCAGGGCTGTGCCTTATCCTTCTTGGTGTCCTGCCCCATGTACTTGGCCAGAGCCCCCCAAATATTCAAGAGATAAAAAATACAGGTGGCCAGGCACGGTAACTCATGCCTGTAATCTCAGCACTTTGGGAGGCTAAGGTGGGAGGATTGCTTGAGGCCAGGAGTTTGAGACCAGCCTGGGCAACAAAGTGAGAACCTGTCTCTCTATAAAAACAAATCAACAAACAAAAACACAAAAAATATGAAACCTCCCCCTAAAGCCTCCTCCTCCTCTTCTTCCTCTTGGGGCTCCTGAGTATTGGCCTTATCCCCTTCCTCTCTCCCCAGCACCCCGCCATATCCAGTCACCAGCATCTAATGATTCTGCCCGCAGCACACCTGGACTCTCCACCATCCTCGCCCTGCCTGGTCACCTACATCGGCGGGAATGGCAGCCGCCTTCTCTCTGCCCTTCCTGCCTCCAGGCCACACACACAGTGCAGTCAGAGGAGTCTTTCTAACACATAAGCTGGGCCACGTCCCCCTCTCCATTGTCATGCCTCCCGCTGCCCTCTGGATAAAGTCCTAAATCCCCGCCACAGCCTGAATGACCCTTCCCAGGCTGGCCCATGTCCACTCCTCTGGGCTCCAGGTTCATCCCTCTAAGACATGAGAGCCATCCAGTTCATTGCCGTCCACACTGCGTCTCTGAATCCACAGTCCTGGCTCCTGCCCCTGGGCCATCTTGGCTAACAGCCTAGAAGAGTCCCGAGTCTTCAACTGCCTGGTCAGACCCCCACATCATCCCGTCCCCGTGAGCTGGGAACCAAGTCCGTGTCCTCCACACCACGTCCAACACCTGACTGGCCCTGGGGCAACAAAAAATCTTGCACTGGCTGCCTGAATATTAGAGTTTACCCCCCAGGCCCTCCCTCCCTGGGTCTGACCGTTCCCGTTTGCTGTTTGTGCCTTAAACCAAAGCCAACTGCTTGGCCTCTTCTCTGCCTACAAAACATTTTTACCGATTTTATGGCTGCGAAAATTTCCTTCCTGTCTTCACATTCACAGGAAAGAGAGAGCCCTGGCCCTGACTCAGAATTGGATTGTAGCTGGAGGCGTCCTCTCCAAGCCGGCTCCAGAGAAAGGGTTTATCTGTTTGTTCCTTGACCTTGAGCAGCCACTGAGGCAGCCAGAAAGAGGAGAGGCAGGAGCTGGGAGGAGAGCGAGGAGCAAAGCTGGGGACCCTGCGCTCTGCCCCGAGGGACCCACCAGCCAGGTGACCGGAAATAAGTCGGAGGGAGGAGGCAGCCGTGCTGTGTGCAGGGCCAGGGCCACGGAGGCCCAGGGGGACGTGAAGCAGCGCCTCTCTGCTGTGGCCCTGCAGGTCCGTGGGCTGTGCTGCCTGCCTTTCCCCATCCCCGGTCCCCCTGGAAACTGAACAAAGAACTGGAAGGAGACGTCAGCCATCCAGGCAGGAGCCGACCCTGCCCAGCCATCCTGGGGCAACTGCGGCTGTCACAGACCCTGCCCCAGTGGAGGGAATAGCCCCAGGCAGTCTGACCTTGTCCACAGCGAGCTTCCACACTAGGGGTGGCGGCACCGGCAGGGGCAGGAGATAGAGAAAGAGACAAAGAAAAGGAACCCTTCTCAAAAAGGCCTCTTCCTCCTTTCTGCTCCTGGTGCGTGACTAAAATGTAACCCAGACATTTATTGAGCACCTTTGTCTGTGGTATCCTTACCCTCAATGGGCCAACCGTCTTTTCTTCAGCTGAATTAGGGGCAGGCTTAAAGTGGGAACTGTTTTATTTTTGCCAAAAGAATCTCATTGTTATTACATAAGTAATGCATGCCTATTGTAGATATTGTAGAAAATATAGATGAATCCAATGAAGAAAATATAACCACTCACTCTTTTTTTTTTTATATTAGAGACGAGGTTTTGCCATGTTAGCCAGGCTGGTCTCGAACTCCTGGCCTCAGGCAATCCACCCGCCTTGGCCTCCCAAAGTGCTGGGATTACAGACATGAGCCATCGCACCCGGCCTAATACAACCACTGTTAATCCCATCCCTTATCGATGACCCTCTTTGGTTGGCCCCCTTTGGTATTTGGAGGGGTTGGGTCTCCTCCTGGTCCTCTGTATCTGACATTTGCTTCGAGCCTTGCACACAGTGGACATGGAAGATGACTTTATGGCTGATCACTTATCTGTGTATTCATTCTTCACTAACCCAAGGAGTATTCACTGAACCCTCAGGAGGTAACCATTTAGTGGTGTTTTAAATTCTTTGGGAGGGGACTGGGCACATTGGCTCACATCTGTAATTCCAACACTTTGGGAGACTGAGGCGGGTGGATCACTTGAGCCCAGGAGTTCGAAACCAACCTGGAAAACAAGGCGAGAACTTGTCTCTACTAAAAATACAAAAATAATTAGCTGGGCGTGGTGTTGTGTGCCTGTAGTCACAGCTACTCAAGAGGCTGAGGTGGGAGGATTGCCTGAGCTTGGGAAGTCGAGGCTGCAGTGAGCTGAGATTGTGCCATTGGCCTCCTGCCTGGGTGACAGAGTGAGACCCTATCTCAAAAAAAAAAAGAAAAAAAAATGGCCAGATTCGGTGGCTCATGCCTGTAATCCCAGTACTTTGGTAGGCCGAGGTGGGCGGATCATGAGGTCAGGAGTTCGAGACCATCCTGGCCAACATGGTGAAATCCTGTCTCTACTAAAAATACAGAAATTAGCCGGATGTGTTGGCGTGCGCCTGTAATCCCAGCTACCCAGGAGGCTGAGGTAGGAGAATCGTTTGAACTCGGGAGGCGGAGGTTGGAGTGAGCTGAGATGGCACCACTGCACTCCAGCCTGGGTGACAGAACAAGACTCCATCTCAAGAAAAAAAAAAAGTGATAAAATAAGCATAAATAACTTATTTGGGAGTGGAGAGAGATGTGTGGAAACCCAGACTGGTGCCCGTGTAACCCAAATAAAAGCTGGGCTTCCATGTAGTTCAGTCGCTGCCTCCTGGG
This sequence comes from Homo sapiens, assembly GCF_000001405.40. NCBI lineage: Eukaryota > Metazoa > Chordata > Mammalia > Primates > Hominidae > Homo > Homo sapiens. Next base: position 129,449,641 of record NC_000009.12, on the reverse strand, counting down.
ACCTGATAATCCAGCAGTCACAAGTCATTTAAACGAACTTTCTGAATGTCCTTGTGACTCCCGAAGAGCCTCAAAGGGGCCGAATTCAAACCCCACAGCAACAGCTCTCACCAGCGCCCGTTTCCTTGCTCCGGTTCTCTCCATTAGACTGGCTGTTGTTTTGCGCATGCTGGAGGCTGCCTGACAGTCCTGACACCAGCCTGCATTCTCCCCTTCTCCCTCGAATATTTGTTATGTAATGTGTTCAGTGGGCAGACCCTTCCCCGCCCGTCCTCATGATCCATGCCCCTCTGGTGAGTGGTTCAGAGCCCACGCTCTGGAGCGAGACCCTCTGGGTCCAAATCCTGGCCCCGCGAGTCACACGCTGTGACTTGACCCCGCGCTACCCAAGGCGCGGTCCGAGGATCAGTGCTGGGCCACACACTGTTTGTGGACACGACACGCTAACTATAGAACTGAGGATAAGCATTTAGCAACTTTCATAGCAATTTGACACTGCCTACATCCCATTGTGACTGTGTATATTATAAAAATATCATTCCTGACAGATTGGAACATTTTTTCTCGAAGTTCCTTCATCACAGATAGTTTGGGAAGCACGGATTCAGCCTACTGTGTGCCTCAGTTTTCTCACTAGTGAAATGGGAATAATGATGGTCTGTAACCTCACCACATCCCTGAGAAAGTGTAAAGGAGTAAAATTAGGGAGGGCTCTGAGGCTGGGGGCTGGGCATTGCAATCGCTCAGTAAATGTCAGTGTCACTATCATTTTGACACATTCTCCAGATTCTGCATTACAAACACCAGATTCTCCTCTGAGGGCAGAGGAGGAATTGTTGGGGAGAGAGTGGACCCCATTCAGTGTATCCTACCCCACCCCAAGTTCCTATAGCTTTTAGCCAATCCTTGAGATTGGAACACCTCTATCACTGCATCCAAAACCTTTCAGGTTTCCAAAGGAACTACTGGGTAGTTTATTCATCCACTTAACAAATATCTAGGGCCAGCACCATGGCTCACGCCTGCAATCCCAGCATTTGGGAGGCTGAGGTGGGCAGGTCGATTAAGCCTAGCAGTTTGAGACCAGCCTAGGCAAGATGGCAAAAGCTCATTACTACAAAAAAAAAAAAAATGCAAAAATGGCTGGGCACGGTGGCTCACGCCTGTAATCCCAGCACTTTGGGATGCTGAGGAGGGCAAATCACCTGAGGTCAGAAGTTCGAGACCAGCCTGACCAATATGGAGAAACTCTGTCTCTACTAAAAATACAAAATTAGCTGAGTGTGGTGGTGCATGCCTGTAATCCCAGCTACTCAGGAGGCTGAGACAGGAGAATAGCTTAAACCCCGGAGGCAAAGTTTGCAGTGAGCTGAGATTGTGCCTTTGCACTCCAGCCTGGGCGACAGAGCGAGACTCCGTCTCAAAAAAAAAAAAAAAAAAAAAAAGCAAAAATTAGCCGGATGTGGTAGCGTGCACCTGTGGTCCCAGCTACTCGGGAGGCTGAGGTAGGAGGATCACCTGAGCCCAGGGAGGTCGAGGCTGCAGTGAGCCATGATTGTGCCGCTGCACTCCAGCCTGGATGACAGAGAGAGACCCTGTCTCAAAATAAAATTAAAAAATAAAATAAAACCAAATATCTATAGCCCACGTACAGGGTGAGAGCTGGAGAGTCTAGTGGTTAGGAACTTTGGAGCAAGATGGCCCTGGGGTCCAGTCTTGGCCCTGCCACTTACTACCTGAGTGGCCTTGGGCAACTCACTTAACCTCTCTGAGCCACAGTGTTCCCAGAAGAGAGTCAGGAGGAGTCCTAAGCTCGGGACTCAGTTCAAAGCTGAGATTTGGCCTTCAATGTGCACATACCTGCAGAAAGCCTGGCCACCCCAGACACTCACTACATCCAGGCTTGGATTTACAGGCTGTGGTGACCTCCCAGGTTCCCTACCCTCAATGAGTTCCTGTGGATTAAGAAGGAACGGGTGGTGCCTTGACATATCAAACTTGTCAGGTGTTACTTCTAGAAAAATAAATGAATTTAAGGGCTTTGAATATTTGAGAATGGAGAGATTTAAAAATGTAAAGGTTTCTTAAGATGGATAGAAGACTTACCAATTGGATTTGTATTCTGTGGAACAGGGAGGCTTGTGTGAGGCCTCTCTCTAGAAAACGCAGCTCTGTTTAAAGGGAAAAGTGCAGGCAGGCTGGCCAACCCACGTGATGGCTCTTGAAGCTTCTCTTTTGAATGGCCTGCTAGGACTTGGGCTCCGGATTCACTGGCTAACGCAAGTCACGTGGCCAAACATGATTTGGTGGGGAGGGGAAGTGTACCCAGCACTGGATGCTCTGCATGTCACGTAGCAATGGGGCAGGATGGATAATCCTCTCACTGAGGGGATGGTGAATAACTGGAAACAGTGACCAATCTGCTGCCGTTCACCATCTTGGTTGCAAATATCACTCCCGTCTCTTGCATGGGCGTGGTGGATTGGAGATGGCTGCAGATTCTTAGTCATTACTCTCAGCAAGACCTGGAGTCTTTTCCTCCTCCCCTTGGATCTGGGCTGACTCCAGGACTGGCTTTCATCAACAGGATGCAGCAGAAGCGACGCTGTGTGACTTCCGAGGCTGAGGCTGCAGAGATTTGAGGCATCTGCTCTCACCCAGCTTGAAGTGCTTCCTCTTGGAAGCCAGCCACCGTGAAAAACCCCGCCATGCTGTGAGGAAGCCCAAGAGAGCTGCATGGAGAGAAGGGCCTGTGGAAGAGCCCTGAGGTGCCACTCACATGAAGTGAACCTTTGTGGACCTTCCAGCCCAGCTACCAGCAAAACGCAAGCAGCGAGTGTCCCCAGTCAACGCTTCTCTCTATAGGAGACCTGTAAATGGGGTGGCGGGGGGAGCAGGAGGAATTTTCTGATCTCACACACTGTTATGAGTTGAATTGTCTCCCCACCCAAATTCATATGTTGAAGCCCCCACCTTCAGTACTTTACAAAGTAATGTATTTGGAGATAATATCTTTTTTTTTTTTTTTTTTTGAGACAGAGTCTCACTCTGTCGTTGCTCAGGCTGGAGTGCGGTGATGCGATCTCAGCTTGCTGCAACCTCTGTTTCCCGGGTTCAAGAGATTCTTGTGCCTCAGCCTCCCGAGTAGCTGGGATGAGAGGCGTGGTGTTGCATGCTAATTTTTTAGCTTGGACTACTATTTTTGTATTTTAGTAGAGACCGGGTTTCACCATGTTGGCCAGGTTGGTCTTGAACTTCTGACCTCAAATGATCTTCAAATTTTTTGTAATTTTTTAGCGTGGGCTAGTTTTTTTGTATTTTTAGTGGAGAGGGGGTTTCACCATGTTGGCCAGGCTGGTCTGGAACTTCTGACCTCAAAGGATCTGCCTTCCTTGGCCTCCCAAAGTGCTGGGATTACAGGCGTGGGCCACTGTGCCTGGCTGGAGATAAAATCTTTAAAGTGGCAATTCAATTAAAATGAAGTCGTCAGGGTGGGCCTTAATCCAATGTGTCTAGTGTCCTTATAAGAAGGAAATGTGGACTCACAGACTGAGGCGTCAGGCAGGTGTGCACAGGCAGGAGGCCACCTGAGGACACAGGCGAGCCAGGGAGGGAGGGCCTTGGAAGAAACCAGCCCTGCTGGCACCTTGATCTTGGACTTCCAGCCCCCAAAGCTGTGAGAAAATACATTTTTATTATTCAAGACACCCAGTATGTGGTATCTCGTTATGGTGGCCCCGGCAAAGTAATACACTCAACATACAATGGTGGAATAGGATGACCCACAAACGCTCTCCGTTGGAAAGGAGAAGAACAAGACTGGGCGCAATGGCTCACGCCTGTAGTCCCAGCACTTTGGGAGGCTGAGGTGGGCGGATCACTTGAGGCCAGGAGTTCAAGACCAGCCTGGACAACATGGCGAAACCCATCTCTACTAAAAATACAAAAATTAGCCAGGCATGGTTGCATGCACCTGTAATCCCAGCTACTTGGGAGGCTGAGGCATGAGAATTGCTTGAACTCAGGAAGTGGAGGCTGCAGTGAGCCAAGATTGCACCACTGCACTCCAGCCTGGGTGATACAGTGAGAGCAAAGAAAAAAGAAAGAAAGAGAGAGAGAGAGAAAAGAGAAAGGAAGGAAGGAAGGAGGAAGGAAGGAAGGAAGGAAGGAAGGAAGGAAGGAAGGAAGGAAGGAAGGAAGGAAGGAAAGAGAAGAGGAGAGAAGAGAAGAGAAGAATAGAGGCGGTGTGGTGGCTCACACCTGTAACCCCAGCATTTGGGGAGGCCAAGGTGCGGGGGTCGCTTGAGCCCAGGAGTTTAAGACCAGCCTGGGCAACATAGCAAGACCCCGTCTCTACAAAACAATACAAAAATTAGCCAGGCATGGTGGTTCATGCCTGTAGTCCCAGCTACTCAGGAGGCTGAGGCAGGAGGATCACCTGAGCTGGGAGGTTGAAGCTGCAATGAACTGTCATCACACCACTGTATTCCAGCCTGGGCGACAGAGCAAAACTCTGTCTTAAAAGTTAAAAAAGGGCCGGGCGTGGTGGTTCACACCTGTAATCCCAGCACTTTGGGAGGCTGAGGCGGGTGGATCACCTGAGGTCAGGAGTTCAAGACCAGCCTGGCCAACATGGTGAAACCCCATCTCTACTAAAAATACAAAAATTAGCTGGGCGTGGTGGTGGGCACCTGTAATCCCAGCTACTCAGGAGGCTGAGGCAGGAGAATCGCTTGAACCCAGGAGGCAGAGGCTGCAGTGAGCCGAGACTGTGCCACTGCCCTCTAGCCTGGGTGACAGAGTGAGACTCCGTGTCAAACAAACAAACAAGCAACAACAACAACAAAAACAAAATTTAAAAAAAAGAAAGGAGAGGGGTGGAGCAGTAGCAAGTGCTGGTCCTCATGAGTTCTGAGTCCTGCTGGGTGGATTCGGCAAGTGCCACCTGCCCTGGGGAAAGAAACCCCTCGACCAGGCCCCATGGTGCTCTCTGGAAATTACTCCCGACTCCCCTGTTCTCCTGCCCTTGGGCCGTCCTCTGGGAGGCCTCCTTTTCTATAACCTCCTTGACCACACGGGATGAGGACCCTGGAGAAGAGGGTTTCCCTGGGGGCTGAGCAGCTTCCTCGGGCTGCTTCCCCGTTGGCGCCCAGAAGTGGTTTTGTGTTGTTGACGGTCACAGTCTCTTTTAATCCAGCTGACAGCTCTGCGGACAGTGCCACCCTCTTTAAAACTTTGTAACTTTTGCCCAATTGTTGTCACTCAGCTCTTTTTGCCAAAGATACACCCAAGGCCGGGTGCGGTGGCTCACGCCTGTAATTCCAGCACTTTGGGAGGCCAAGGTGGAAGGATCACCTGAGGTTGGGAGTTCAGGACCAGCCTGGCCAACATGGAGAAACCCTGTCTCTACTAAAAATACAAAATTAGCCGGGCATGGTGGCGCATGCCTGTAACCCCAGCTACTCGGGAGGCTGAGGCAGGAGAATCACTTGAACCCGGGAGGCGGAGGTTGCCGTGAGCTGAGATCGCACCATTGCACTCCAGCCTGGGCGACAGAGCGAAACTCTGTCTCAAAAAAAAAAAAAAAGACACACCTAACTTTCTTCTAGACATGGCTTTCTAGACAGAACTGTGGGCCTGCAAGCTTTTCTGAGGTTTCAACAAAGGGCGTGATGGCCACACCCTTGGTATGATCTTTACCCTGAGACTGAGTCTTAACTGGGCTCTATCACACAGAGTGTTTCTTAGTTTTATTATTATTATTTTCTTAAGCCCAGAATATTCTTTATTGACTATTTGTAGAGTATCCATTTTAAAGAGTCTTCACAGAAAGTTTAAAATTCATAATTAGCTGGGCATGGTGGCACATGCCTGTGGTCCCAGCTACTCAGGAGGCTGAGGAAGGAGGATTGCTTAAGCCCAGGAGGTCAAGGCTGCAGTGAGCTGGGATCGTCACTGCATTCCAGCCTGGGTGACAGAGTAAGACCCTGTCTCAAAAAAAAAAAAAAAGAAAAGAAAAGAAAAGGAAGAAGAAGAAGAAGAAAGAAAGCTTAAAATTCACAATTAGACTTCTCAAACAATACATTTCTGGGGACAGACAAAGTTAAATTTAAAACTCTTATCTGCTCCAAGATCATATTGTGTGTTCCAAGCACAAATATGTCAGAAATTTTTTCTAAAATGTCATTTGGCACTTGAGTCTTGCAGAAGCGACAAACTGCCAGAGGGGCAGGGACTGTGTCTGTTTTGCCCACTTATTATGCAAAAGAGCAGGATTTTCCAAAAATGGCCCTGGGTGCTCACTCTAGGTTGTCTGGGTGATGAACTGGCAGGATGGGGTGGAGAATTGGATCGCACCTTTTTCCAACTCGGGGATAAGTGGTTCGTGCCCAAGCACAGCTTCCCTGGCCCACCCCAGCCTTCTCCCAGCTGGGGGCACAGCACCCAAGCTCAGCCTCCTGCAGCACAGGTGGCCTCCTGCACGTGACAGTGTCTGGATCCTCCCACGGACTATGGACCTTTGGGCACTGGGCGCCTGGAGCACTCACTTAGTTGCTCTTTCATTGGACCGAGATGAGGAATAGTTGCCTTTTTCAATCCTGCAAATCCAACATTTCTGGATTTTCTCTTTCCCTTTCATTTCTGCTTGCAAGTAGGTTAATTCCCTTAGATCCCATCTCCTGTCTGTAGGGCCCTGTGAAATGCGGCGTATTCGTTTGCTAGGGCTGTGGTCACAAAGTCCTGGGTGGCTGAAACACAGAAACACATTGTTTCACAGTTTGGGAGGCTGGGAATCCAAGATCAAGGTGTCAGCAGGTTGGTTCCTCATGAGCGCCGTAGGGAAGGATCTGTTCCAGGCCTCCCACGTTGGTTTATGGATGGTTGATTTCTCCCCGGGGTCTCCATGTCATCTTCCCTCTGAACATGTCTGGGTCAAATCGCCTCTTTTTTTTTTTTTTTTTTTTTTTTGAGACAGAGTTTCATTCTTGTTGCCCAGGCTGGAGTGCAATGGTGCGATCTCGGCTCACTGCAACCTCCACCTTCTGGGTTCAAGTGATTCTCCTGCTTCAGCCTCCTGAGTGGCTGGAATTACAGGCGCAGGCCACCACGCCCAGCTAATTTTTTTTTTTTTTTGTATTTTTAGTAGAGACGGAGTTTCATCATGTTGACCAGGCTGGTGTCGAACTCCTGACCTCAGGTGATCCACCTGCCTCGGCCTCCCAAAGTGCTGGGATTACAGGCGTGAGCCACTGTGCCCAGCCTTTTTTTTTTTTTTTTTTTGAGACAGGGTCTTACTCTGTCACCCAGGCTGGAGTGCAGTGGCAAAATCATAGCTCACTGCAGCCTCGAACTCCTGAACTCAGGTAATCCTCCCACCTCAGTTTCCCAAGTAGCTAGGACTACAGGTGTAGCTTTTAAAGCTTCTGCTGGCCACTGATGTGTGGTCACTTCTGCTCACATTTCACTGGCCAGAGTAAGTCACATGGCCAAGCCTCGTCAGAGGGCGTGGAAGGACGTTCTGGGGACAGGATGGTATAACCTGCTTAGGAGAAGGAATTGCTGGGCACAACGGCACCATCTATCATCCGGCTGGCACTGGTTAAGGCTTACGTGTGTGGGGCTTTGTGCCAGCAGCTTCACACCCTTAGCTCATTGACTCCTCATGTAGCCCCATTTTATAGGTAAGAAAACTGAGGCTTTGAGAGGGAGAGAGACTTGCTCATCGATCATAAACAAGATTAACTGACAGACTGAGAAAATCCTGAAGGTCTACATGCTTCTCAGGTCTTGCCCCGTTCCATCTTCTTGAGGCCAGGGTGAGAAAATCCTTGGCCTAGGATGTAGCCCACGCGGAACACTCACAAATGGTAGTGGAGTTAAAGATCTGAGTTGAGGCCAGGCGCGGTGGCTCACGCCTGTAATCCCAGCACTTTGGGAGGCCGAGGCAGGTGGATTACCTGAGGTCAGGAGTTCGAGACCAGCCTGGCCAACACGGCAAAACCCTGTCTTAACTAAAAATACAAAAATTAGCCAGGCATGGTGGTGCATGTCTGTAATCCCAGGTACATGGAAAGCTGAGGCAGGAGAATCGCTTGAACCTGGGAGGCGGAGGTTGCGGTGAGTTGAGATCGCGCCAATTGCACTTCAGCCTGGGAGAAACTCCGTCTCAAAAAAAAAAGATCCTAGTTGGGTGTGGGGGCGTCTTGAGCCAGCAATGCAGCTGCACATCCCACCAGGGTGCCGGAAGAGCTTGCTCTGGGGGAGCCCACACCCCACCTTTCAGCTCAGCTCTGCCTCCACCGTGCCTGCAAATCTAGGTGCTCCCCAGAGTGCACAGGGTCAAGGGAGGGCAGGGGTTTACAGAAGTAAATCCAACTCCTCCTGGAGGAAAGGGAGAGAAGGAGCCTTGTGCATCCCAGGACCCTGTGACCCTGTGATCACTCCTTTGCGGCTGAATCTCCCAGGCTCTAAGTGCCTCTGGGGGGTTATGAATTTCTTGTCTGCTTGTTTGTTTCAGCAGGGGTGGGCAGGGGGCAGAAAAACCTTATGTTCTTTTTATTATGCTCCTCATTTTACAGATAGAGAAACTGAGGCCCAGGGAGGTTAAAGCCACTTCCCACAGCAAGGGCTGATGATAGATCCAGGACTCAAGTGCAGCTGGGGCGGGCGCTGGGAGGACTGGGCACTGAGGCCCCAGGTGAGCCTGTATTAAGGAGGCTGAGGGTGGGGCTGGATGGGAAAGTGGTGGTGCGGACGGGGTTGGGGGGTGGGCGCTTCTCCCCCCAGGCCACCCAGGTCTCAGAAGGACAGAGGGGGCAAGACAGTGATTCTTGGAGAGATGGATTTAGTCTAGGGGGTCCCAGATAGTGAGAAAGAGAGAACCAGGCAGGGGCCCGGGCCCACGTGCAAGGGACAGTGTGAGAAGGAAACACACACACACACATCCCACCACAGACTTTTTCTGGTTTTGACACCCAACTCAGAGAAGGTCTTTTTACATTCAGATTTCTGAAAATGTCGTTAGAAACAATAATGACGATGGCAAGCCTTCCCTGAGACCTCACAGCATTTCAGGAAACTCGCTGAAAGGCTTTGCCTGGACTCCCTCATGGAGCCCTCACAGCTGCCCTGTGAGGTGGGTGCCATTACTGTCCTCTTATTATAGATTGGGAAACGGAGGCTCCGAGGTGCCAGAGCTTGCAAACCGATGGAGGTTGGCCAGACTTCATGAGCCACACTCTGAATATTCCCTTTGAGGCACAAACAACAGAATCAAGAAGGAGGCCACGCGCGGAGGCTCACACCTGTCATCCCAGCACTTTGGGAGCCGAGGTGGGTGGATCACTTGAGGCCAGGAGTTTGAGGCCAGCCTGGCCAACATGGCGAAATCCCATCTCTCCTAAAAATACAAAAATTATCTGGCTGTGCTGGTGCACACCTGTAGTCCCAGCTACTTGGGAGGCTGAGGCCGGATAATCGCTTGAACCTGGGAGGTGAAGGGTGCAGTGAGCCGAGATCACACCACTACACATCAGCCTGGGTTAACAAAGCAAGACTCTGTCTCAAAAAAAAAAAAGAAAAAAAAGAAAGAAAGAGAGAGAGAGAGAAAGAAAAAGAGAGAAAGAAAGAAAGAAAGAAAGAAAGAAGGAAAGAAAGAAAGAAAAGAAAGAAAGAAGAAAGAAAGAAAAGGAAAAGAAAAGAAAAGGGAGGGAGGGAGGGAGGGAGGAAGGAAGGAAGGAAGGAAGGAAGGAAGGAAGGAAGGAAGGAAGGAATCAAGAAGGAAAGCCCTGCCTGCCTTGCCACAAAGCTCTAGGCCTCCCACCCTCCTCCCTGCTGAGTCAGGTGCCCACTGTGGACTCGAGGCTTTGGGTTCCGCCAAGATGGCCAGATAGGGACTTCTATGCTGGTTTCCCTGACGCCATTTCCCTCCCAGCCCTGGCTTTCCAGAGCCCTAAACTGCCTTTCCCTATGAAAGGGGATAGAGCTTCCCACAGCCACCCGTGCCTCTCTGTGACTATCAGAACAGGGGCCCCACTGACACCAATAATGATGCCTGCTGTATGAGGCCAGCCTGTTCTCTGCAGCCCTGAGGTCAGAGGACAAAACGAGACACAACCTATGTGCCCATCCTCTGGGGATTGGATAACCACATACAGGTACATGTGCACAATGGAATACTACGCAGCCAGGAAAAATAATGAGGTGCAATAAATTGCCAAACAGGACATATAATATTGACTGGCATTTTTAGGGAAGCGTGGTGGCTTCCACCTGTAATCCCAGCACTTTGGGAGGCCAAGGTGGTAGAACCACTTGCACCCAGGAGTTTGACACCAGCCTGGGCAACATAGTGAGACTCTATATCTAGAAGAAATAAAAAATTCGCCGGGTTTGGTGGCCTGTGCCTGTAGTCCCAGCTGCTCGGGAGGCTGAGGTGGGAGGATGGCTTGAGCTGTGATCATGCAACTGCACTCCAGCCTGGGCAAGAGAGCAAGACCCTATCTCACACAAAAAAAAGTTTCTATAAGTATCTGTATTGACAGAAAAACTCCAACCCTGAATGTGCTAATTACCCTGATTTGACCAATACACATTGTATATGTGTACTAAAATATTACACTGCATCCCATAAATATGTACAATTATTATGTGCCAATTAAAAATAATAATACAAGCCAAAAAATAGGACGCTGCACTAGAGGCTGAGGTTACGTGGATGAATAAGGCACGTGGAAAAAACAACAACAACAACAACAACAACCTCACTTCAGGCAAAAGTAGGAGGCTTCCTCAACACAGCCCGGGGTTCTTTCCTCCGCTCCTGCTGTCTCGCTTCCTCCTTGGCATGGGCGCTACACGGTGTCTCGGCGCCACTCCCCTAAGTTAGGAACAAGCGAATTCCGAGATGAACGGTGCAGTCCTGGCCTCGAGGGGCCCTACGGAGTGGGGCAGGTGGGCACATAAATAAAAAACATCATCACCTGAATGGCGTGAACCCGGGAGGCAGAGCTTGCAGTGAGCCGAGATCGCGCCACTGCACTCCAGCCTGGGCGACAGAGCGAGACTCCGTCTCAAAACAAACAAACAAACAAACAAACCATCATCACAATGACCGGGGGTGGGGGCTTCTCCAAGTGCTTGATGCTCTGCCAAGGAATTCACTGGCATTAACTCGGGGACCCCTGACCATAAGTGAGTTTTCTCATTTTACCAGTGAGGGAACCGAGTCTCAGTTAGTGCCCTGGGGAGCAGATTCCGTCTTGCCCTGGGGGTCTGGGCCTCAACTCCGGAGCCTTTTCCGGGAGAGAATCCTCTAGCCGCTGAGCTAGCGGCTAATCACCCCCCAAAAGCAACAGAGACAAAAGGCAAGGAAAGGGGTTGCACAGAGGGTGGAGGCAGGACAGGTCCCGGTGGCTGAGCCGCCTCCCCCCACCTCGTGCCTAACCACGCACAAGTGGATTTGGTCCTGGAAGCACACACCCCCTCCGGAGGTGCCATGGGCTCCATCTGAAGGTCAGAGAGGGGACAGTGGCCAAGGCCATCTGGAAAGTGCCGCGGCAAGGGTTCAAACCCTGTCGGCCTGATTGCAAAGGCCCTGTCGCCCAGCGTGGGACCCAGCAACCGGCGCTGTCCAGAGACCCCGGTCCTTGGCCCCTGCACAGGCTTGGCACGGAACACGTGCTGGATACGCAGTCAGCCTCCTTCCTTGTCCTCCTTCCGCCATCATGTGACCTTGGTCCCACCGTTCTCTGTTTCCAGGCCTCAGTTTCCCCATCTGCAGAGAGAGGGGGTTGTCCTAGGGGTGCCCTGGCTCCCCTGGAAGCCTCCAGTACCTTAGATTTCCACTGGGGAAGCCAGGAAGGGCAGGTAGGGCCCCCTGGGGCTGGAGCAAATTTGGGGTTCAGGGCTGTTTTCTGGGGTGAAAGCTTGGAGCCCGAGGAGAGCCCCGCGGACGGCCCCAAATTCCCCAAGCCAGCAGCCCCGCTTAACCTTCCCCCCTCTGCCACCCAGAGCCCCGCTGGACCAGACTCGGGCCCCCACCCCGGAATCGCCCGACACCCCTGACTCTGGCGGGGGGAGGCCCCCACCGGGCCGGCCGGAGCCCCCAGCGCCTTGAAAAGCCTCTGGCCTCCCCCTCCCCGCCAACGCCCGACCCGCGAGCTGCGCAGGGAACGAGGGGGAGCGCCGGCGAGCGCGCAGCGAGAGTGGGGGAGAAATGCAAATGCGTTTTATCCTCCTTTCTTTTAAATGCTGAAACCAGCCTTGACAGCCTCTGAAAATAAATGGCACCGACTCGCTGGGATTTCAAATTCCGTGATTAAGGGCTGAAGCAAATACTTTTTCCCTCCCTCCCCCGCCGCCCTCCCTCCGTGGGCTGATAGAGCGGCGGCGGGCCGGGGACAGCTTTTTGCGAGCCTGCCAGGAGCTCTGATACGCAGCCTCCCGCCCGGCTGCGCGGCGGCTCGGCTCCGGGCTGTTTATCACGAGCGCTCACGCCGGCAGCCGCGAAAGCAGCTTTAAATCCCCTGCCCGGCCTCGGCGCCCCCTCCTCCCGCCGGCACGCACGCCGCGGTCAGGCACGCGCGCGCGCGCACACACACACACACTCACACGCACAACATAAGGCACACGCATGCACGTGTGCACCTAACGCACACCGCACGATGCACACACGCACGCGTGCACACACCCTCAGAAAAACATGCATGTTATGGGAGCACGCATACGTGTGCACACTGGCACATATGCACACACGTGAACACCCGGCCCTGGTGAGCGTCTGCCTGTTCTCCAATGAAAGGAGGAAGCCAGGGAAGGCTGCAAAGTTGGGGGGATGAGAGGAAGGAGAGGAGGGGGCCAGGAAGAGAGAGGCTTTTCTGGGTTCACAGTTTGCAGGGGCTGCCTGAAGGCAGCCTAGCGTGGGGGGCGGCTCTGAGGCACCCGCCAGCTGTGTCCTCCCTCGTTCCTCCCCACAGGGCTCAGTGCACTCCTCACACCCACTACAGTGACTCCGAGCTGCCTCAGTCTCCCTCCTTCCTTTCCGGCTCAGTACTCTGCGGGGAGCGGGGGGCGGGGTCGGGGTGGAAACACAGCTCCGAGTTATTATGCCTTTTTAGGGCTTGGATTCCCCATCTGGGAGACCTCCAGGCAAGACGCCCCGCCCCTCCTTGAACCTCACCTGTGAGGAGCCCACTCAACCAGGGTCACGCAGCTAGAAAGAGGGACGGTCAGGATCCTCGCTCTGAGGGGTTTGGGGGGAAGGAGTAGGACCCAACAACCTTCCTCTGATTCTGAAAGAACCACCTCTGCTCAGACAACCCTCTGAGTGTCCCCTCTCTCCCCCATGCTGGGCTCCCTCTGCTGTCTAGCGGCAGCTGACAGATGGGTGATAACAGGTACACCCAAGTACCTGCTAGAGGTGGCTCCACTCCCCGGACAGTCAAGCTCAACTCATGGAGCTCCGACAGCGGGCGAGAGGTGAGGAAGCAAGGCCTCGCGGTGCCTGCTGGCCGCGTTACACAAACTGCCCAGCAAAGGGGAAGGTGGGCAACGTCTGGAGAGGCACGGATGGAGACCTTCAGACACACACGTCGAGGTTCAGCAGCGCTGGGGCAGGGGGGCGGGGGTGAGGGGACATGGGCCATAGGAATGCCGTGGTCTCCCGCCAGCTCTGCAAACACGGGGTACCCCCACCATCACTTCCCCTCCATATGCACCCTGAAACCTGCACCTGCCCAGAGGTAGCCGCCTGCAGGAGACAGGCAGGGCAGGCTGGAGTTTGCAGAAAGTCACAGGGATAACGATGACGCTGGTTCTGTTTGCCTGGCTCGGTTCTGCTCTGGACATGCAGGCCTCGAGGAGTCCTCACTGTGACCACACCCACTTTACAGGTGAGAAAAAAGTGAGGCTCAGAGAGGGAAAGTGACTGGCCCAAGATCTCCTAGCTGGGAAGAGATGGAGTGAGGATTCAATCCCCCTGCCGTTTACCCCATTCTGTCTCCAAAAGGCTGAGCTGTGGCAGGAGCCCCATTTGTTCTTTATGTGAAAATGATGAGGCTGGACTGTATGTAAGTGCTGATATGTAACTGCTTTGGCCTGTCAGAATGCCAGTGTTGTGCAGCCCAACCCAGGAGCAGCACTCTCTGCACAGCGGTTCAGTTCAGCTGTTTCAGTTCCGAGGCTGACTCCGACGGCGGGGTTGCCAGATTGAACAAATAAAAATACAGGACACCCAGGCCAGGCGCAGTGGCTCACACCTGCAATCCCAGCACTCTGGGAGGCCGAGGCGGGCGGATCACGAAGTTAAGAGATCAAGCCCATCCTGGCTGACACGGTGAAACCTCATCTCTACTAAAAATAGAAAAATTAGCTGGGCGTGGTGGCACGCACCTGTAATCCCAGCCACTCGGGATGCTGAGGCAGGAGAATCACTTGAACCCGGGAGGCAGAGGTTACAATGAGCTGAGATGGCGCCACTGCACTCCAGCCTGGGTGACAGCGGGAGACTCCATCTCCAAAAAAAAAAAAAAAACCAAAACCAAAACAAAACAAAACAAAAAAACAGGACACCCAGTTAAATGTGCATTTCTAATAAACAACCAGTGACATTTTAGTTGAAGTACGATATGTCCCATGCAAATACTTACAGCACAAACTCATTCATGGTGTATCTGAAACTCACATTTAATTGGGTGTCCTCTATTTTATCCGGCAACTCTATCTGGGGGTCTTCCTTTGAAGACAGACTTCGAAACCGGGTGCTTTTGGATCCAGAAACCCAACGACAGGTGGGAAGCAACACTGTTATCACTGAAATCAGGCCTAGTCCAGAGAGATGAAGGAGCCCAGGCTTGGGGGCTGAACCAGGCTCCCCCTATTCCTGCTTAAGTAACTGAGCACTGAAGACCACAGTAAGTCATGGGAGCCCGTGATTCCACACACAGACTTGAGGGTGGGATGAAATGAATCAGCCCATGATGGACAGCTGGGAGATGCTGGGGTGGGTGGGAGATGCCACGGACTCTGAAGGTTGCCACCATTAGAACACAGCTGAGACTTTCCAGTAAACTGTGCAGTCTCTCAAACATGCATTCCAGCCCCCTTCCCACTGGCCTTCTTCTATCATAGAATGCAGAAAATTAAAATACTCAATTTCCCAGCTTCCTTTGCAGCTGGTGGTGAGCATGGGACCCAGCTCTGGCCAATGAGATGAAGGCAGATGATCCCGAGGATAGTTTCCCTTCCTGAATTAAAAGGCAAAGATTCCAAGAAAAATATACTTGCCTGGAATGTGGACGTGATGGCTGGAGGTGGAGCAGGCATCTTATGACTATGAGGACAAAAGCCAGACACCAAGGTGGCAAGGAGGAAGCCAAGGATACCTGGATCTTTGGGAACTCTTGTATCAAGGCTGCCACAACCCCAGACCACCTCCCTCAACACATTCCACACACAGAAAGAAACTTTTCATTTGTTTAAACCATGCTTGGTGGAGTTTTCTGTTGTCTGTAGACTAATGCAAATTCTGGCAGATTCATCCATCTTGGGGCCTGAGGGAGGATCCCAGACCCTACAGACCACAGTTTGGACATGGGTGAAAATCCATTGTTTTGCATAAAGTGTTTGCCAGGCACTGATGGCTACAGTGACCCTGGGACAGATGATCCCAAGTGCTCCATTAGGACTCAGTGCCTGGTGCTTGGCTGTGGCAAAGCTTTCTCAGGCCTCCAGCATGCGACACGGTGTGTGGTGGTCACCAGATGTGCTTTTTGGGGGAGGATTTTCCTTTATTCTAAGATTATGTCCTTCATACTTTTTGGGCTTTAAAATGAAATTTATTTCATGAAATGATGGGATAGTTGATGATGAGAATTTTTTTTTTTCCTTTTTTGAGACAGGGTCTTGTTCTGTTGACCAGGCTACAGTGCACTGGTGTGATCACTGCTCACTGCAGCCTCGACTTCCTGGGCTCAAGCGATCCTCCCACTTCAGCCTCCTGAGTAGCTGGGACTATTGACGTGTGCCAGCATGCCCAAATAATTTTATTTTTTGTAGAAATGGGTCTCACTATGTTACCCTGGTGGATCTCAAACTCCTGGGCTCAAGTGATCCCCCTCATTCTGTCACCCAGGCTGGAGTGCAGTGGCCCAATCTCGGCTCACTGCAACCTCTGCCTCTAGGATTCAGGCGATTCTCCTGCCTCAGCCTCCCGAGTAGCTGGGATTACAGGCACCCGCTACCACACCCGGCTAATTTTTATATTTTTAGTAGAGACAGGGTTTCACCAGGTTGGCCAGGCTGGTCTCGAACTCCTGACCTCAAATGATCCGTTCGGATGGTGAGATTTTTAATGTGTGTGGTTTTCATTTTGTTTTTGTAATAAAAACTTGGCATGGTTGTTATCAGTCCCCCAATTTTCTCTGGGAGTTGCAAAGGTCCCTGGGAGTATGCCCAAGAATCCTTCAGGTCTCATGCACCCAGGCCCAGCTGGTAGCCCAGAAAATAGGGAGGAGAGGCAGCCCCTGCCAGGAGCCAGCATCAACGGCAGTGGGGGTGGATGGCCCAGGGGCAGGCGAGCATGGTTCCAGATGCCTGCACTTTGGGTCCCAAGGGCCTGGCACTGGGAGAATGTTCCCAGGCTCTCTGTGCCTCCTGCTGTCCCTGCCCCACCTGCTAAGGTGTCCCCAGAGGAGCTGGAACAGTGTGTTACAGCTCCCCAGGCGGTATGGCCCCTGAGCACGCTGTGTTCTGGAGGCCAGCGAGGGTGTGCCAGGCTCTGTCCAGTGGACCGTGGGTGCACACCTGCTCCAAGGCCCAGTGGCTTGGCAGGTCCCTGCCAGGAACAGCAACGCTCAGCTCAGCTGGACAGTCAGCCCAACAAGCTCAGAGATGGCCAGGGACAACAGGAACTCATAGGAAAGTCCAGGCCATCCCAGGGGCCTTGCAACAGGCCCCGAAGACCCAGCGATGGGGAGGAGGAAGCTGGAGAGAGGAATGGTAGAAGCAGTACTTGGGAAACTGCTCAACTGGGGAGATGAAAGGTGAACACTGTGCTACACTCACAGCATTTTAAACCTTGCAGCTCCCAGCAACTCTGCCCTAATGAGAAGCAGGAAGAGCCGCGGCAGGCCAGGAAGGGAGTTGCTTGGAGGCGAGGAGGATGGGAGGGCAGAGAGCTTAACGAAGTCTCTGTGCCCTGCCACCCTGGGAGCCATCCTGCCCCCACAGAGACCCCCACAGAGGGTTTCCAAGCAGGGGAGAGCAACCAGAGTCCCCAGGCTGCATTTTGGGCTCTGGTGATACAGACTGGAATGCAGCTGAGGGTTAGAGCCGTGAGCGGGAAATGCGGGGTACAACTGTGGGGTGCGCCCACTGCACCGTGCATCATGCCGAAAAGGTCCTGTAGCGGTTATAGCGGGACCCAGTACCCCTGCCTCACCCCATGCCCAGATATCAAGAACATACAGATATCAAGATCATACAGCTGGGGAACAGCAGAGGGGCTCCTGGATGCTCTTCTTCAGGGTGAGGCCGGCTTCATCCACTTCAGGGATGTCTAGGGCTGGATGTCATAGCCACCTCATTAAATGTGTCTGCTTTTTCCAGCCTCATCCTCATCCCTAGCCCCAGCTCCAGGCCCAGCCTGCTTTTAACAAGACAGTGAAGAGTGGCAGTTAAAGGTCTGGCTGGCATCAGACAGTGCTGAATTCAAACACCAGCTGAGCTGAAAACGGCCTGACTGGGTGACCTTGAGCAAGCAGCCTGCCCTCTCTGAGGCTCAGTTTATTTTCTGGAAGGGAGAAGACGGTGTCTACTTCCAATGACCGCCATGATGTTTCAGGTTCAGCCCGAAGGGTGAGCAGCCAATAAAGAGTGCCGAGAACGGCCTCTGGCCTGCCAGGTAGAGAAATGACCTGATTCCTTCCAGAAGTTTCCAGTGTTCCCAAGCTGATGAGGCTCCTGGGAGATGCCTCCAGATCTCTTAACGTTCAGGGAAGCATGGGCTCTGGTTGCATTAGGGAGGATTTATTTTATTTTTAAAGGAGTTGAGGCCACTTTGCAATCAGAGCCTTCGTGGCTGGAGCTGGGCGAGCTGAGGAAGGAGTATTAATCAAGGCGCTTTAAGGACATGCAAATCAGGAGAAAGCTCAAGTGATTAGGGTGTGATGGGGCCTGGAGTCCAGCCTATATCCCCATCTGAGAAGAGAGAGCCAGAGTGCCAGGCAAGGTGGCTCAGGCCCAGCTGGGGGCGGCAGCCAAGGGGCTGCCATGGGGCCAGGAACTGTGGGTTGGGAGCAATTGGAGGCAGAGGGAAGGGAGCCACTCCAAGGTGGCTGAAGGGTCCCTGATGCCTGCGCTGTCCACATGGTACTCTGGCTGGCTTCCCCGCCTCCCCCACAGCTGCAGAGGGGCTGCTCTGGCATGATCCCCTGCCTGGCTGGGACAGGCCCCTCTTCCTAAGGATACAGAATGGTTATTTGGGTGAGAGGGGCCCACCGGCGCTGCTGGGGGCGGGATGGCGAATGTGACGTCAGCGATCTGCGGTATCTTCAGGGTGACAGCCGTACCCCCCGCGTGGGACCCAGGGCTCCACATCTATAGACCTGACCCAAGGAAAGACTCAGGCCTGTGCACAAGGATGCCATCTCGGGGACTGCGTATTCATAAGAAGCTGAATCAAACAGTGTCCAACAAGGGGGGTTGTTCGAGCTGGTTATGGGACGTGTTTACCACGGACGTTCAGGTCCTCCTGAGAAATGACGACCTAGACATGGGAAGATGGTTGCAATGTATTGTTCCGCAAAGGAGAAAAAAAGCAGGTTGCAAAACCCTGGGAACTGTCTGCCCACCTTCAAAAAGTCGGTCATATATCTAGAAAAATCTGGAAGGGTAGCCACAAAAACATCATCAGTAGGTACTTTGGAGAGGTTATTGTTACTTTCCCCTTTTATGTTAATTTTTGTGCAATAAACATATATGTATTTGTAATCAATAAAGCCATCTTCTTTTCTCTTTTTAAGAAAGCTGCTATCTGGCTGTGCGCGGTGGCTCATGCCTGTAATCCCAGCACTTATGGGAGGCCGAGGCGGGCGGATCATGAGGTCAGAAGATCGAGAGCATCCTGGCTAACACGGTGAAACTCCATCTCTACTAAAAATACAAAAAAATTAGCCGGGCATAGTGGTGGGCCCCTGTGGTCCCAGCTGCTCGGGAGATTGAGGCAGGAGAATGGCGTGAATCTGGGAGGCGGAGCTTGCGGTGAGCCGAGATCGCGCCACTGCACTCCTACCTGGGTGACAGAGCGAGACTCCTTCTCAAAAAAAGAAAGAAAGCTGTTCTCTTGCTTGGCCTCATACCTCCCCCAATCTCCTTAATACTAAATAAAAGATCCCAGTGGACCCTGAGAGGGACACCCCCGCAGCCCTCTCAGGAGTCCCCTTGCTAGCACAAAGCAGGTCTCCACCACCCAAGAGGCAGGCAGACCAGGTATGGGGGTCATTGACAGACCCTCACCCTGCCCCATGCATTTTTTGGATGATACAGAAAAAAAAAAAAAAACAGGTACGCAGTGATCATTCCATACAAGATATTGGTATAGGTCCTATGTGGGTCCAGATTTCTTCTCCTAAGCCTCTGAGCCAGAGGCATTAGGGACTCAGTGTGTTCCGTGTAGAGGTGTAAAACGATACCTATAGCATAGATTAGGTAACACCTTAAGCAGGGCTGGGGCAGTCCCCATAATCAAACATGTTAATAGCTCTGCAGTGAAATGTACAAATGTTCACATCAAGGGGAATAAATAAAACTATAAATAGCTTCCTGTCAGCTGAGGTCAGGTTTTGCCTCCAGATGAATTTACCACCATCTTAACAAAAGGACTTCGGTTTTTCAGACTTTTTGTTAATTGCAGAATTCCAGTTAGGGGATGGGGACCAGACGAGGATCGGGGCTCTCAGGCGCGTTGGTTTGGCTGTCTCCCTGCAGGGTCTCCCCGGCAGCGGGGCTGGCTCTGTGGTAGAGCCACTTCCACAGTCACCCAGGGCCCCGTACATGGCTGACTGTTCTGTCGTCACCATCTTGAAATTCTCAATAATTGTAATTTTACCGCCCCGAATTTTCCTTTTACACAGGGCCCGGCAAATCGCGTAGCCAGTCCTGCCAGCATCCAGAGCAAAGCCCAGCACAAGGCAATTGCTGAATGGATGGATGGATGGATGAATGAATGAATGAATGAATGAATGAAAGAAAGAAATGTCATCCCATTCCCTCTCCACTCAGCCCCTTCCTGATTTTCCACTATCCATCAGTGGAGACTCAACAGGGTTCCTGAGTGGCCTGCTCACCTGGAGAGAATGTGATTCCCGCACAGGTCCCTGGGGCACTCAGACCCAAAAGCAGAATTCCAGAGGGGTCCCTGGGTTTCTAACTCACACTTCGAGTGATTTGGACACAGCTGGCATTGAAAAGCAGTTGTGGTTGTTTCAGAGGCCAGCTTGCTCTCCCTTCTTTTCTAGCTGTGTGACCTTAGGCAGGTTGCCAAACTTCTCTGAACTTCCCCAAATGGGCAAGGGGTCAACACTCACTCACCCTTAAACCCTAGCAGGCCATTTAGGAATGAGCCCCTTCCTGCCAGTCATAGAGGAGCGCCCTGCAAAGGTGGGCCCTGAATCTGTCCTGGTCCCTGTGCATGCCCAGCACCCAGCCTGGGGCCAGGAATGTGGAGGGCTCAGGAGCCACCTCCTGCATGGGTGGAAGGGGAAGGAGGGTGGTTCCCCCACCTCACAGGGCTTTGTGAGGACGGGGGAGGGTGGGCAGAGGGCTCTTCAGCATAGCTGGGCAAGCAGTAGGTCCCACATAAACGGAGCTGTCGTTGTTGGTGTCACACCATCTCCCTGGGGCTGTGGCCTCAGCTGCTGCACCTTCCCCAGGGGTGGGCGGCAGGTGAGCCCTGCCAGGGGCTAGAGGCCAATGGGGTGGAGGAGGAGGTGGCAGAAGGGGATGAAGGCAGGGGCCTGGTGGACGGAGTCCAGACACGTCCTGATACCAATTAAGGCAGCTCTGGCGCAGGGGGCCTTGGACGGCATTTATCAGCCCGCCGGGGAGGGGCCGGCAAGCTGTCCTCCGGCTGATGGATTAGACAGCGGACAATTAGGTTTCAGGCGGGCGCTCTCCCTCTCTCTCTCCTCTCTCTCTCTCTCTCTCTCTCTCACACACACACACCCCACACCACACACACCACACACACACACACACACACACACACACACACACACGCCCCTTTCTCCATCAGTCTGCAAGGCCCAGCGGCAGAGCCCAGCTGGGTCTCTGCTGAGCCCCCAGTGGTAGGAACAAAATAGACATAGAGCCCCTCACTGAGGGGGAGGGTCCTCAAAGAGAAGAAGGGAGCCCCAGGGACTTCCCCACCCAAAGCTATGCCTGTGGGGATCACAGCTCAGGACCCCACAGTCTCAACCCCAAGCATCACTTCCAACAGGACCAGGAGTGGGGGCGTTCCCGAGAAGCCAACATGCAGGAGACAACAGCGACGGTGATTTCCAAAGCTGAGGACATGGAGCTGAGCCAACCAGGGGTCCATTCCTCCCCTGAGAAATAGACTCTCCCCTTCGCAATCGGAGCCTGTGATCCACGGATCACAACGGGAGCAATGTGTGAGGCAAGGGCAGCGACGTTGAGGGGCTTCTCAAAGCTGCAGGAAAAGTCCTCAAGATTCTAGAATGTTCGGCATTGCAGATGCTCCGGGATGAGTCAAGAATACTAAGAGGGAAGGATGTCCCGAGCCCTGCTTTGGGAAATGCAGAATCAGATGAGGCCTTCAGGCAGCTGGTACCCATGGCTGTAGGTCGTGTCTCCGTTCTGCCCCAAAGGCAGGCTCAACCTCTCCGAGGGTTCTCAGATGCTGTGGCCACCGGTGGCTGCAGGGCCTTCCTGCTAAGACCATCCCAGGCGCCGGACACTGGGCAGGCTGAAAGCTGAGCTCCTCAACCTCCCCACACAGGCAAATGGCACCATTGTCACCCCAAGGTCCTGTCTAGAAAGCAAATTTCGACTTCATCTCTTCCTCTTCCTCACCTTTCACAGCCTTCACCATCGTCATCAACTCCTGTCCCTTGACCTCTAAGACAGCTTTCAAACCCGCTCTTCTCCAGATCCCCATGACCGCCACCCCCCCCAGCCTGACCCCAGCCACCATGTCTTGTTCAGATGCTCCCTCAGCTCCCAGCCTTTCCTCCTACTCCAGTTCCCCATGCAGCAGTAGAGGTGTCATCTAACCCCCCCGCCGCCCGCCAGTCTCACCACGCCCCTGCTTCAGAGCCCTCCGTGGCTCCCACTCCCACCCACCTGAGGAGAAAGTCCCAGCATCTGACTGCAGCTTCCAGCTCTGTCTCCCCACCTACGCTGGGGTCATTGGCTTCATCCATTCTTCACACTCAGCAATGATCTTGTTTGTTTATTTGGTTACTTAGTTGATGTTAGCTCCCCTCCATCTCCCACCAGAACATCATTTGAAAGGACAGATCTCTTTTTTTTTTTGAGACAGGGTCTCATTCTGTTGCCCAGGCTAGAGTGCAGTGGTGTGATCATGGCTCACCGCAACCTCTACCTCCTGGACTCAAGTGATCCTCCCACCTCAGCCTCCTTAGTAGCTGGGATTACAGGTATGTGACACCATGCCTGGCTCATTTTTAAAAAATTTTGCAGGGAGGCCAAGGTGGGCAGATCACCTGAGGTCAGGAGTTTTAGACCAGCCCGACCAATATGGCAAAACTCCGTCTCTACTAAAAATACAAAAAAATTAGCCAGGTTTGGTTGTGCACACTCTTAATTCCATCTACTTGGACGGCTGAGGCAGGAGAATCACATGAACCCAGGAGACAGAGGTTGCAGTGAACCGAGATCATGCCACTGCACTCCAGCCTCAGCGACAGAGCGAGACTCTGCCTCAAAAAAATTTTTTCTTTTTTTTGAGATGAGGTCTCACCATGTCGCCCAGGCTGGTCTTGAACTCCTGGGCTCAAGTGATCCTCCCACCTCCGCCTCCCAAAGTGCTGGGATTATAGGCATGAGCCGCCGAGCCTGGCCCTGGCAGATCTCTTTTGCTCACCCTTGTCAGCGTCTATCACCTTGCTGGAACTCTCTGCACCTGTGGAGTGAGCAAGGACATGGGTCCCACCCTTCAGGCTTGTCCCTCGATGCAGTTCTCTCAGGGTCCCCACGAGGACCACATCCCACGGCCGGCTCTTTCCTGAAGACCACACTCGTCTCACCCTCCGTCCCAAAGTCCGTGACGTACCCAGGCTCATCACACTACCCTTCAGCCACCAGCTCCTGTTCCCACCTCCAACCTCAGCAGAGAGGCCACTCTGTCCCGCATGCACCAGCTGGACCCATCCACCCTGCACAGCCGCTCAGGCAGGGTGGCCAGCTCACTCACTGGGCTCTCCCACCCAACAGAGGCTTCTTGGGGCTACCTCCTTCACTCTGCCTGGCACACAGTAGGTGCTCAATAAATATCTGTCTAACAAAGCTACTGGGCCCAGAACCCTGGCTCTAACCCCAGCACAGGTTCTGCCTTCCTCTGGCCTGGGCTCCCAGCTGCCTGGGTTCCCAGGGGCCAGGGGCCAGTGTGGATATGATCAGGTACCAAGCTGAGTGAAACAGACAGAAGGTGCTCTGGGGACACCTGTAACTGGGGACTTTGCATGGAAAGGGGGCAAAGTCTTCTGGGATGAGCTGGGCTTTGATGGGCAAGAGGACAGGCTAGGGAGAAAAAGCAGAAAATCTATTTTATTTTATTTTTTTTAGAGATAGGGTCTCTGTATGTTGCCCAAGCTGGTCTCCAACTCCAGGCCTCAAGGGATCCTCCTGCCTCAGCCTTCTGAGTAGCCTGGATTACAGGTGTGGGTCACCATATCTGGCTCTAAAGAGCAGAGACTCTTATGTTCATTAATGAACAGTTGCATGCCGGCCACTGCGTCTGGCACTTTATACAGGTTCACGTGTTCAATTCCTGTGACAGTCTTTTGAATAAAGTTTTACCTCCACTTTCCAGAAGAAGGGCGGCTACAGAGACATGAAGCCACTTATCCCGGATCCCACAGCTGCCTGCAGCAGATCCCAGGCATGGCCGGTCCCAGGGTCCTTGTCCTTTCGCTATCTACCATGCCACCATCTATGTGCCAGCTCCTACGCAGGCAGCATCCACCTCACTGGTGTCTGGGCAGAGGGAACCCCTGTGAGCAAAGGCCCAGGGGCTGGATGGAGCCTGCTGAGTGGGAGGCAGAACACACCTAAGAAGGCTGAGAATTAAATCCCCAAAAGTCAGCAGCAAAAGCCTGCGGGGAAGTGGGCTGGTCCCTTGCCCTCTCTGTGCCTCAGTTTCCTCATCTGTAAAATGAGGACATAATAGTACTTACTTCATAAAGAGGATAAATATCTTAAAGCACTTAGAATGGTGCCTGGCACAGATAAAGCATTGTAGAAACAGTTTCAAATAAATAAACGTGGTAGGAACATGGTGGGCCTGAGTCCAGGCAGAGGGCCGAGGAGCTCTCCTGCTGTCGCTGGACCAGGAGGCTTGGCAGGCCGTTGGCCAGCTGGAGGTGGGCAGCCATGCTTTCTTCCCCCGGTCAGTGGCTGAGGCAGGTCTTTGGAGAATTCTGGACAGGCTCCATGAGGCCCCCAGGCCTGAGGACCACAGGCAGCCCACTCTCCCCTGGTTACCGGAGGCTGGAGCTGCAGAGAGGTCCCTGGGCCTCACTCCCTTTAGGGTCCAGGGTGGGAGAGGAGTAAGCGCCCTTCTTCTCTTCACTTGAATGAGCCCTGTGTGCACCCAGGCTCCTGGGTCAGACCCTTAGGAAATGAGTGGGGGTGAGGAAGGTCCCCTGAGGGCTATAGGTTGTTGGCGTCGGGGGGTAATTTCCCCATCAGGACCCGCCC
This sequence comes from Homo sapiens, assembly GCF_000001405.40. Taxonomy (NCBI): domain Eukaryota; kingdom Metazoa; phylum Chordata; class Mammalia; order Primates; family Hominidae; genus Homo; species Homo sapiens. The sequence goes on along the minus strand of NC_000009.12, from coordinate 129,424,681 downwards.
CAATAAAGGTCCGTAAAATCATAAAGACACTCCAAGGTTGGGGGTGGCGGGAGATCTTGACTAGAGTCACAAGGCTGTGTGTTTTTGTTGTGTTTTGTTTTGAGCCTGGGTTTCACTCTGTCACCCAGGCTGGAGTGCAGTGGTGCAATCTCGGCTCACTGCAACCTCTGCCTCCCGGGCTCAAGCGATCCTCCCATCTCAGCCTCCCGAGCAGCCCCTGTTGCTTTTCTTAGACCTGGCAGAATCACCAAGGTCCCCTAAGCACGTGTGCTGTGATGAGTGATGCCATTTTACCAATGGGGAAACTGAGGCCCAGAGAGATGCTGTGTTTTGCTGGAGCCTCACAGATAACCCTACTCATCCTTCAGGTCGGCCTTAAACATAGTGGTCTCAGGGGAGGCTGCCCTGAGTCTCGGGTGGAGCCCAGGGCCCTGTTCCACTCTCGCACACATCCTGTACTTCTCCTTCAGGGTCTGAGGGCAATGACAATGAACCAGCTCAATGTTTCACTGTCTTCACTGTCTGCCTCTCTGCCTGGACTGTGAGTCTTCCAAGGGCTGGCAGTGTGTCTGTGCACTCATAATCGAACCCCAGAGCCCAGGCAGGCCTGGCCCGTGGTGGGTAGGTGCCCATTGTTTGTTTGTTGAATGAGTGAGTGAGTGAATGAACGAATGATGGAGTCAGAATGAAAACATACAGCCTGCCAGGCACAGTGGCTCACTCCTGTAATCCAGGCACTTTAGGAGGCTGAGGTGGGCAGATCGCTTGAGCCCAGGAGTTCGAGACCAGCCTGGGTAACGTAGTAAGACCCCATCTCTACAAAAAATACTAAAAAATTAGCCGGGCATGGTGGCTCACGCCTGTAGTCTCAGCTACTCAGGAGGCTGAGGCAGGAGAATCACTTGAACCTGGGAGGCAGAGGTTGCAGTGAGCCGAGATCACACCACTGCACCCTAGCCTGGGCAACAGAGCAAGACTCCATCTCAAGAAAAAAGAAAAAAAAAGAAAAGAAAAGGAAAAAGAGAAGAGAAAAGAAAAGAATAAAGAAAAGAGGCCTTTAGGAAATCCTGCACAGGTACTGATTTGCTCTGTTAATTCCTCCAATGGGAAAGGCGTGTTGCTAGAGGGAGGAGGCACAGTCATGACACAGGGATCAGGGATTTGACCCCAACAGGCCAAGGTCAAAGGCAGAGATCAGGAAGTCAGATCCCACGGAGGCCTGTGGCCGTGTCCCCCGGCCCTCTGCAGGTCCCCTGACTCAGAGCCCTCTTCTCCCACTGCCCCCTGATGTTTCTCCAGTCCCTTCCCCTCTGTCTCATCACTCTGTCCACCTCATCTGTGGTGCCTGAAAATCCCCTCTTGAGCTGTGGGTGTCATTCTTGTCTGATCACCGCCTCCCCCACCACACACACCGCCAGCCCCAAATACAGAGCCTCCACAAAGCCCCTTATTAAGAAATTGGTCAATTTCCTGCTAATTAAAATAAATACTATGCCACATTAAAGGCCAATTAATTTTCAGAGCTGCTAGGAAAACATCGCCTGGAAAATGTACACCCCCCGCCCCACCCCCTCCTCGGCAAAGGGCAGCCACGTGGCACCCAGCAGCAGCCGGGAGGGCCCGGTGGGTCCCGAGCTTCTAGCAAGGTCGGGAGGAAGGGATGACCAGCTGTGGACAGGGCTGCAGGCGGGCGGAGCTTCCTGTTCCTGCGGGGACTCCACTCACTCAGCCCAGGAGCTCTGAGAACCCATCCCTCCCCAGGAAACCCAGGCCCTGAGAACAGGTCTGCCTAGCTTACCTCACAACCACAGGCAAGCACTTTCTCCGGAACTGGGTCCTTAGTTGGTGAGGAAGATGGACTTCTGTAAGGCCTGCGCTCACCAGGCTCTGCACCCCGAAGTTATCTCACTGAGGGGCACAGCAGCCTGCAAAGGGAGGTGCCATTGCTCCCATTTTGCAGTTGGGCAAGATGAGGCCCAGAGACACCAAGCCCCTCTCTTGAATCACAGCTTCTGGGGGCAGAGCAGGATGTACGCCTGGTCCTGCCTGACTATACCCAGAGAAACCTGCAGCAGGCCCTTCTCCATCACACATTGTCCTCCCACAGCAGCACAAAGGTCGGGGGAACTGCTATGTCTGCATAAAAGCAAACGTCATCAGTTGGATTTGTTCAAGGTGAGGCTTACCTGCTTCCTAACCATATCAAAAGCTCCTGTTGATTGAGAGTCAGGGATGTGCCAGGAGTCCTGCCAGGACCTGACCAGTTGTCATCTCACCGAATCCTCACCAGCACCATGCGGCTCAGCGAGGTTAGGTAACATACCCAAGGTCACACCACCTGGCCACAAATTAGTCATAGCAATCGCCTGTCTTCAAGGTCCAAGTTTTGCTATTTCTTCAAGGTCAAAGCCAAGGTCTTCTCCTGTTCTGGAAGGACATCAAGCCATAGACAGAATGCTGGGTTCCTGGTGTGACCTCTGACAAGTCTCTTTGCCTTCCTGGGCCTCAGTTTTGTCATCTGCCAAATGGGAGGGCTGGACTCACTACTCCCTCGGACTCTGTTTAACTCGAGCATCCTGCAGGGGACCTCAGCCTGGGGCAGGTGGGGTCAGAGGGCAGATGGCCAGGAGCAGAGCCAGATGGGAGCAACAGCCTTCCCTCTGCCAGGACGGGGAGACCTGGCTGCCTCACAGTGAGAGGTCTGGTAGCCAGGGAGAGCAGTGGGGACAAGGGCCTGGCCAGGGCTGGTCATGGAGCACACTACCCCCACCACAGCTGCCCCTGTGCTGAAGACAGCTCCCAGGGTGGTGAGAGTGGCATCCTGACCCCAGCAGCGCCTGTAGGACTGGGCACCTGCTGTCCACCCACCCCCTGCCCCTTGCTCTCCCTTCCTCGCCCAATCCCAGGAGCTCAATGCCTGCTCAGGGCAGGAATAAGAGGCAGGGGAGGGGCGAGGAGAGGAAGGGGTCACTGGGGCCTTGCTGATCCTTCGTGGGGCCTCCATGTCCCCATCCCTCACGCAAAGCGCCAACTCCGAGGCCGAGCATTTCATCGAAGCGAAGCGTCTCCCGCCGGCATCCTCGGAGAGGTGCTGCGGCGTTCCGTTTCTCCTTGAGGCTAAGGAAGGAGAACACAGAGCCGGAGTGGAGAGCGATCTGCCGTCCCTGAGCTGAGCACGCCCACCGTGTTGGGGATTGATTGCTTCCATCCTTCAGCCCACTCTACGGAGCACCCACCGTGTGACAGGCGCGGCGCTGGGCACCGAGGACAAGAAAATGAATAGGCCATGACATGCGCGCCTGAGAAGTCGCAGAATCAGACGGGAGACAGACCCGATGCCACACACCAAGCTCTGGGTGCACGCAGGGCACTGAGTCACCCTTGTGGGTGAGGGGGTTCCCAGGGCACTCGAAAACTGACAACCGACAGAGTCTGGAAGTAGCCTGGAGGGGAAAGGGCATTCCTGGCGGGGGCACAGCAGGAGCAAAGGCCCAGTGACACAGAAAGACCAGGGAGTGTTGAGGGAACAGAGAGCAGCTTGGTGTTGGGGCGGCATCGGCGGGTGGCGCTGGAGCCGATGAGAAAGGAGAGGCCGACTGCGGTTCAGGTGGCCAGGACCTTCTGTGCCATGCTCCGCCAGTTACAGCCAGCAGTGGTGGTAAGCACAGCCACCTGGCATTGAACAGTGACGGTGTGGCCAGCACTGTGCTAAGCTCATCTCAGTCATTCTCTCACCACATCCTCCAATGAGCCGGTGAGGCCCAGAGAGGTTAGGTGAGTTGCCGGTGGTCACACAGCCGATAGTGGCCAGGCTGGAACTTGGACTCAGGCTCCCAACTCTCAACCACCAGCATGTACTGCCTCTGAAGAGTTTGGGATTCCCCTTCAGGGCAACTGGGAGCCACGAGGGATTTTTAAGGAGGGTGGGTAGCACAGTCTCAGTGCCCTAAATCCCCAAGTCACGCTCGTGGAGAACCCACTGCGTCCACCTGGGAGACGTGGCCAGTCTGTTTTCAGGGTCTGAGGGTTACTTTGGCCTCCCCGGGAGCTGCCCTGGTCTGCCATGCTCCTCCCTGAGGACTGGGGCTTGGCCTGCGTCTTCTACCCCAGCCCGTGCTGCTCCTGGGTTCAAGCCTTGCGGCCAGGGGTCACTGCTGCCATGGCCTCTTCAGAACCCAGGTGCCCACCTGTCAGGGTCTCAGCCCCTCCAACACTCTCTGGGGCCCCCACATTGCCCACCCTCTTCCCTCCCTTCCTTGCTTGGGGATAGCACCTGGGATGTGGGGTGCACAGGGAAGCGCCCCCTGACGGAGCTGGACAGCCCTTGGGAAGATCCAGCAGCGGTGGCCTCTCTTCACCCTTTCCCACATCCTCCCGGCTCCCTCTGCCCACCTAGCTTCCATATGGGGTACTGGATCATTCCTTCCCACCATCTCCCCTCCAGGGCCCCGCTTTCATTCTGCTCCCCCCATCCAAGGTCTCAGCATTGCAGGTATCACAAGACTGTGGATTCCAGAGGCCCCACAACACTTCCACCCTCCAAGCACCCACTGAGCATATGGAGAAGCTGAGGCCCAAGCAGGGCCAACGGCAGAGCAGCTGGAAGCCCAGCTCTCCTGTGCTCTCACCGCAGCTCCAGCTCCTGGTCAGCTGCCCACCAGGCATCTGCTGAGCGCTATGTGTTTCCATATAGAGGCATCTCACACTTGATCCTCACTCCAGTACAGAGCAGCCTGGGTTAAAACAGGAAGGCTGGCCTGTCCAGCTCTAGCTCCTAAAAATGCAATGAGTCCCATGTCGGCATCTCTGCCTTGCAAACAGGTAAAATGAGGCAGGCAGTAGCTCAATGACTTGCTGTCCCCGGTCATGTGTCAGGCAACCACAGTCACAAGGGTCTCCTGTCTGAAATCCTGCCTATTTTTAGTGTTAAGGCCAGGAAATGCGTTACTATAGACTCCTCTCCCTGTGTCCATGGCAGACATTACTAATTGATCACAGCACTCTCTTCCTGTAAGCCCAGATGTAGTCTCAGAATCCTCAACACAGCCTCTATCAACTGAGGAGCTGGCAATCAAGGTGACACCTGTTCACTGCCCTCCCTGCACGGTAGGGTCCAGTCTTATCTAGTATCTTCCCAGCACTTGGCTCAGGGCCCAACACATGGCACAGATCACAATAATAAACTTTTTTTTTGTTTTGTTTTTTGAGATGGAGTTTTGCTCTTGTTGCCCAGGCTGGAGTGCAGTGGCACAACCTCGGCTCACTGCAACCTCCGTCTCTGGAGTTCAAGCGATTCTCCTGCCTCAGCCTCCCAAATAGCTGGGATTACAGGCACCCACCACTACGCCTGGGTAATTTTTGTATTTTTAGAAGAGACGGGGTTTCACCATGTTGGCCAGGCCGGTCTTAAACTCCTGACCTCAGGTTATCTGCCCGCCTCTACCTCCCAAAGTGCTGGAATTACAGGTGTAAGCCACCATGCCTGGCCACAGTATTAAACTTTTTTAATTTTTTTGAGATGGAGTTTCGCTCTTGTTGCCCAGGCTGGAGTGCAATGGTGCAATCCAATCTTGGCTCACTGCAACGTCTGCCTCCCGGTTCAAGGGATTCTCCTGCCTCAGCCTCCTGAGTAGCTGGGATTACAGGCATGCGCCACCACACCCGGCTAATTTTGTATTTTTAGTAGAGATAGGGGTTCTCCATGTTGGTCAGGCTAGTCTCGAACTCCTGACCTCAGGTGATCCGCCCGTCTTGGCCTCCAAAAGTGCTAGGATTACAGGCGTGAGCCACTGCGCCTGACAGTGATAAACTTTTACTGAGTGGTTGAACAAATGGTAACCACCGAATGAATGATGTCTCCCAAAGCCAGTGGCTCTAAGCAGCTTCTTTTGTAGCAACAACATGACAGCAATAATTATAACAGTAATGCCCCCAGCAGCTGACGTTTCCTGAGTCTTTAAGGTATTTCATCTGAGCTGATGGACAATTCTGGGATGCCATTTCCCCAGGGTCACACATCATGGGACAGAGCCAGGCCCCGCCCCTGGTCTCCTGCTTCTGAGTCCAGTGCTCTGCCCCAGCCCCCACCTCTGCTAGTCCCACTGCAGCTTGTCTGGGTCAGTCAGAGTGGACCTGGACCTCAATCCGGGGACCCTGCAGGTGTTGGAGGCAGATCCCAGGGCCCAGGGTGGGAATGGGTTCTCAGGGGAGTAGTTAGTTGGATGCTTCCTCACCTGCTTGGAATTGTAGAAATACAGAACAGGAGATGCCACAATGCACCACCTTTGCCATGACCTGACTCCCCCACCCCCAAAATTCATATGTCAAGACATAATCTGCCCCAAGCATGGTGGCTCACGACTGTAATCCCAGCACCTTGGGAGGCTGAGGCAGGTGGATCACCTGAGGTCAGGAGTTCCAGACCAGCCTGGCCAACATGGTGAAACCCTGTCTCTACTAAAAATGCAAAAATTAGCCAGGCGTGGTGGCACACACCTGTAATCCCAGCTACTCGGGAGGCTGAGGTGGGAGCATTGCTTGAACCCGGGAGGCGGAGGCTGTAGTGAGGCAAGATCACACCACTGCATTCCAGCCTGGGTGACAGAGGGAGACCCTGTCTCAAAAACAAACAAACAAAAACAAACAACACCATTATCTGCAATGTGTATTAAGAGATGAGGTTTCTGGGAGGTGATTAGGTAATGAGGGCTCCATCCTCATGAATGGTATCTATGCTTTTAGGCAAGAGGCCTGGGGAGCCTGCTCGCCCCTTCCACCATGTGAGGACAAGGCTATAAGGCACCATCTGTGAGGAAAGGGCCCTCATCAGACACCAAATCTGCAGGCACCTTGATCTTGGACTTCTCAACCTCCAGAAATGTGAACTATAAACTTGTTTATAAATAACCCAGTCTAAGGTCATAGCAGCCGAATGGACGAGGACACCCTTTTTTGAACAGGTAGAAGAGAGTGGCCTCCAGGGAGTGTGATCTGCCCAAGGTCACCTGGCGAGCTTGGCTGAGGAAGGTGTGCAGAGCCCAGTGTCAGAGCCCCCGAGACGCCCTCTCCTCTCCTAGTGCCCTGTGCACTTGGGCTTAGTTGTTTTGCATCCTTTTGAGAATGTGAGTCCCTCAGAGGGAGGAACCTGGGCACGTCACATAAGGCTTGGCTCAAGACGGGTGCTCAGTAAACACTGGGTGGACAGATGGGCAGAAGGAAGGAGAGAAGGAAAGGAGGAAGGGAAGGAGGGAATGGGTGAGTGGATTCATGGATGGATGGATGCATGGAAGCCAGGGAGGGAGGATGAGTCACTGGGAGAGGATGGATGGAATGGAAGGATGGATGGATGGATGATGGGTGAATGGATGAAAGGAAGCAAGCCAGCATAGATGGAATGAGTGATGGAATTGATTGTCCCCTGCACCTGGAGGCCTCCAGTGACTCAGCCACAGAGGTCAGGAAGCTGGAGACGTGAGCAGGCGGCTCACCCCATGGTCCCCTCCCCCTCCCCCCCCCCCGATATTTTCATTAGGACACATCTGCTGCACCTGGCCCCTCGGCCCCTGCCCTGCGAAGCTGCAGACGCCTCTGCTGGCTTTATTAAGGACCTATTAACCCAACGGCTCCAGGCAGGGCTAACGATGCTGTCACTGCAGATGCTGGTTTGGTAGAGAGCCTCAGAGGGCCTCAGTAGGGAGGGCCAGGAACCTAGGGTTACAGCGAGGTCTTTAGAGCTGCACAGGCCTGCCTGATTTAATCCCAGTTCTGCTAATTGGCTGTGTGGCCTTGGGCAACTTACTTCCCTTCTCGGAGTGGGAGCTTCCCCACCTATAAAAGGGTCATAATGTGCTTGTTTGAGGATTCACTGAGCTAAAGCATTACAACACCTAGCCCAGAGTAAGAACTTGTTATAACCAGCAGCATATCCGAGGACCCCCCGGGAGCCAGGTCCAGGGTGGAGCGCTCACACACAGCAGCCCCCATCTTTAGGACCAGGCAGGTGCTGTGACCCACCCTATTTCATGGATGAGGAAACTGAGGATAACAGGAGATGAAGTGCTTGGCCAAAGCCACCGTGCCAGGCAGTGACAGGGCTGAGATTCAAACGTGGGCCGTGGAGACCGTGACTGGGCCACGTCCTGCCGGCTACTGAGCAGGAACAAAGGCCGGGGCGGGAGGGCGGGGCTGGAGGGGTGCTTCTCCCACCAGCTTCTGGAGGTGACAGCACGGAGGAGGGGAGGGGAAGCTGGGACAATCTCGCTGATTTACGGCTTCCAGCGGGATTAACTGCACCATCTGGAGGCCACGCGTCCACCCGGGTGTGTTAGGAACCCCAACCCTTCGGTGTAAATGGCAGGGGGAGACACGGTGGATGGCCGATCAGCTGTGAGCCGCCGGGTTGACTGTGGGGACCATGTGGGGCCCACCTGGCTTTCTTCAAGCCACCATCTACCCCTGAGGATGTCTCCCACTGAGGGGGCTGGATCTGCACCAGACTCAGAAGATTCCAGAATGGCTGGATCCAAGGGTTCAAATACAAAGGGAGGGCTGTGGCCGGAGCCACCGAAAAGTACAGGGGGTGAGCAGGAAGGGCAGGGGAACAACAGAGACAGGAGCAGCAGCTGGACACTCGCTCTCAGGGGTGTGTGACAGCGACTGCACCATCTTCCAGCTGTGTCCCCAGCAAGTGACTTCACCTCTCTGAGGCTCTGCCCCTTCATCTGTGAAAGTGGGATCATCGTGGTCTTTACCTCACTTGGTTGTTTTGAGGGCAGAATTAGATAAGGAAATGTACAGACCTCGGTGGAGTACCTGGCACTGAGTAAGTTCACAATCAATGGTGGTTGTGATTATTATCCCCATTTGCCAGATGGGAAGACTGAGGCTCAAAGCAGCTCAGGGACTTGCCTCGGATTACACAATGGGTTGGTGGCAGAACCCCTGGCCTCGGCTTCTCCTGACCCCAGTCCAGTGCTCCTTTCCTGGAGGCTGGACCAAAGATGAACCTGCCTTGGGACACAGCCAGCCCCAGAGTGTCAGAGACCCAAGGTGGCCATCCTGGGTCACACCAGCTCCAATGACAGCTTCTATGTTCTAGCACCTACTGTGCACCAGATGCCATGCCACGAGCTTGTGTGCACCACCTCCAGGAGCCATCACCACCTGTGACACGGGCACTGCGCTATCCCTGTTGTCCAGATACACAAGCTGTGGCTTCGGCAGAGCCGGGATCCACCGCCAGGACTGTCTGGTCCTGGAATCCCGGTTCTCAGCACAGGCTACTGCTGGGCCAAGGTGGGGCTTCTCTAGACTGTAGCGACAGCTCCCAGGCGCCTTCTCCCTATGTGTTCATCTTCTCCTTCAAGGAGAGACGGCAATATGGCACCCAGACCTCCACCGTGGATCCTAAGTCTTCTGGACACCAGACAAGTTTCCCCTGCAGGGCGGGGTTCCTTTCTCACATCTGGAAAAGGGGGGTGGGGGAAGGAGGGAAGAAGAAACATCAGCCCTAGCCCCTCCCTCCCTTCAGCCAGCACAGGGCCGCAGTGGGGGCTCAGGCTGCTAGGCGATGGTGGCAGGAAGGAGGTTTGAAGCATGCGGTCCCCCTTCCCCGCACACCCTGTCTACATTCCCATCTGGTCAGCCTGCTCGCTGAAAGTTGAAGTCCGCCTTGTACAAAAAACAAAAGCCTCCCCTTTCCAATGCAGAAAGCCCCAGAGACCGGGGCCACTCCGCTTGCCTTCTCTCTTGGCCAGTGTGGCCAGGACAGGGGCCGGGGAAGTGACAGCTGCCCTGCTCAGGGGAGAGAGATCCCAGTCCTGGCTCGGGTCCTCTCTGGGGCCATACCCCAGGAGCAGCTCGCGGAGCCTGTCCCCGCTGACTCCCACCGGCTCCCGCCTCGCCCGGCAGCCCAGGCCCCGCGACCCCTCCCCCTAGGACCTCCCAGCCTGGCCATCCGAGATGACCTTTGCCCCTTCCCCACAGAAGCCCAGACCTCTGACCCTTATTAAAAACAAACCAAACAAAATCTGGAGAGAAAAAAAATTCTCCACAAACACCTGAGAGATGATCGCGTGTCCCCGGCGCACGTACACACACACACGAGCACACACACCCCAGCCTCAGACACGCGAGGCCGCCTCCACATAAACACGCTGCTGGAGGGCGGGTTTTGTTTATGAAACGTCCAGGTTTCTCTCAACTTTGGGACGGGTGTGGACTGTTTCAGAGTTTTCTGCGGGATGAGGGAGCCTGCGGGCGGCAAGGATGTATTTTCTGCTTTGTGCTCTTTGCTGGTTCAATCCGGGGAGGGGGATACGTGAACAAAAGGACCAGGAAACCCAGGAAGGGGGCCCCGGGGCAGCACCCCCACCCCCAGGGGAGGTCGGGCTCCGGGAGGGCAGCCCCGGGGCCTGGGAAGCCCGGACTGGGCCTGAGCTCCGGAGGGCAGGGCTGCTAGCCCGTGTCCCCTCCGCGTCCCCGCGCTGGGCCCAGGGTCTGTCGCTTCGAAAACGTCTGGGACCGCTGGGCCGGGGTTCCTGCCCCCTCCTCTCCTGGCCTACAGCGCCTGGAAACCAAGGAATCCGCCCGGAACAATGGCAGGGCGGCTTTCCAAAGGCAAACAAGGAACGATTTGGCTTTTCCTTCCCCCGGCCCCCGAACCACCACCTAAGCGGGCGGCAGGGGCAGGTCTGGGGGTCCAGGTGGCCCCGGCGCGGCGACGGGACACACCCGCGACGCCCTCGTGGGCCAGGCCCCGCTGCGCATGCGCGGGTTGGGGCGCAGGCGGCCGCGGCCGCCCGCGCAGCCTCGCTCTGGCCCGGTCTCCGTGGCAACGGGCTGGGGGGAGGGGCCGGGCGGCGCGGGCCGCGGTGGCTGCTATTTCTGCCGCTTCCTGTTCCTCGTGGCCACGTCGCCATGGCAACGGTGTTACTCACCGCGGCCGCTTCCCGGCTCGGCTGGCGCGCGTGACCCCGGCCGCTCGCGCCCCCTCGTCTCTCACTTGCTGTGTTTTCCCCTCTTCCCCCGGGCGTCCTCCTCCTGCACCCCGGGTCCCCCAAGCAGCGCGCCCCGGTGCCCCCCACCCTTCCCCCTCCTCCCCGGTGCCCACGGCCCGGGACGAGGGGGAGGGAGATTGATGGGGGACGCTTATTAAAAAACATTGTAACCGTTTCCGTTTTTATTACGTTGACAAGGGAGCGTTATTTACTGTTATTGTTTGCCGAGCGGGCCGCGCCGGAGCTCGGGCGGCCCCCCGGGAGCTCACCTTCAGGCCGCGGCGGGCGGGGGCCGGGGCGGGGGGCAGGGCGAGAGCAGGGGGCGTCGGGCGGCCGCGCACCCCGGGGCCCTGCTCCTCGCCCCTTCCCCCGCCACCCCGTCCGGGCCCCGCGGCGGGGCGCGTTGGCGCGGGGAGGGACTGCAGAGGCCCGGTGACTCGCGTTGAAGGAGAAAGGCAACAAAAAATAAAAAAGGAACAGATGACTTCATTCTCGGGAAGGCTCCGTCCTACACGGACCAATTTCCTGGGGACTGTGGTGGAACAGCCCTGCTGCCGTTGGAAGCACTTAAAACTAAACCAGATAAAGACCAGAACATTCTGGGCCCTGCTGAACCAAGCCAGGGCAGGCTGCCGGGGCATGCAATTTCTGGCCACATGGGGAGGTGGGTGGCCTCCCTCCACCCTCAAAGGGCGCCTGGCTTCCAGTGTCCCAAGATTGCGGGTCCTGTGGGGAGGTGTCCACCGGGATCAGATGGGCCTGAAGGACGCCCCCAAGCCCCTGCTGGGATGTTAATGTCATCCTGCTAATTAAAGTTTGTGATTCTGTTCCTAACTCAGCTCCCCACTCTTGGACATTATCAGCTCAAATGCATACAGTTGCTGCTCTGGACAGGGAAGCCAGAGGAAAAAGCCTCTGCAGTGCACACCATACCATGGGTTCAGAAAAACAAATGTTGGCCGGGCACGGCCCGCCTGTAATCCCAGCACTTCGGGAGGCCGAGGCAGGAGGATCACTTGAGGCCAGGAGTTTGAAACCAGCCTAGTCAACATGGCAAAACCCAGTCTCTACTAAAAATACAAAAATTAGGCGTGGTGGTGCACGCCTGTAATCCCCGCTACTAGGGAGGCTGAGGCATGAGAATCACTTGAACCTGGGAGGTAGAGGTTGCAGTGAGCCAAGATCATGCCACTGCACTCCATCCTGGGCAACAGAGCAAGACTCCATCTCAAAAAATAAAAATAAAAAAGTGTTTACACTTACAAGCAACTCCTAGTGAACAACCCAGGTTTTGGAAACAACTTTCAGAGACCCCTTTAGCCTGTTTCATGTTTTCTTTTTCTTTTTCTCTTCCAAGGACATGCGGTTAGCCTTTGGTCACGGAGACCTTTGCCCTTTCAAGATAAAGTGATCTTCAGCTCTCTTCCCAGCACCAGCCGCTCTCAGCTGCACAGCCCTCCCTGAATGTGTGAACCAAAGTCACTGGTTCCAAGAAGAAAGAGCATCCTCCATCCCCACCCCACCCCCACCCCCACCCCACCCCACTCCCACCCCATCCCACCCCAGCGCTTGTGGAGTGTAAGACAGAGGTTCCCAGCCCTGAGATACGGACAGGCATCGGGCAGGCCTATACCTCCCTCCACGCCGAGTCACCAGCACTCACCCCACAGGCTGACCGTCCACGCAGAGCTGGTGGTGGGTTCAGAGGGTTTAGCTGATGCGAGAGTCGGAGCCCTGGGCAAAGTTTGTGACAAAATGACAGTAGACACCCAGTGTTGCAGAACCCCAGATCTGGGAGGACTTCGGAGATTACCCAGACCAACTACCCCCACTTCTTGTTTTACAGTTGGGCAAACTGAGGCCTGGAGAGGGGAAGGAGATGGGGCTAAGATGCGCCACCAGCTGGTGATAGAGCCTAGATGGGACCGTGGCGCTGTGCCTTCCATTCAGGTGCTGGTTGCCCCACTCTTTCATCTGTGGAATTATCTGTATGATCAGAAGTTTGGGGCTGGGGGCAGGACAACTGTCAGTCAGGGGCCACTGTCGCCAGAGTGCTAGGGTTCAAATCCTTCCTTCTCAGCGAAGCCTTGGGCCAGCGAGTTCTTCTCTCCAAGACTTGGCCTCTTTATGTGTTAAGTAATGGGGGTAATAACTGACCCTGGGCCGGGCGTGGTGGCTCACGCCTGTAATCCCAGCACTTTAGGAGGATGAGGAGGGCGGATCACTTGAGGCCAGGAGTTCAGGACCAGCCGAGTCAGCATGGTGAAAACCCATCTCTCCTAAAAATACAAAAATTAGCTGGGCGTGGTGGCGGGCACCTGTAATTCCAGCTACTTGGGAGGCTGAGGGAAGAGAATCACTTGGACCTGGGAGGCAGAGGTTGAAATGAGCAGAGATTGCGTCACTGCACTCCAGTCTGGGTGACAGAAAGAGACTCCGTCAAATAAATAAATAAATAAATAAATAACAGAGCCTGCTCTGAGTTTGTCTTAAGGAAGAAAGGCCATGACGCAGGTGAGGGCCCTGGACTGACCTGGTACTTTCTAGAACTTAACTGATGCAACCATGGCGATGCTGGTGGTGGTGGTGGTTGTAGTGGGTTAAATGGTGCACCCCCCAACCAAATATGTCCACACCCTAATCCCTGGAACCTGTGAATGTGACGTTATTTGGAAAAAAGGGTCTTTGTTGATGTCATTAAGTTATGGATCTTGGGAGGAGGTCACCCTCGATGACCTAAGTGGGGCCTAAATGTCATCACAAGTGCCTACGGAAGAGGAGAAGCTGTGTGTAGACGTAGGCAGAGGGTGGAGTGATGCAGCCACGAGCCAAGGAGCACCTAGAGCTGCCAGAAACTGGAAGCAGCAGGAAGGGTCCTCCCCGAGCCTGCTGAAGACCTTTGGCCTTCAGAACAGCAAGAGAATCATCTGTGTTGTTGTAAGCCACCAGGTTTGTAGTGATGTGTTCCTCAGCCGTAAGGAAGGAAACAAATACAGGAGTGTTGAGGTTGAGGATGAGGATAGGGTGATGATAATGATGGTGGTTGTGATGTTGATGGTGGTGATGGTGATGGTGGCTGTGATGTTGATGGTGGTGGTGATGCTGATGGTGGTGGTGATGGTGATGGTGGTGGTGGTGATGGTGGTGATGCTGATGGTGGTGGCGGTGGTGATGGTGATGTTGGTGGTGGTGATGCTGATGACGGTGGTGATGCTGATGGTGGTTGTGATGTTGGTGGTGATGCTGATGGTGGTGGTGGTGGTGGTGGTGATGCTGATGGTGGTTGTGATGGTGATGGTGGTGGTGGTGTTGATGGTGGTGGTGATGCTGATGGTGGTGGTGATGTTGATGGTGGTGGTGATGTTGATGGTGGTTGTGATGCTGATGGTGGTGGTTGTGATGTTGATGGTGGTGGTGATGCTGATGGTGGTTATATTCTCCTGCTAGAGCCGTCTGACGGTTCCAGAGGCCCGAGGTCCACAGTAAGGGCGTGGGCAGGACCATGCTGCCTCTGAAGGCCCCGGGGAAGCCTCCGTCCCAGGCTTCTCTCCAGCTTCTGGCAGCCTTGGCGTGTGGCTGTGTCACTCCTGTCCTCCGGTCCTCCCATCCTTCTGCCCTTCATCTTGACGTCATCTTCATTCTGCCATGTCTGTTCACCTTTCCCCTTTTTATAGGAACCTCACTCTTATTGGATTAGGGCTCCCCAACGACCTCACCTTAACCTGGTTACCTCTGTAAAGACCACACAAAGCCGCATTCTGAGGGACTGGAGTTAGGACTTGAGCCTATCTTTTTTTTTTTTTTTTTTTTTTTTAAGACGGAGTTTTGCTCTTGTTGCGCAGGCTGAAGTGCATTGGCGCAGTCTCGGCTCACTGCAACCTCCGCTTCCTGGATACAGGCAATTCTCATGCCTCAGTCTCCCAAGTAGCTGGGATTACAGGCACCCGCCAACATGCCCAACTAATTTTTTGTATTTTTAGTAGAGCTGGGGTTTCACCATTTTGGCCAAGCTGGTCTGGAACTCCTGACCTCAGGTGATCTACCCGCCTCGGCCTCCTAAAGTGCTGGGATTACAGGCATGAGCCACCGCGCCTGGCCGAACCTATCTTTCGGGGGGACACAATTTCCCTCACAATAGTGGTGATAATGGAGGTGATGGCAGTTGGTCATGGAGGTGATGATTGTAGTCATGGAGATGACAGTGACCGCCATGGTGATGGTCCTAGGCCTCAGTCCTGGACCCCCAAACCCTGCAGCTGCTCCTTGGGGTGCAGTGGTTAGTTCAGAGGGTCTCTGGGGGTCCAGAGCCTGTTCTCAGCGGTGGAGAGCAGGGTTGGATTGTCAGCTGAAGGAGCAGAGAGGTGAGAAAGAAGATCCCAGGGTGCTATTGCCAAGTTAGTGTCCCTTTTGCACCCTTCTGAAGCTCTGCCAGCCACCAGCGGTAAGATCTGTGCAAGCCCTCTAACCTCTGTCAGCCGCTGGTTGAGACGTGGGGTTGTGGAGGGAGCCCCTCAGCCCCAGGCCTCTGGGAGTCTGGGATGGCACCCGGTGGAGACATGGGAGCTCAGCCGCCTTGGCCAAGAGGGCGTCCATTGGGGTGAGAGGACAGCGAGGCTGGGGGGCAGGTATGGGTGAGAGAGCTCTCCCTGCTTCTCTGCACCTGACTTGTCCCTGTCACGTGCAAGCCCTTGCTATTTTTATACACAGCTAAGTCAGTGCTTGTCTCTGGCCCCACCCCGCTGCCAGAAACCTCCCAGAGGGTAGGGACCATGATCCGAACGTCTTTGAGTTGCCCAGAGCATGACCAGGTCCTGCACAAATGCAGAGTGAACCTGGACTGTTTTTTTCTGGAAGAACAGCAAGTGCCTCCCTTGTCCCTCCATCTGGGCACTACGGAGATAAGACCGGAGAAGCCAGCTGCTTTTGGATGGGATCTTTCTCTGCCAGGCCCTGGGCTACCCAAGGAAGCTGGGCAGAACCGCAAAGTCAGCCTGGCCTGGCCTTTCTTCTGGAGCCCACGGAGCGTGGTAACCATGGCAGCAGGAAGACAGAGCCCGGAGGACAGAAAGCCCACTGGTCTTTGGTCTTTGACGGAAGCCAGGCAGGAGCAGGCCACTGTTTGTTGTTGTTGTTTTTTCTTATTAGACATAATCACATCAACCCTCTCCTCAATCTATCTTCCTCTAGTTTTTGCCGACCAATAATGGTAATAATAGTCATAGTTAGCATTCATTCGTTTGTCCAATCAATATTTATGAGCACAGACTCTTGCCAGGCACTCTTCTATACAACAGGAGACATTGAACAGAAAAGCCAAGTTCGAGCCTTTTCAAGGCTGACATTCTGGGAAAGAAAGACAAAGAACCAGGAAACTAATGCTAGGATCCAGGGAGCAGGGTGAGGGGCTAGAGCAGAGAACAAGAGGGCTGGACTTTGGACAGGGAGGCCAGGGATGTGAGGAGATGCCACTGGAGCTGAGACCTGGGTGGAGGGAGGGATTGAGACCTGTGGGGAGCCCGGAGCAGAGGATCAGGGCTGGAGCAGCAGGTGCCAAGGCCCTGGGGTGGGTGTGCCCAGTGTCCTAACTCTAAGGACACCTGAAGCCAGGAAGCCAGGGAGGGTGAAGGCAGAGGCAAGCCCAGGGTCAGTGTGTGTGTCTGTGTGTGTGTCTCTGTGTGTGTGTGTGTGTGTTGAGGCAAGGCCTCGCTCTTTCACCCAGGCTGGAGCACAGTGCTGCGATCTTGCTCCCTGCAACTTCAACCTCCTGGGCTCAAGCAATCCTACCACCTCAGCCTCCCGAGTAGCTGGGACTATAGGCACATGCCACCATACCTGGCTCATTTTTTAATTTTTTGTAGAGATGAAGACTCGCCATGTTGTCTAGGCTGGTCTCGAACTCCTGGACTCAAGCGATCCACCCCCTCTTGGCCTCCCAAAGTGCTGGGATTACAGGCTTGAGCCCCCGTGCCCGGCTTGATTTGTGTTTTTAAACAATCTCTGTGGTTTCTGAGTGAGAATAGACTGAAGGGGCTGGAGGGAAGTCTGGGGAACTGATCAGAATTCTCAGCCAGGAGCCGACAGAGCCCAGAGGGGAGATGGTGGTGGCCTGGTCGGGGACAGCAGCAGTGGAGATGAAAATGGCTGGATTTCAGATATATTGTAAGTAGAGCCATCAGGATTTGTAAAAGGATCAGATGTGGATGTGGAAGAAAGAAAAGCACCAAGCCTGACTCCTGTGCCATGAACAGTGGGAGGTCTCATTTCCTGGGATGAGGAAGACTACAAGAGAAGCTAGGGTGGGGCTGGGGTTGGGGGCGGTCACTGTACCTCCATGGCCTTCTCAAAGCCTCAGGCTGAGGGCCTTGCGAGACCAGCCCTCGCTCCCTGCTTTGGTTCACATCCTCCTGCTTCCCCCTGGCCTGGCTTTCCTCCTCTTCGTGGCTAGTTTCTGTGGATGTTCAGCCCCCTCAACCACTCCCTGGCACTGCCAATCCATCTCTCTCCCCTCCCCTCTTGCTTTCCCCCACCAAAACATCCTGTGGATGGTGTTCCCTCCTCCGGGAATGCCATTCCCGCTGCCCTTTGCACTGCTGCTCCTGAGACCCCATCAAGAGTTGGGGTCTGCACAGGTTATGCTCAAAAAGCTCACGTGATGTTCACATGTGACACACTTGCAGATATCGAATACTCCCTGAAACCACTTATCCACATAACCACCCTAAGAGGTAGGCACTATGATCATACCTATTTTATAGATGAGGAAACTGAGGCCAAGAGAGGTTAAATAATTTGCCCAAGGGTCAGACCTGATGAGGATACGAACCCCGGCAGTCTAATCCCAAAACTCACACTCTTGTTTCTTCCATCATTCATTCCCCTGTTCTTTCATCCATTCATTCACCATTGCGTGCACTGTGCGCTAGGTCTTGCTCTAAACTCTGGTACCTTCCATGGTGTACACTGTGAGGGCACTGGGGAGGCAACGGCAGGCAGGCCAGCCCAGGCCGAACCTGCATGGAGCTAACTTTCCAAGGAGGAGACAGGCAAGTGACCTGCAAAGAGAAACACGGTGACCTGAGAGATGCATGCGGGCTGGGCTAAGTGCAAAAGCGGAAGGGAGTCACCGGGCACGCCCTGCAGGGAGGTGGGGCTGCCTCGGGGGAGGGAAGGAGTCTCAGGAGCAGCCATGCAGAAAGCAGCGGGAATGGCGTGCCCAGCGGAGGGAACGGCCTATGCAAAGGATCTCGTGGTGGGAGAGCAAGTGGGGAGGACACGGTGATCTACTGGTAGTGCCGGGGAGTGGCCAGGGGCTGAGCCAAGGAAACCAAAGCAAGGAGGGAGGGCACTGGTCCCGCAAGGCCCTCAGCCTGAGGCTTTGAGAAAGACATTGGGGTACCGTGACCCCTAAACCTGACACATCCAGTGCTGGCTCCCACCCCAATGCAAACCACAAGAAAGACTGCCAAGACAAGACCCTGTTGCCCAAGAGGGCCCCAGCCCACACCGGGTGAGGAGGCTGAGCCCCCAGCCCTGCTCCCTTTTCTACTGAAAGCATCAGGACTTGAATCCAGGGCTGACTCCATAGCCACGCCTGAAGGCTGTCCCACCCCCAGGCTGGCTATCAACGAGCAGGTCAGCGTCTGCCCTCTGTCCACATCTAGAAAGGGCCAGGTGGAGCTGGTGTTCTCAAGCCACAAGCCTCAGCTGCCCCAGAAGCCACTCACTGACTCACTCACTCATTCACCCGACAGCTGTTGGTGAAGACCTCAATGTCCCAGGCACCCTACCCAGTGCTGAGGATGCAGCAGACAATGAGACCACATCCCTTCCCTCAAGGAGCTGACACTCTTCTGGGCGGAGCCTGAGAATTAACAAATAAATATAAAGTCAGTAGAGGTACAGGTACCATGAGGAGGAAGGGGATGCAGACAGGAGAAAGACGGGTTTCACTACTGGAGCTGAGACGGACCCTGACTTTGGGGACAGCACTCTGAGGATGCCCCTGTGGCCTTGCGTCTTTCCAGCCCACCCTGTCCCCTGCTCATGGAGGTGCGGGTGACCCTCTTACTCCCCACACTCTGCCTCCCTCGGAGCCCCTGCCCCTCCCTCCTTGGTTGGCTTCCAATCTTGAGGCAAAGCCAGATCTTTGAGGGAGCAGAGCACCCTCCCAATGTCCAGGGGTCTGCGTCAGAGCTGGGGAGGGGCTGGGCCCTGCTCACAGTGGGAGGCCCCCCCCTCCAGCCCTGGGGAGGGGGCAGGCTCCGTCCCCCTTTTGTTCCCCCCGCTCTTCTGCTGGGCACAGAAAACTGGGGAACAGGGCCCCTGAGCTCTGGACCCTGGAGCAGAAACTTCATGTGGGCTGAGGGCAGAGGGAAGGGCTGAATACCTAAAGCCTTGCCCAGCAGATAAAACAGCGAACAACCCCCACTCCCATGTCAACCTCAGCACTTGCTGAGCTCAGAGCATTCCAGGGTGATCTAAGTGCAGCCTCACACCGGGAGGGTTGTGCTATTGTTATCCCCATTTTCTGGAGGAAGAAACAGAGGCTCCCTGGGTCCAGAGATTCGCCCAGACTCCAACTCAGGGCCGACGACATTCAGCGGACATCAGCAGAATGGCTGAGAGCCCAGGGCATCCAGCGAGAGGCGCCAATACCAGCAGCCCCCCACTCACTCAGACCCCCACAAGACAGAACCCCCCAAACTGGAAACATCCAGTGCCAGCTCTGACCCCAGTGCAAACCCAGAGAAAGGCTGCCAAGACCAGACTCTGCTGCAGGGGAGGGCCCGGGCCCACACGGGGCGAGGAGGCTCACCCCCAGCCCTGCCCCCTTCCTCTACTGAAAGTGTCAGGACTTGAACCCAGGGCTGACTCTACAGCCGTACCTGGAAGCACTGGGCTGTCCCCACCCCCCCGACTGGCTATATGGAGGCCCCACTGGGTCCTGAGGGCAGGTGGCCGCATCACCCCCTTAGGGAGGGGGAGGGGGTCAGTCGCCCCTCAAAGTTGCACAGCTTGTGAAAGGGGGCGAGATTCAAACCCAGGACTGTCAGGCTCCCACCAGCACCTAGAGAGCAGTGGGGACAGAGGGCCCAGGAACTCTGGCGAGGAGGCTCCCCACGTCCATGGCAGCACTAGACCCAGGCATGGAGGCTCAGTCACCTCCAAGGGTGCACACAGTGGTCCTGGTGCAGGCCCTGTGGCTGCCTGGCCCCCTCAGATCCTGTTGTGAGTGGCTGTCTCTGCTGCCCCTGCCCCGACCCAACCCCTCTGCCCTAGGGCTGTGCCCACTTCCAGGTCCTTGCCCGGGGACCAGCACTGGTCAGGTATGCTGGGGAGTCCTGCCAGAATTCTGGAAGCTTTGGCCCCATCAAGGCTGTCTCTTGCCCCTGAGACTCAGAAGACGGAGCCACAGGACCATGGGAGCCTGCCCAGCCTGGAACTCCACCCCACCATGAGGCGCCTGCAGGCCTGGCGACATCAGGGCTGGGCAGGGGGTCCCCTTCCTCTGCCTCCTCCTGGGGCCAGCCTCTGTCCCTCCACTGCTGCAGTAGCAACTGCATGGGCTGGGTGTATGAGCTGCGTGTATGAGCTGCATGTCTGCACCGACCTCTGCTTGTGCCTCTCTGTGTCTTTGCATGTGTGTGCATGTGCCCATGTTGGGGTGAGCAGAAACAGCAGGACAGGAGAGAGAGGGAGAGAGGGGGAGATGCAGGCAGCAGAGGGCTGGGTGACACAAGACTGCTGGAAATGCACAGAGAGCAGGGTATGCACCGCAGCTGCAGGGAGAGGCCCTTGGAGAGAGGGACAAGAGAGGGGTTGGAGGGGGCCCAGCCAGGGGCCAGCCCAGGTAGAAGAATCAGGAAAGCAGAGGCCTGAGGGAGAGAGGAGAGGGGAGGAGGAGGAAAGCTGAGTCCAGACTGCAACAGGGGGCCCAGAGAGTGGAGTGGACAGAGGGGTACCGAGGCTGGGGGTCTTGGATGGGACAAGGAGGACAGGCAGCACCTTCTCCACCAACCATCCCGAGTCAGCCCCACAGAAAAGCCCGGGGGGTCAGGAGTAGGTGAGGAAGCAAAGTGGGGGCTCCCTCAGTCCCGGCCCCATCCTGACCTGGGGAGAGGACAGGCATGAGACCAGCCCCAAAAGGAGATGGTAGAGTCCCCCGAGGTCGCAAGCTCCTCACACTTAGCCCCCAAACACCTCCTCTGCACCAGCTGGGGCTGTGTGACCTCGGGCGGAGGACACTGCCTCTCTGAGTCTCTGAGCCCCAAGAAGGTATTCAGCCTGGTGCTCGCATGAAGGCTCAGTGAGGTGAGACCTGGGTCCAGTTCAGGTGGGTCTGATGGCAGCGCCCGAGGTGCTGGGCACGTGCCTCCTTTATCACCAGGGAGAGTGAAATAGGGCCCAAGGTACATAGTTGCCATGACCTGAGCAGAGAGATGTG
This sequence comes from Homo sapiens, assembly GCF_000001405.40. Taxonomy (NCBI): domain Eukaryota; kingdom Metazoa; phylum Chordata; class Mammalia; order Primates; family Hominidae; genus Homo; species Homo sapiens. The sequence goes on along the minus strand of NC_000009.12, from coordinate 129,403,240 downwards.
CAAGCTGTAAAGTGCTGAGGACAACAGGTTGCTTATTTTAAGTGATATTCTTAAAGGTAAATTCAGGTTGGTGCCAGATCGGGGAAGAGGGAGGGAGGTGCCTTGAGAAGAAATCTCTGAGAACCCAGGTTGTAGGGACAGAGACAGCCTGGGGAAGGAGAAGAGCTGTGCTGGCTCCTGCCCAGGCCACATGGGGGTCCCACCAGAGCCAGGCTGGACCCCAGAGAGTCCCAGAAAGGCATGGGCGTCAGGGTGGGCCCTGCAGAAGGCTCGCCTTGGAGACGTGGGCTCCAGGAAACCCCTCAGCCCCAGAATCCCCTCACAATGCCCCCCCCGATTCCCCCCCCCACCCTGTTGTCCAGGGGGAGGCTGCTGAGGGCAGAGAAAAATATGGGATGGGGGAGAGAAGCTGGGGTCCCCACATTCCAACTGTGGGGTTTTTTCCATTCCCTAAAGGCAAGGAGAACAGTGTCAGGAGAGGAGAGAAAAGGGGGAGGGAGAAAAGGAGGAGGTGGAAAAAGGAAGGCAGGGAAGGCGAGGAACAAATGCAGAAGGATTGGAGCCTTGAGAGAGGCTGCCCGAGGAAAGGGCTAAATGAGAAGAGAAGGGAGGGGAAGGCGGCGAGAGGCTGCAGAGCCCGGGTGCGGCGCGGGCAGGCGCTCCAGCAGCTCCGGGTCTTCCAGAGACAAAGGCCCGAGGCCGAGGAGGAGGAAGAGGAGGGGGAGCAGGCGAAGGAGGCAGCGGCAGGGAGGGGAGGCCGGGCAGCCTGGACGCAGAGCCCGGGCCCCAGACCCAGGCAGGCGAGAGACCTGCCCCAATCCAGCCAAGGCCCGAGCTGGGGAAGAGGGGAGTGCGCTCCAAACTTAAGAGGAAAAAGTCTGCCAGCTGCCCTTGGGGTTACCACGACAGATAAAACCTCATCCAGGCATCAGAGAGCACCCTGCACACGAATGCACAGCAGCGAGCTAAAAATACTGGCTTGAGAGGGAAGAGGGTGAAGGAGGGAGGAGGGGGAGGGAGGGGGCAGGAAAGAAGAGGAGGAGAGTAGGGAGGAGGGTGGGGAGGAGTGAGGAGGGTGGGGAGGAGTTGGGGAGCAGGGAGGAGGTGGGGAGGAGGGAGGAGGGAGGAGCGTGGGGAGGAGTTGAGGAGCAGGGCTGCAGGTTCAGGCTCAGGCAGCCTCAGTTTTCCAGAGCGCCCAGTTTTGCAGAGGTGCAGATGCAGAGAGATGACTGTTTTGGGAACTGCAAGCCTCTGCCCCCCACGGCCCCTCTCTTGGATGGGGGTGAGGTGGGGAGGAAAGAAATGGAGAGAGAAAAGGGGAGAGGCAGGGACCAAGAGAACCTCAGGAACAGGGAGAGCAGAGCTGTGAAGGGCAGGGCTGGGGAGGAGGTTGGGGAGATGAGGGAGGGAAGGTGGGAGGGAGAAGGGAGAGGGAGGGAGGGAGAGAAGGAGGGAAAGAGGGAGATAAGGAGGGGGAGGGAGAAGGGGGGAGGAGAAGGAAGAGGGCAGGACAGGGAGGAGGGAGGAAGAAGGGAGGGAGGGAGGGCAGGAGAAAGGGGGGCAGGGAGGGGTGAAGTGTCTCTGGGGCTCTGAGGCACAGACCACCAAGAGACTCAGCACCTACGCTGGTCTCCTCCCATCCCCGTGCCCCTCCCACCCCCTTGCCCCACTACTGGATCCTGGGGAGTGTGGCAGGGGCTGTCAGGGTTGAGCAGTGGGTTCCCCTTCCAGGCCCGCTCCAGACAGAGGCCCCCACCCTCCTTTTGTTGGGGTCACTGGAAGGGTGGGCCTAGGCTAGGGCCCGGCTCCTTGGAGAAGACCCACCAGTGACCTAGCAGGGCCCAGAGCAGGGGCTGGGCCCGGACATTCCAAGTCAATTCAGGACTCGAGCACCCCGGAGGAGAAGGGACCCGGATTGTCCCCTGGAGTCACCTGCATCTACTGGCCAGTCTCCGGTCTGCCTTGGATCCTGGGAGTAGAGGGACAGCATGGCAGGAAGTAGCCCATTCCACCTAGACAGGAAGAAACCCAGAGCCGCCTGAGGAGGAGAGAGAATGCCAGCAGGATCATCGTGGGGGCCGGGGCTCAGGGAGGCCTCTTGGAGGAGATGGTCTTAACACCTGAGAGCTGAGAAGAATTCAGCCTCACAAAACCCAGAGACACGGTCCCCAAGAGGGAGATGGGGCTTGGAGATGCGGTGGGGTGGCCAGGCCGGGAGTGGCCCGCAGGGTTGGAGCCCAGGCCTGAACCTGGCAGGTCACCGGGTAGTCTCCTGCTTGCTCCTGAGCTGGTGTCAGTGAGAGCTGGGTAGCGGGGCCACCGGGAGGCTGAGGGACCCAGGGCCCGGGAACGTGGGAAGCGAGAGCAGCCCCTCCTTCGTTCCTCGGCAGCCTGGGGCCTCACCCCTGCAAGGTCCGGGTGGCCACCGCTTGCAGGGCCGTCCCTCTGGGAGTGCGCAGGGGGGCCGGGGGACCCTGGGATGACCTTCACCCCTCCGAAGGCAAGGCCTCGTCACGTTCATGCTCCAGCCCTTTCCCATCTGGGCTCCTCCTGTGTGCTGGGAGCGCCATGGCCTTGTGAGAACAGGGCGGCATGGTGGACGGGCGAGTGTGGCACGGCGAGGTCCGAGCCCCTGGCTACTCTCCCCAACCCTGAGAACGCAGGCTGCCTCGTAAGCTCTGTGGGCCTCAGTCTCCTGGTCTCTAGAATGCAGCCACGGGCAGGCTACCCAGAAGTGAGACGCCTGCCAAAAAAAGCCCCGTGCCCGGCCCAGAGCCAACACTTGGTCCATTGGGCCCCAGCTCAAAACCCCCCGAGAGGCCTGCCCTGAGCACCGTCCCTGTCCCTGTGTGCCCCCTCAGTCACAATTCACCAGCACGCAGCCACCCACCGAGGCTGAGCCTCTTCAAATTTGCTTCAATGTATGCCACGCACTGACTCAGGTCTCTGGGCCTCAGTTTCCTCACCCGCAAACTAGGGGTGGCCTCTGGGGACTATTCTAAGGGGAGTGGGAAGCCACAGGCTTCTCCTGACGTCCGTGTGCTCCCTCGCGTCTCACGGTACCGCATCTCCTCCGCAGGGCCTGTCTGTCCTGTGTGACGCTATGTGCCACCCCACACGTCTTCAGCCCCGGAGAAAGATTCTGGTGGTGGAGGCTGTTGAGTAAATGTTCACTTGAGCTTCTCCCACTGCCTTGGAGCCCCTCTTCTGTTTATCTCCAAATTCTCTTTGCTGACAGAGTACACAGTTCAAAACCCCACACTGGGATGAGCTAGAGGACGCCCAGGTCCAGCCCAGCAGTGGCTTCCTGTCCCCTCCGCCTCTGTACCTCTGGGGTCTCCCTCTGCCACTGCTGTCTACCGGGACGCTCTTCCTGGGCCCCTGTGGGACAAGGACTGCCTGTGGCTGAGGTCCCCCTCCATGCAGAACATAGAGCACAGGTGTGTCCCAAAGAGGAACAGAGAGAAGGAGGGGGAGGGCCCAAGAGAGACTTGGAAATGAATGCCAGGAAGCTCAGGAAGCTCAGGCGCTGGACTTGCGTTCGGGACGCCTGGCCTTTCCTTGTGTATTTCTCCTGCTGTCTGCATAAACATTTAATGCAAGAAAGAAAACCAGCCCTGGTTCTTGGGGTGTTCCCACCCTCCTGGGTCCCCGCTGGCTGCCTGGCTTCCTCCTGCAACTCCTGCTGTGTGTGTGTGTGCACGTGTGTGTGTGTGTGCATGTGCATGTCTGTGGGGCATATGTGTGTGCGTGTTTGTAATTGAGGCTGCGGAGTGGAGGGACCAGGGGTTTCCTCTGGGGACCCTGAGAGAAGGAGGCATTTTCACCACAGCCGAACAGGGCGGGACCCCAGCACCCGGGACCCAGCGGGATTTTGCCAAGGTGACGGGGGCTGGCTGGGCCATGCGGCTGTTTGTTTGATTTCCCCTGACTTCCAAACTAGTTGAAATTACACACCAAGCATCGATTTAATTAAGTTTTCCGGTGTGTGGCATAATTAGTAAGACACACGACTGGAACTGGGTGGGCGGTCCCATCCCTGCTCTTGCCTGTTGGAATTCTCAGCCCTCGGGCCACAAAATATGGCAAGTTGTAACGTAGGGGAGGGAAGCGAGGGGCAAGCCAGCCGGAGCTGTCACCTCAGGATGCCAGGTGGGCAAGGGGTCCCCAGGCAGCTCTGCCTCACAGAGGACCAGAAGCTGAGCTCAGATGACCCTCGGGGAGCCTGCCACCTTCCCTGGGGCCTCAGAAGCAGACACGAGGCGTTCAAGAGGGGCCCTGCCCTGGCTATAGCATCAAAGGACTTCAGGACAGGATCACCTGGGGGCTGTTGGGCACAATCAAATGACAAATTGGCAGTTCCCTGGACACAGAGCCCCCGCTTCAGATCCTTCATACTTTCATCTCTCACATCCTGAGAGTGTGGGCCACCGCAGGAAGAGGCCCACCACCTGGTTTGTGGTTCTCCAGGCCTGCTGGGAAAGGCTGTCCCCCTGGCCAGCTCCCTCCTGGGGAGGAGAGGCCTCTGTGTTCCCGTCCACCCGAATGGGGCTCAGACTGTCAGAATCCAACCAGAGCCCGCAGTTTGTCATTGCGCACATTGTGAACCGGAGGAGCCTTCTCGCCCAGGGCAGGCCTGGAAATGCACACGGGGTAGGGGGCGGGCCCTGGTTCTGCCTGAGCAAGGGAGAGAACTGTCAGAGTGGCCGCTCTGGTGTTTGAAAGCAGCTACCGTGGTGTGAACCACTCTCTGCCCCCTTGCCCAGCCCTCACTGCGGTCCTCGGCCGATGGCCTCCCAGCCCCACCACCACTAAACGGCTCTTTCAGAAATCCCCAGCTGCTGCTGGGGGCCAAATCCAAATGACCCATTTCTTTCTTCTCCCCTTTGATCCCTGCCACATTTGTTCCCGCCCTCCCCTGGCTTTCCTCTGGTCTCCAGGCCTCCAGCCCTGATGCCCCTCAGGGCCGGCCAGGACCTCTTCCTGGTCCCCTGAGTATTCTGTGGCTGCCAACACCTTGACCCTGGGCCTGGCCAATACAGATTCGTGATCATTCCCCGCTTCCTCCCTTCCAACTCAGGCCACCCATGGGGCCCTTTCCCTGACCATCCCAAGGGGCCCTGAATCAGGACTGATCATTTTGCTCAGCGGACACTGAGTCCCCAAGGGCAGCCCCAGCACCTCACTCCTCACACACGTCCCCAAGGCTGAGTTCAGAATGTGGGATGCAATCATTGAGTGAACATTTATTAAGCACTGACTGTGTGTCAGGGCCTGTCCTAAGTATTCTACAGGTATTAGAGTACTCACTTAATCATTCCATCTGCATATCCTCCTGTCTGTCCTCCCACCCAAGAAAACTGAGGCTCAGTGGGGTTACAACACTTATGCAAGATGACACTATTATCATATGGAATAGCTGGGATTTGAATCCTAGTCTGGTCTGTCACTGTAGCACATGGGTATAACTGTCTGAAACAGCCTCTCATCCATTCTTCCTGCCCATCGACCCACCCATTCTCCCATCCATACTTCATCCATCCTACCATCCACCCTCCCATCCATCGTCCATTCATCCTATCATCCATCCTTCATTCATGCTCCCATCCACCCTCCTATTCTTCCTCCCATCCATCTTTCCATCCATCCTTCAACCATCCCCTTATCCATCATCCAACTACCCGACCATCATCCATCTACCCATCCATCCTCCCATCCATCCTTCTATTTAACCCCCACTCATCCTCCATCCATCCTCCTATTCGTCCCCCACTCATCCTCCATCCATCTTTCCATTTATCCCCTCGGTCATCCTCCATTCATCCCTCAACCAACCTCCATCCATCCTCCACTCATCCCCCATCCATCCTTCCATCAATCCTATCTATTTTCCCATCTATCCTCCGTCGACCTTCCCATTTCAGCCTCCCATCCATCCTCCATCCATCCTCCCACCCATCTTTCCATACATTCTCTATTCATCCTCCCAGTCATTCCCCATCCTCCCTTCCATCCATCCTCCCACTTATCCTTCATTTATCCTCTCATCCATCTTTCCATCCATCCTCCCATCCACTCTTCATTCATTTTCCCATACATCCTCCTATCCATCCTCCCATTCATCTTTCCATCCATCCTCCTATTTATTCCTCTGTCCATGATCTCATCCATTCTCCCGTCTATCCTTCATTCATCTTCCCTTCATCTTCCCATCCATCCTCCATCCTTCCATCCATCTTTCCATCAATTCTTCACCCATCCTACCATCCATCTTTTCATGCATTCACCCATCCATCCTTCATTCATCATCCCATCCATCCTTCCATCCATCTTCCCATTCATCCTTCCATCCGTCTTCCCATCCATTCTCCCATTTATTATCCCATGTATCCTTTATCCATTCTCCCATCTATGCTTCATTTATTCTCCCATACATTTTCCTATCCATCTTCCCATTCATTTTTCCATCCATCCACCTGTCCATCCTCCCATTCATCCTTCCATTAATTCTCTCTTTTTCCATTCTCCCATCCATCCACCCTTCATCTTTTCATCCATCTTCCATCCTTCCACCCATCCATCTTTTTATCCATCTTTCTATCCATCCTCCATCCATCCTCCCATCCATCTTTTAATCCATTCTTCATTCATTCTCCCATCCATCTTTCTATCCATCCTTCAGCTGTCCTCCCATCCATCCTCCCTCCATCATCCTATCCATTCTCCCATCCATCCATTTTCCCATCTATCAATTCTCCCTCCATGATCCCATCCATCCTTCATTCACCGTCCCATCCATCCTCCAATCATCCTCTCAACCATCCTTCCATCCATCCCCCATCCATTATCCATCTACCATCCATCCTCTCATCCATCCTTCATTCATCTTCTATCCATCTTTCCCTTTATCCTTCATCCATCATCTCATCCATTCTCTCATCCATCCCCCATTAATCTCTTCACCCATCCTCCCAGCCGTCCTCCATCCACACTTCATCCATCCTTCACCCATCCTTCATTCATCCTCTCATCCATCCTCCCATTCTCTTATCCATCTTTTCATCCATCTTCCATTTATTCCTCTGTTCACCCTGCCATTTATCCTCCCATTCATTCTTCTATCTATCCTCAATCCATTCTCCATCCGTCCTGCCATCCATCTTTCCATCTATCCTCCCATCCATTCCTCTGTCCATCCCCATCTGTCTTTCCATCCATCCTCTCATCCATTCCTCTGTCTATCCTCCCATGCATCCTCCCATCCATCCTTCAACCATCCTCCCATTCATTCTCCATCTAACTTTTCATCCATCCTCCCAGCCATCCTCCATCCATCCTTCATCTATCCTCTGTTCATCCTCCATCCATCCTCCTTCCACCTTCTCATCCATCCTCTCATTCATTCCTCTGTCCATCCATCCTTCAACCATTCTCCTATCCATTCTCCCATTCATTCTCCATCCATCTTTTCATCCATCCTCTCTTCATCCTCCATTCATCTTCCTTCCACCTTCCCATCCATCCTCCATCCATTCTCCATCCATCCTCTCATCCATTTTTTCCATCCATCTTCCATCCTTTCTCCCATCCATCTTTCTGTCCGTCCTCCCATGCATCTTCCCATCCATCTTTCCTTTCATCCTTCAACCACCCTCCCATTCATTCTCCACTCGTCTTTTCATTCATCCTCCCAGCCATTCTCCATCCATCTTTCACCCATCTCCATCCATCTTCCATTCATTCACCCATCCATCCTCCCATCAATCCTCCCATCCTTCTTTCCATTCATCTTTCATCTATTCCTCTGCCCACCCTCTATCCATCCTCCCATCCATCCTCCTGTCTATCCTCCATCCATTCTCCATTCATCCTCCCATCCATTCTCCCTCCATCTTATTCTTCATTCATCCTCTCATCCATCTTTTCACCCATCCTCCCATCCATTCTATCTTTCCATTTGTCCTCCCATTCATCCTTCCATCCATCTTTTCATTCATCCTTCAACCATCCTCCCATCCATTCTCCCATCCATCCTCCATCCATTTTTTCATTCATCTTCTAAGTCATCCTCCATCCATCCTCCATCTATCCTCCCATCCATCCTCCATCTATCTTTTATCTTTTCATCCATCCTCCCAGCCGTCTTTGCCCAGTGCTAGAGGGGACAAACACATGACCTCCGGCCACAGGATAGTGGCTCTACATGCTGACTCTTGGCACCCAGGGCCTGATGTTTGTCCAGATGCCCAAGCCCCTGGGGGATGCCCTTGCCTGCGTATGTGGTGCTCAGCAGTGTTTCAGTGAACCTTAACCAACCTTGGGGGTCTGCTGGGCAGAGGGGGAGAGCCAGTGTCTGGCTCCTGGCGAGTTGCGTGCCCTTGTACCAGCTAATGACCCCCACGGCTCTCAGCCGCCTCCCTGTCTGCTGTGGAGGGAATGCTCCCAGGCTGCTGTGAGGAGGCGGCCAGAAGAGTGGGGACGGGCCTGTGTTGTGTGTTTCCTCCTCTCCAGAGAGCCTGACCAGGGCTGACGAATGAGGGCGTGCAGCCCAATTCACTGTCCATGGATCTACCTTGGAGTTTGGGGTCCCTGCGGGGGTGTGAAGCTTCGGAAACTCTCCTCTGTCCCCCCGCGCCATCCTTTTCCCTTCCAAGACAGGATCTGGCCTCTTGAAATTCTGCACACTAATAAAATTGTAACTAATTTACATCCGAGATGGGGAGTGAGTGGCAGCGGTTGTCATGGAGACCATCTCCAGGGCCCGGCTGCCTCCGCCTCTCAGTGCAGCCGAGAGATCAAGAGATTCTCGCCGAGTGCTGCAGCTGGGGCCAGTCCTCATGCCTCCCGGGCACCCTGCCCTGCTCCCCCCATGCTGGGCAGGTCCTTAGGGGACGGAATGGAGGCAGCCCCCCTTGGAAAGGCCCCAAGTTCTGCCAACGGTGCTCTGAAGGTCAAAGCCCCTCTGTCCTGACTGTGCCCCCAACCCTGCCCCTTCACCCCGTGGGCCCCACTGGCTTCCTTCCCTCCAGATGGAGACCCCCCCCGAGGGACATGAGGCCCTATCCCCACAGCACAGCCAACAATGGCACTCAGAGTGGGGACAGTTTCCAGGGAAGGGGCAGAGCAGCAGAGCCCGGAGCCACCCACAGATCTGTCCTCCTGGGGTCCACCCTGGGAAATGCCCCACCCTGGACTCCATGAATCCCAAGATGAAGAAAATGCCCTCCCCGGCCTCACAGAGCTTGCCTGCCCACAGGAAAGACGTTGAAATAACCAGTACTGGCTGGGTGCGGTGGCTCATGCCTATAATCCCAGCACTTAGGGAGGCCGAGACAGGCGGGTCACTTGAAGTCAGAAGTTTGAGACCACCATGGCCAACATGGTGAAACCCCGTCTCTACTAAAAATACAAAAATTAGCCAGGCGTGGTGGCTCGTGCCTGTAGTCCCAGCTACTGGGGAGGCTGAGGCGGGAGAATTGCCTGAACCCAGGAGGCGGAAGTTGAAGTGAAATGAGATCATGTCACTGCACCCCAACCTGGGCGACAGAGCGAGACTCTGTATCAAAAAAAAAAAAAAAAAGAAAGAAAGAAAGAAAGAAAGAAAGAAAAAAGAAAAGAAATAACCAGTGCTGTGACTCCGTGCCACATGCTGTGCTGAGCCCTTCACGTGTGAGATCTTGTCTCAATGTCAAGGTAACACAACGCAGTGGGCAATACTTTAAGTCCCCATTTTATCACGAACAAAAAGGCTTTAGACAGGTGGGTAGATAACACCCAAGTTCAGAGCCCTGGAAAGTATAAAGGCCGGAGGCAAAGCCAGATCTCCTCATTCTAAAATCATCATGGTAAAGCTGATAAGCTGCCTGCAGAGAAGAAGCAGGATGAAATAATTATAACGAAGCAGGGTCCATGCAGGCAGAGAATGGGGTGAGGGAACAAACGGGCCCTGAAGAATCATGATATCTAAGTTGGGTTTTGAGGGAGGAATAGGAGTTCCCCAAGGGAATACGTGGAAGAAGAATGTTCTAGGCAGAGGGAACATGTGCAAAGGCACAGAGGCAAGAACCTGCCCAAAACATTCAAATACCATAGGCTGAGTGCTGGGGTTGATGTGGAGGAGGGAGGCGTTCAGTAGGAGCCAAAGAGGGAGCCAGGCCCCAAGTGAGTGGGTTTCACTCACCAAGCTGAGCGCCCTGCACCTTATCCTGCAGATGAGAGATTAAAGAGCTGGCTCCAAGCAGGCCCACCCCTGACGTGTGGGCCCTGGGCAAGAGTAGAAATGGAGGTCCAGGTAGAAAAGGTCTAGATGTTTCCAAGTCAGAGAAGCAGCTAGGACGCTGCTGGCTAAAGAACTCTTGCCAGGCTCTCATTTTTATTCTTGTCTCTTCAGCGTTTTCCACCAGAACGTGAACTGGTCCACAGAACGTGGCCACAGTCCCCCAGCCTGAAGGGAGACTTGTGAAATGCAGATTCCTGGGCCCTACCCAGGAGGCCATGCTCCGATAAGGATAAGGTGCTATCTTTAAGAGTTTCCCCTGGTGATAATTATACATGAAAGTCAAGAGAAGCCCCCCAACCCCCACCCTCTGCTGAAAGTAGCAGGAGTCTGAGGGGTGGGAGGTGGGGGTACAACCAGATTTGTGTTCTAGAAATGGATCCCCAGCTATTGGGCAAAGGTGGGCGGGGAGGAGAGTTGGGAGGGGCAGAGGCCTGGCAGCACCTAGGTTGGAGAGGGTGGCGGCCTGGTGACAGGGCAGGACCGTGTGGCTTTGGGGGGGCGGGGTAGAGGGGGTGGTACGCGGTTGCGGGAGCGGTCCGGGGTGGAGGTTGTGTCAGCAGAGGCTGTGTTTGAAATTCACAATGGACAGGGCCTGGTGCTGATGAGGCTTGAAGGTGAGCAGGGATCCAGGGCAGCTCCTTTGGGATCATAAAATCTAATCAGGCTGCAGGAGGCCTGGGCCCTGGGTGGACTCCATTAGGCAAGAGCCCACTCCCCTCTGCTGATCCGGGCATCCCTGGGGCCCCTTAAGTGTCACACTGAGGGTCAATTCAAGGCTCTGAGTGGCGGAAGAAGAATTAAAAGCCCGCCTCTGTCCCCACCCACCCCGATCCCCTACAGGAGCCTGCAGCCATGCTGGGGAGGCTGGAGGAGCAGCTGGGAGCAGCAGGTCACCAGGAAGGAAAGGTGGGCATGCCTCAGGAGTGGGGGAGTGGAGTGGCCAGGAGGGGAGGCTTCCTACTCGAGGAGGACTTTGGACCCTCCCACTTTCCATACACGGTTCCAGAAATCATCTTGATAATAAAAATAATAACCGTGAAAACCACAGCAGCAACTATTGCCCTTGATCGAGCAGTTTTTGTGCCAGGCACTGAGCACGCAGCAAAGAAATGGCAGACTGGGCTCTCAGATCCTGAGCCATGGGCTGGAACCAGCTTTCCCTGTGCCAAGCAGAGAGGGGCTTAAAACTCAGCTCCTACCCTTGGAACACTCCCAAGCTGTTTGGTCATGAGACTGCTGGAGATGCCTCTCTGGGAGCATCTAGAAGGCTCTAGAAGGTCCATGCCTCTCTAGAAGGCTATGCTGGCAAACACCAGCTTTTGAGACCATGGGGGACTAGACCGTATTTATCAGCTGCAGGAGTTCAGAAGAGAGAGAGCTCGTGGGAGCTGCTGGGAAAGGCATGACTTGAGCTGAATGCTGAAACAGCGGCCGCATTTGAAGAAGGGAGAGGAGGTGGAGAAGGGATCCTGGGAGGAGGCTCCAGCCTGGGCAACGGTGTGGGAGTGGGAATGCAAAAGGAGTTTAGAGAAGGTCAGTCGGCTGCAGCGGCTGGCGAGTCACAGGAGGCAGGGATGGACACAGGTCGGCCCAGGTCTGGGGCGTGTCCTTCTGCTTATTTCTATACATCCAGGAGGGTTTGACACCAGGACATCAACGCATCCACCCTTGTCAGGCCTGGGATGGTGCCCCACTGTTGGGGATGGGTTTGGTGAGTTCCTAAGAACAACAGCCACCCCGGAGGAGGCCTCATCAAGAAGGGGACTGAGCTGAGGCTCTTGGGAAAATGGAGGCCTCAGATCGCCCCAGAATATTGGAAAAAAGGCTCCCATGCCCCACACCCACCTTGACCAAGGGCCTAAAACCAGGTGGGCAACAATGCAGGTCCAGTCATCAGCTTGGCCTGACTGTCCCCCGTCTGCCTCTAGCAGAGGTGAATACCTTGGGTCCAAGCCCTGCTCCCCCATTTACTATGTGACCCCAGACAGGTTCCTTAACCTCTCTGAACTCAATTTTCTCACTCATAGAGCCAGGATAAAAACTCCAACCTCCAAAAGTGTATTGATTTGTATTAGGATTAAATGAGACGAAGCTAAGAACTCACTTAGTGGAGGTTGCAGTGCAGAGATCACACTTGAAAAATGTTACTTCCCTCCCTTCCATCCTTAAACTCAGGGACAGGTCAGGTGTGACCACACAGAAGGTGCCCACGTGACTTTGTCCCTTGAGCTTCCATAATCCTCACTGCTTCTGCATCATCCAACAGTGGGGCCAGGCTGAGAATCCCACGTGATACAGACCTGGTTGCTCTCTGTCTTTATATTTTACATTTAAATCTATGATCCATTACTAGCTTATTATTATTATTATTATTCTATTTTGAGACAGGGTCTTGTTCTGTTGCCCAGGCTGAAATTCAGTGGCACAATCACAGCTCACTGCAGCCTCAACCCCCTCCCAGGCTCAGGCAATCCTCCCATCTCAGCCCCCTGAATAACTGGAACTACTGGCATACACCACCACACCTGGCTAATGTTTGTAATTTTTGTAGTGATGGAGTCTTGCTTCATTGCCCAGGCTGGTCTCAAACTCCTGGGCTCAAGAGATCCTCCCACCTTGAACTTCCAACATGTTGGGGTTACAGGCATGAGCCACCATCTCCAGTCTGCTAGTTAATTATTATTAATTTTTGACCCTCCTCTAATCTGAAAGGAGCAAGATAATTTCGGTATAAGATATGAGATTTGAATTGCAGCTCCACTTGTGCAGTGAGCAAACTACACGACTGTCCATGTTGGTCCTGAAGCCCCCATCTTTTCTTCTCAGGCTCTATTATTCCTCAATGGATGGTGTTTTGACAAGCAGTCCCCAGGGAGTAGGGATGAGGTGGGCTGTGCATTAGACCAAACTAGTCAGGCCGGGGCTTCTTGCTAATGGCAGCAAATGCACTTAGTGCATTTTTTAAAAAGTAGATGTCCAAGCTGGGTGCGGTGGCTCATACCTGTAATCCCAGCACTTTGGGAGGTTGAGGCAGGAGGATCACTTGAGCCCAGGAGTTTGAGACCAGTCTGGGCAACAAAGTGAGACCCCGTGTCTACAAAACATTTAAAAAGTAGCCGGGTGTGGTGGCACATGCCTGAAGTCTGAGCTACTTGAGAGGCTGAGGTGCAGTGAGCCATGATTGTTTGCACTCCAGCCTGGGTGAGAGAGAAAGAGACACTGCATCAGAGAAAAAAAAAAAAAATCTGGCTGGGCATGGTGGGTCACACCTATAATCCCAACACTTTGAGAAGCCATGGTGGGCAAATCACTTGAGGTCAGGAGATTGAGACCAGCCTGGCCAACATGGTGAAACCCTGTCTCCACTAAAAATACAAAAATTAGCTAGGCAAGGTGGTGCATGCCTGTAATCCCAGCTACTCGGGAGGCTGAGGCACAAGAATCGCTTGAACCCAGAAGGTGGAGGTGGTAGTGAGCTGAGATCGCACTGCTGCACTCCAGCCTAGGCAACAGAGTGAGACTCTGTCACACACACACACACACACACACACACACACAAGATATCCAATTGTTCATCATTTGTTGAAACTTCGTATGTTGAAAAAAAGTTTTCTTTATTCATTGATTACTACACAGTCTTGACCTCCTTCATTTTGCCAGCCTTGCTATCAGATCCTTTGTGCTTTTCATTTCTTCATTTAATAAATACTGAGGGATAATTGGACACTCATATGCAAAATATGAATCTTGGCCTTTACCTCACACCATATACAAAGATCTACTCATAGTGGATCATAGATCTAAACATAAGATCTATAACTGTAAAGAACTTTTAGAAGGAAACCTAGGAAAAGATCTTTGGGGCTGGGCACAGTGGTTCATGCCTATAATCCCAGCATTTTGGGAGGCTGGTTTGGGAGGATCGCTTGAGCCCAGGAGTTTAAGACCAGCCTGGGCAATATGGTGAGGCCCATCTCTACTAAAAAAATACTAAAGAGATGGGGTCTATAGTGAGACACCATCTCTCCCAAAAATTAGCTGGATTTGGTGGTGCATACCTATAGTCCCAGCTTCTCGGGAGGCTGAGGTGGGAGGATCACTTGAGCCTGGGAGGTGGAGGTTGTGGTGAGCCGAGATTGCCTACTGCACTCCAGCCTGGTCAACAGAACAAGATTATGTCTCAAAACAACACACAAAAAAATTTGGGACTTGGCATTAGGCAAAGAGTTCCTAGATATGACAATGGAGCCTAATCCATAAAGGAAAAAAATGATAAATTTCATCTCATAAAAATTTACAACTTTTGCTCTAAGAAAGACACTGATAAGAGAATGAACTATGAAAAAATATTTGCACATCACATCTCTGACAAAAGACTTGTATCCAGAAACTATAAAGAACTCTAACAACTCAACAGTTAAAAAAAAATAACTAATTAAAAGTGGAAAAAAAGACTCATACAGACACTCCATCAGAGAAGATACAGGGATGACAACTGAACCTATGAAAAGGTGCTCAACCATTATTAGCCACCAAGGAAATATAAGTCAAAATCACAATGGGATATCACTCCCCACCTCCTTAGATGGCTAAAAAAAATACTGGTTGACAAGTTTGCAGAGCAACTTGAACTCTCGTATATTGCTGGTGAGGATGCAAAATGATACAGCCACTTTGGAAAACAGTTTGGCATGTTCTTAAAAAGTGAAATGTATTCATATAGTATGATGTAACCATCCTACTCCTGGACATTTATCCCATAGAAATGAAAACTTAGGTCCATGAAAAGACATATACACGAATGTTCATAGAAGTGTTATTTGTAATAGCCTGGAAACAATGCAAATGCCCTTCAGTGGATGAATGGATAAACAAACTGTGGTCCATCCATACCGTGGACTATCACTCTGTAATAAAGAGGAGCCAAGAATTGATAGAGGCAAAACCTTGGACAGAGCTCAAGACCATAACGCTGAGTGAAAAAAATAGCCAATCTTAAAAGATCACACACTACACAATTCCATTTATATGACACCCTCCAAAAGTCAAAATATAGAGATGGAGATCAGTGGTTGCCAGGGGTTAGGGGTGAGGCCAGGGCATGGCTACAAAAAGATAGGAAGAGGAAGCCTCTTCAGGTGATAGAACTGTTTTGGATGCTGATAGTGATGGTGGTTACACAAATTGATGCTTGAGATAAAATTCATAGAACTGTTCTCCAAAAGGAATTTAATTAAAATGCAACTTGAAAAAAAATGATGTAGCGGCCAGGCGCGGTGGCTCATGCCTGTAATCCCAGCACTTTGGGAGGCCGAGGCGGGTGGATCACCTGAGGTCAGGAGTTTGAGACCAGCCTGGACAACATGGTGAAACTCCATCTTTACTAAAAATACAAAATTAGTCAGGTGTGGTGGTGCACGCCTATAATCCCAGCTACTTGGGAGGCTGAGGCATGAGAATCGCTTGAACCTGGGAGGCGGATGTTGCAGTGAGCTGAGATCGTGCCATTGCATTCCAGCCTGGCTGACAGAGCAAGACTCTGTCTCAAAAAAAAAAAAAAAACAGATGTGGTGCCGCGAGTTCTCAGGTAGTTTCTTCCCACAACCCCATAGGCCATGGTGCTTCCCCTATAGCACCTTGGAAGGGATTAGAAAAGGGCACCGCCTCATGTGCAGAATGCAGCCTGTGCCAGGGCCCTCAGCCTGGCAAGTGGAGGACTGGCTGCATTGCAGCTCCACTTGTGCAGTGAGCAACCTACACGACTGTCCATGTTGGGTCCTGGAGCCCCCATCTTTTCTTCTCAGGCTCTGTTATTCCTCAATGGATGGAGTTTTGACAAGCAGTCCCCAGGGAGTAGGGATGAAGTGGGCTGTGCATTAAACCAGACTAGCCTGGCCGGGGCTTCTTGCTAATGGCAGCAAATGCACTTGGTGCTGAGGCTGCAGGCCGGTGCTTTGGGGGACCGGTGCTTAATGGCTTGTCTGCCAGGGAAGAAGAAGGATGGCCGGACAGCCAGACGCATAGCCAGGATCAGATGGATGGAGGGAGCAGGAGGACTTACCCCAGCCTGGAAATCCCCCTCCCTCTGGGAGGTGGGGGTGGAGAGTGAGGGGATGTGCAGGAAGGACGCTGCCAGGGAGACTGGCTCTGCCTGAGCCTGTCCCATGGCACATTTTGTCTGCTCATTAATGGTGAAGGTTGTCATTCCTCCGGAGGGGTGGGTTTCAGGTGGGCCCAGCCACAGCCTGCTCTGCCCCAGGGAGCTGGGGATGAAAATCAGGATCCCAGCTTTTTTTTTTTTTTTTGACGGAGTTCCACTTTTGTCGCCGAGGCTGAAGTGCAATGGCGCAATCTCAGCTCACTGCAACCTCTTCCTCCCAGGTTCAAGTGATTCTCCTGCCTCAGCCTCCCGAGTAGCTGGGATTACAGGCATCTGCCACCACGTCTGGCTAATTTTTATATTTTTGGTAGAGAAGGGGTTTTGCCATGTTGGCCAGGCTGGTCTCGAACTCCTGACCTCAGGTGATCCACCCGCCTTGGCTTCCCAAAGTTCTGGGATTACAGATGTGAGACACCACGCCTGGCCAGGATCCCAGCTGTTACATCCTAAGTGCCTGCTGGGTGCCTGGCACTGTGCCGAGGGCTCTATTGAAGTGGCAATAATGACAAAGCCTCCAATAACAATAATATAAACAAATCCTGGAGTGCATTTGGGGGCTGGGCCTATCCCTCCTAATAAATCCGGAGGCTCGTGTGCCTTTGTTCCACAGGTCCTGCTTTCCTGAGGCCACACAGCCTGGTGCTCCAGCCTAGCCCCATCTGCCTTTGACTTTCATGCACACGGCCCTACGGTCACTTCAGCCTCTTCAACCCCATCGCTTAACACTTCTGAGCTCCAAGTTTCATAAAGGTGAAAGGGGACTTTGCTTTTGCATATGTAAAGGAGGAGACACCAACTCAGGTTAGGCCTTGCCTCTTCCAGGAAGTCTTCTCTGACCCTCCCCAGAGTGGATGAGCGCACCTCTGAGAAACAGATTTCCTCACTTATCCTCAGGAGCAAATGAATCCATCTTGTGCCTGATGGTGCAGTGTTGAGGACAGACTCTCTGGGACCCCAGCAGTCACTGCACCACCCTGAATGGGCCCAGCTGATACTGTTAGGAAGGCAAAGGGACGGGAACTGCAGAGAAGCCAAGACAGAGCCCCAACAGCATCATGAGCCTCTGGATCAAACCATGCCTGAAACCCACTATCACCTCTGCATCATTTCCTTACATGAGCCCATTATTTCCTATCTTGGTTGGATTTTCTGTCTGTTGTAACACAGAGTTTAAACTGATACAGGAATTCACCAAACTGTGAAATGTGGCGATTTCAGGAGGGCATATAATGAGGGAACTTTCATTCTCCAATGCACATGTTTTATATCGTCTGTGGTTTTACAGTACGCATATAGCAAAATCAATGTCAGTGCTTCTGTCTTGAGAAAACCAGTGGACCATGAGCCTGCGGCTTGAAGAATCGGGTGGGTGATGGCGTCAGTAACTGAGGAGCAGTGAACTTGGGGGAAAGATGGCAGCTTTGATACAGGGGCATGGGAGATCTGGATGGAGCCACTACATTGGGTCCTTTCGGGGGCTGGTGCCCAGGAGGGAGTATGTGGGGTGAGGGAGAGTCAATGTCGGTGCCGGGTGGCAGGGTTGAGGAAGGTCGCACCATGGTCCCTGGCCAAGGCCTTACTCATTGGAGAAGTACACATTGCTTCTTTTCCCAGGACACTCCCTTTTGGGGCTGTCACCGTGCCTCAAGTACCCTCCTTGTTGGAACTGATGTCCAAGGCTACATGTGAGTGGTAGAGCCCATCAAGCTGCAAATTTCTTGGAAGTGGCCTTCCAGCCACCTCCCATTAGCACAGGAGGCAGGGACCTCTCTGATGGGGTTGACAAGCTGATTCCTCAAGCCTGAATCCATGCTGCAAGGACGGGTGTAAATGACAGTGGCGACATGCTTCTGTCTGAGGCTTTTCACTGCTTGGAATGACATCCCACCGCGCTCTGCTTCATCCTCTGAGGGCCCTGAGATGCAGGCCAGGCAGCCTTCTGCCTCAGTTTCACAGAGAAAAAAGTTCAGGCACAGAGAGGCCTAGCAACTTGCACATAATCACACAGCCAGACAGAACTGGCCAGAATTTGAACCCAGCTCTCCAGCCTTCAGACCTGGCCCTCTTTCTATTTCCACCGGATGGTCCTCACAGCAGGGATTGGGGCAGGGAATCGTACCAAGTGAAAGTCAGCCATTGAGGACTGCGGGTGGGTGGAAGGTGAAGAGGCTCCCTGGAGAGAGTGGAGGGACCCCAGGCGAGGGAAGCGTCTGTATAATCCCCACAACTGCCCTGGCCCAACGCATGTCCTTTGCTCTGCCCTAAGTGCCTGGTCCTGTGCTCTGTATTGGTCATCACCTTGAACCCTCAAACATCTTATTCTGAGCCCATCTTACAGCCAAGAAAATGGATGCTCAGAGAGGTTAAGGAATTTGCCTAAGGTCAATTAGTGAGGAATAGAGGTCTCTGGCCTGTTGGAGCCCAGAGCTCGTGCAAAGGCCCTGAGGTAGGGCCCAGGAACAGGGTGTGTAAAAGAACTGTAAGGAGTGGGTGGGGAGGAGGGGAGAAGCTGCGGAGGTCCCTCTCGGTCCCATCCAAACCTCACTTGCTCAAGCAAAAGTTTCAGGGTGTCGCTTCCTGTTCAGTGGAGCAAGGCCCCGTCCATACTGGCCTCGGTTTCCTTGGGATGGGGGAAAGGGGTGGCAGAAAGCGCCCCCTACCCTACCCTACCCCCAGTCCAAGTCAGAAGAAGTAGCTGCAGCTTCCGGGAAGGTTGTCTGGAGACCCAGAAAGAGAGAGAAGTGGGTGGGGACGAGGGGCACCGGTAATGAACGCGGTCTTCTGCCCGCAGCGACGCAGACTGGGCTGTAATCCGGGCCTCCTGGGCCAGCAGGGCCTGGCGGGCCTTCCCCAGCGCAGGTTCCCATGTTCATTTAGGCCCCGCGACGCCCGGCGGGACGCCCTTCCCTTTAGGGACAGGGGCGCGGGGCGGGGTCGCCGGTCGCGCGCGGGCACACGGGCACGCACACACGCGCGCGCACAGACGCTCCCGGAGCCGTCAGAGGAGGCGAAAGGAACCAAGAAGTGAAAGTGAGCAACCTCTAGTGAAAGAAATAGACATGCACAGACAGCTCGGAAACTGACGCGGTGCCAGCGAGCCGGCCTTCCCGGGCGCGCCCGGGTGCGCAGGCAGCGCGTTCCCCAAGCTGGGCGCGCGCTCGGCGGCCACCGAGGAGGGCCTGCCACTCGCTCGCGTCCCCCCAGTTCCTTTTCCTGCTTCTTGCTGCCTCCGCCTCTCAAGCAGCCGGGAGGTCCCCGCGCGAGGCCCCCAGCGGGCGCCCCAGGATCCATCGGGTCCCCCACGATCCTTCACGCCCTGGACCCCGGCAAAGCGCGGCTGGGCCCAGCCTTGAACCCTGGCGGCCGAGGGTCAGAGAGCTCTGGCGTTTGAGTCCTTTCGCCCACCAGGCCCGGGCTACCTGCAGAGTGGAGGCCTTTGCCCTCCCCCGCCTCCCCCGCCACCCGTCTGCACGGACTGTCCCTGCGCTGCGGCTCCCGGGAGCGCCCAGGCCCTGCAGTGGTCACTGCACAGATGACTTTGGCAATAGCCATCTCTTGGAGAAGGAACTTCCAAGTGACAGTCCTGAGAGGCCAACGGCCAGTCGGCTGATGTGAGCAGCGCCTGGCAGCCTCAGAAGGGCTCACCCTGCCCGCCTCCCTGCCCCCACCCTCCCTGCACTAAACCAGCTTTTCCAGCTCTGCAGCCTGGTCAGGTTTCTGGCAGGTGTGGGTTGTTTTCTGCCCCTGGAGCTTGGGTGGGAAAAGAGAGAGGTCTGAGAAGCTGGGTGCCCACCTAGTGCTCTGCCATGCCTGCATCCCCACTCCAGAGGCCCCCCAGGGACTCTCAGTGTGGAAACAGACCCCAACTTAACAGAAAAGGCTGGGATGCCTGTTGGCTGATGAAGTCAGGCCTTTTGGACAGATATCAAGCAGAAGCCATGACTAGTGATAAGGCTCCCCTTCCCTCTGGGTTTCGAGAGCCACAGTTTCGAGAGCTTGGTGGGCAGTAAACAGCCCCAAAGCTTCTCAACAGACACAGAAGGGTGTGGCTTCTTCCCATTGGGAAGCTATTGGTGGGAGGGTTGCCAGACCCTTCCCAGATCTTGTTTCAGCTGGGTGAGCCTGGGGACACTTGGCCACACAGGGTGTCCCCAACTAAGCTAGGATGCAAAAAGAAAATGCCTTGTCCCAGTCATAGCCCAGTGGGAGACAGAGGGGTAAACAATCAAAATGGGGTGTGAGGACAGCTCTGAAGGAGGCCTGAGCCAGGGGGTGTCCCCTGGAGGCACCAGGAGAAGCAGGGAGGGTGCTCTCAGCAAAGGCAGCCACATGGGAGTCTGGGGGGTGCCCAGGAAGCTGCAGACCCCAGAGGCCCCACAGAGCTCTGCAGACTGCCCAGTTGCAGAAAGCCTAGACCCACCATCAAAATCAAAATAGGGGCCGGGCGCCATGGCTCACGCCTGCAACCCCAGCACTTGGGAGGCCAAAGCAGGTGGATCTCTTGAGGTCAGGAGTTTGAAACCAACCTAACCAACATGGTGAAACCCTGTCTCTACTGAAAATACAAAAATTAGCTGGGTGTGGTGGCACACACCTGTAATCTCAGCTATTTAGGAAGCTGAGGCAGGAGAATTCCTTGAACCCAGGAGGCAGAGGCTGCAGTGAGCCGAGATCGCACCACCGCATTCCAGCCTGGGCAACAGAGAAAGACTCCATCTCAAAAAAAAAAAAAAAAAAAAAGACAAAAAAAAAAACCAAAGTGGGGAGCCCTCGGGGACTTGTGCCTCCTTTAATGCTAAAGATGGACAGACTAGGGGTCTGAGAGGTGGTGCCACCTGCCCAAGGTCACCCCACTGGCTAGTTTGGGCTGGGCCCTGGCACACAGTAGGTGCTTACTAATGGGCTGTGAGGACTGGAATCCGGGGAGCCAGAGAGAGGGCCACCGCCCTTCCGCCCCTACCATCCCACAGATCTTTACTGAGAGCCTTCCACTGCGCTGGGAGCTCAGCCACATGCGGAAGACACGAAGAGCCAGGTAAACAGATGGGAGCGCATGGGGAGTAAGGCCCTCCCGGAGGAGGGAGCCCGGGGACAGAGTACCCCAGGCCTATGCAAAGGCCCTGAGGGACAGAACGTGCTGTGTGGCTGAGCAGAGGAGCAGAGGCCAGGAGGGGCATGCAGGCTGCAGAGGGGAATTTGGGTTTGATTTCAAGTGCATGCCTCACACAGGACTGGCGTGGAGAGGGCAGGGGGAGCTGCCATGGGGAACCCAGGCCTGGCTGCAGCAGGCTGGAGAAGCGGCTCTAGGAGGAGCCTTTGCTCTTCAAGCGCCTGCACCTTTCTCGTTTCCCACCTCCACCCATTATCCAGAAACACAATGGCCCAGAGAAGGGGTTGATCTTCTGGCTCCCCCAGGGGCTTTCCCAGCCCCTCCTGAAGTCCCCTGGACGCAGCAAGGCTGAGCCTCATCACCCTCATTTGCCACCACCAGAGGAGGGTCATCGCCATCATCACCGCCGTCACTAGTGTCCCGGCAGTAGCATTTCTTGAGCGCTCGCTCTGTGCCAGGTGCTGGCCCAAGCCCTTCGTGTGCATCCTTTTGACAAAGCAGTGCTGTGAGCACAGGGCTCTTAACCCCATTTTACAGATGAGGAGACTGAGAGAGGCAGGCATCCAGACAAGATTGCATGCTTGACGCCTCCTCCAGGCAGATGCAGGCTCCAGGAGCTTGAGCATAGCCATGGTATGTGGCTGGTATGTCAGGTGGAGCTGGAGTCTTTTGTGGGGACTGTTGCTGGAGGTGGGAGGGGCAGGGACTGGGATTGGAGAATGCAGAAAGCAGAAAGGGACCAGATGAGGTGGCTCAATGCCTGTCATCCCAGTACTTTGGGAGGTCGAGGCCAGAGGATCAGTTGAGCCCAGGAGTTTGAGACCAACCTGGGCAACAGGGTGAAACCCCATCTCTACAAATAATAAAAAATTATTCAGAAATGTTTGGTTTTTTGTTTTGTTTTGTTTTGTTTTTGTTGTTGTTTTTTTCGAGACAGAGTCTCACTCTGTCACCCAGGCTGGAGTGCAGTTGTGCAATCTCGGCTCACTGCAACCTCCACCTCCCTGATTCAAGTGATTCTCCTGCCTCGGCCTCCCGAGTAGCTGGGACTACAGGCACCCACCACCATGCCCAGCTAATTTTTGTATTTTTAGTAGAGATGGGGTTTCACCATGTTGGCCAGGCTGGTCTCAAACTCCTGACCTCCAGTGATCTGCTCACCTCAGCCTCCCAAAGTGCTGGGATTACAGGTGTGAGCCACCATGCCTGGCCCAGGATTTTCTTTCTGTCCTTGGCGCTGTTTGCGTGATCTTGAGGGCCTCTTTGGAATCTCAGGGATGCCCTTCCACAGACGTATATAGCCCAGAGACTGATCAGTGGACCATCTTGGCATCCATGCCAATTGGCAGGAGTAGCCATGGTGTGACTGCACTGCACAGAAAAATAATAGTTCTTGGAGGCCTTTGTTATAATAGTTATCTCAGGGATTCCATTCTTGCTTTTGATCTGGATGAAAACAAATGGAAGAAAGATGAGTGCCCTCGGATGCCCTGCAAGCTGGATGCAACCTGCATTTTCTGGACCATGTACAGGGCAAAGTCAGATGCTGTAACTAATGATATCCTTCTCCCCGCCGCCCCCCGCCCCCGCCAAAAAAAGCAAAGTATTTGTTTGTGATAAAGTAGTTAATTAAAAAAAATAAAGAAAAAAATTAACTGGATGTGATGGCGCACAGCTGTGGTCCTAGCTACTTGGGAGGCTGAGGCAGGAGCATGGCTTGAGCCCAGGAGGTTGAGGTTGCAGTGAGCCGTGATCGTGTCACTGCTCTCAGCCTGCATGACAGAGTGAGACCCTGTCTCAAAAAATACAAGGCAGAAAGGTAGGCTGCAGGATGCAGGTCAGGGGGAGAGCAAAACGTGAGAGAAAGATATGTTAACTCCTTGCACACAGAGTGTGCACAGGTAAACATATACATGCACACGCTGGCATATAAAAATGCATGCACCTTGGCATGGACATGTGAACGCACACCTGCACACACAAGCAAGCACTGTATGCATGTGCGTGCACACACAAACACACACACATGGATTCACATGAATGCAACACACCACGTGTGTGCCTAGGGGTACACACATGCTGCACGTGCACGTGGACACCAACGCAGTACACGCACACTGAACCCCAAAGCAGGCCATCTGCACATTTCTTTCCTTAGCAATGATCATGGTTCATTCATTCATGCAATAAATGTATGTTGAGCCATTTTTGGTGCCAGGCCAGGCAACGGGCAATGCAGACTGAGCCAGGAGGGCCCCACAGTCCCAGCCCGATTGCCCCAGAGGAGCTCATAGACTAGACCGGGGGCAGGGAGGGGAGCAGACGGTAAGCAGGGAATTAAGCTCTCGTAGGGCATTTGTTCCTGTTGCCCTGGAACAGAAGCACAGAGAGCTCTGGGGCCTGAGAGCCATCTGTGGGGGCTGCCGGAATGAGCAGGAGTGAGGGGTCCAGGGTTTGGGCACATGACATGTCGGGAAGGGATCTGGCCAGGAAAGAAGAGGCTGGGGTGAGGCTCAGACAGGCCTAGCAAATGTAGAGTCTGGGTTTACTGACCCGATAGGCCCAGGAGCATTCCTTTTCCACCCCCTGCACCCACTGTGAGCTCCTGAGGGAGCCTCGGCTGCCCCCTCTCTGTCCCCACCCACTCATCTCCCAGTGCCCAGAACAGGTGAGTGCCTTTCAAATACGAGACTGCCTCTTGAATACAAGATTCTGTTCTGCAGTTGACACAAACAATGCCGTTTTGCCCTCTCCATCCACCTCTTCCCCGCCCCCACCACGAACACACGCAGCCCTCGGTTTCCCCATCTGGGCAATGGGTGTGTACCAGCCCCTCCTCACAGAGCTGTGAACTGAGTTAGTGGGAGACTGTGTTTCACAGAGGAGGTTGCACCGCTCCTTGCTCCTCTAGGCAAAGAGCAGCCCCTCGGAGGAAGCCCACGACACCCCCTCCCTGATGCAACCCTGGATGCTCACCCATCTCCCACCACACACGTGTATGTAACCCCCCGACTCCACACCTCACATAGACCCCCACCACACCTACCCTCCACCACTCCCCACGCCCCCCAACACACACACACACTCGCCGCCCTGGGCAGCCCAGCCAGTCTCGCCTTCCCCCGCTGAGCCCCCCTCAAATCCTGGACCCGGCAGTGACAAGCAGGCGCGGCCCGCGGCCACCCCCACCCCTGGCTGCAGGGCTGTGTTCATTGATCCGAAGATGCTCTTTCCTTTTCCTCAGGCGCTTCTCTGAAGGATGGAAAAATCGATGCCCGCAGAAGCACAGGTGCAGGGAAGGTACGGACAGTGCTGGGGAGAAGACCAAGGGCAGGGGAGAGCCAGACGCCGGGGTCCAGGCCGGCTGGGCTGCAGCGGGCTCTTTCTCACCTCCCAGAACCACCTCAGAGGCAGGCGTGGTCAGTCCAACCGCCAGCGCTGTTTTGTCTTTTAATATTTTGCCCTGACGACAAGAGCTGTATGTGCTCATTGTAGAAAATAAAAATCACTGAATCCATCCCCAGAGGTAACCTCCCTGCTAACGTGCACAGTAAATCCTTCCAGGCTTTTTTTCTCTGCACACTGAATGTGCTTTTTATTTTTGCAAAAATGGTACGTGCTCGACTGCTTTTTCCACCCAACACTATGCCACCGACATCCTTCTGTGTAAAGACCTGTCGTCAGCATCTTGGTATCTGAAGGCTGCACCATGATCTGTCTTGTTGGGTGGTAAAGGCATAGCACAAGGGTTAGGGTCAGAATCTTGGCCCCTTGCTATGTGACCTTGGACTGGTGGCTACACCCTCTGACCTCAGTGTGGTCCTCTTCTGGGAGATGGGGTTACTAAAGCCTGCGTTATAGCATTGTGGTGAGAATTACATAAGAAAACGGGCAGGAAGCACTCCTTTCATGTGGAGTCCGTCGAAAGCACACTATTGGCTGTGGCTATGATTATTTTTAATCTTTATCATTATACAGCTAAACAATTGTTTATTCAATCCATCCTATTATTGAACATATAGGTTGTTTACTCAACTTCCTTTAAAGAAGAAGGCTGCGGTGAATGTCCTTGCTAAGGGATCTTTGACAAATTCTCAATTATTAATCTTGAGAAATTTCTAGAAGGAAAGAGATGCACGTTTTAGGGCCTGTGCTACATTCTGCCAAATTACCCTCCAAAATGTCCCGATGACACTCTGTATTGGCTTCCTAGGGCTGTCAGACAAATGACCACGCACTCGATGGCTTAAAACAACAGAAATTCATTCTCTCACAGCTCTGGAGGCTCAAAGCCCAACATCGAGCTGTCATCAAGGCTGCATTCCCTCCCAAGATTAGAGGGAAGAATGCTTCTTTGCATTTTCCAGCTTTTCTCAGGGCTGGTATTCCTGACTGGTGGACTCATCACTCCAGTCTCCTCCTCTATCTGTCTGTCTGTCTTCTCCCCAAGTGTCTTATTCCAGGATAACCTCCTCATTTCAAGATCTTTAACTTGGCCAGGCAAGGTGGCTGACACCTGTAATCCCAGCACTTTGAGAGGCAGAGGTGGGAGGATTGCTAGAGCTCAGGAGTTTGAGAACAGCCTGGACAACACAGTGACACCCCCCATCTCTACAAAAAATAGAAAAATTAGCTGGACATAGTGGCACACACCTGCTTTCCCAGCTACTCAGGAGGCTGAAGTGGGAGGATTGCTTTGGTCCTGGAGTTTGAGGCTGCAGTGAGCTATGATTGTATCACTGCACTCCAGCCTGGATGACAGAGTGAGAACCTGACTCAAAAAAAAAAAAAAAAAATCCTGGCTGGGAGTGGTGGCTCACGCCTATAATCCCAGCACTTGGGGAGGCTGAGGCGGGTGGATCACCTGAGGTCAGGAGTTTGAGATCAGCCTAGCCAACATGGTGAAACTCCATCTCTACTAAAAGTACAAAAAATTAGCCGGATGTGGTGGCGCACGCCTATAGTCCCAGCTACTCAGGAGGCTGAGGCACGAGAATCATTTAAGCCCAGGAGGTGAAGGTTGCAGTGAGCCGAGATCGCGCCATTGCACTCCAGCCTGGGCAAAAAGAGCAAAACTCCATCTCAAAATAAATAAATAAATAAATAATTCTTACCTTAATTACATTGACAAAATGTACCTTTTTCCAAATAAGACAGCAGGCGCGGTGGCTCCTGCTTATAATCCCAGCACTTTGGGAGGCCAAGATGGGAGGATTGCTTGAGGTCAGGAGTTTGAGACCAAGGGAAGAGGGATTCTGTAGAACCCCTTTTCCTTCACCACACAGGATATTTTAATCTTTTTGAAATTTTTGGCCAATTTGATAGGGTAAAAGGATAACTTGTTTTAACATGTATTTCTTTTGTTGTTAGTGAAGATGAACCTACTCTCATATGCTTGTTGGCTTTTTTTATTTCTTATTTTGTGAATTACTAATTCATGTCCTTTGCATATGTCCCTATTAGGTATTCACTGTCTTCTAATGGATATGTGAGAGCTCTTTGTAGATGCAGGATATTGAGCCTTTATCATCTCTTGTAAATATCTTCTTAATTGGTCACTTACTTTTTAGGGCTTTTTTTCGTAGTTCTTCCATGTACATAACTTTCAAACTTTTTCGTAGCAAAGCTTCAGGAGGATTTTACCATCCGTTGAATAATTAAACAGGCCTTTCCCATCACATTCTTTTCATCTAGCACTTTTATAGTTCCACTTTTATATTTAAGTTTTCGTTTTGTCTGCAATTTATTTTAGTTATGGTGTATGTTAAGGCTAACAGCCTCCCTCCGCCCCCAGATATTGAACAGTTGTCTTAATACCATTTAATAAATAGCTCATCTTTTCCCTACTGATTTTAAATGATGTCTTTATCATCTATTAAATTTGACTAACCTAACCTAGCAGACTGAGCTAATGTTGACACTGCTCCTGCTGAGGAATATGGACAAAATTTAACAACAACAACAAAAAAAAATTGATCTTGAAAGAAAAAATGGGAGATCACCCAGTACTGGAGTTTGGGAGGAGGCAACTGGAGCAAGAAGCCATTCTGTAGCTGAGAACCCAACAAAAAGCAAGATCCTCGCTGAACAGGAGCTCACAGCTAAAAATGCAAACCGCAAAATGAACTGATCCTCAACAGGGAGTGTCAGCAGACAAAACAAGAAGAGGATTAGACCACCAAGAAATTGGGATAAGAGCACACTCCGAAAGAGACTACAAAAGAAGTGTGCTTTAAATTATTAAAAGAAAAAAAATAAGAAAATGAAAAGACACCATGAAAAAAGAGGCAGCCAGCCCTAGTGGCTCACGCCTATAATTCCAGCACTTTGGGAGGCCAAGGCAGGCGAATCATTTGAGGTCAGGAGTTCAAGACCAGCCTGGCCAACATGACGAAACCCTGTCTCTATGAAAAGTATAAAAATTAGCCAGGCATGGTGGTGAGCGCCTGTAGTCCCAGCGGCCACTCAGGGGTCTGAGTTGGGAGGATGGCTTGAGCCTGAGAGGCAGAGGTTGCAGTGACCCGAGATCACGCCACTGCACTCTAGCCTGGGTGATAGAGCCAGACCTTGTCTCAAAAATAGAAAACAAAAGAAAAGAAAACAACACAAACAAAAATAAGAGGCAAAGTTGAAGGAAAAACAAAGATCTTCTTGAAAGGAAAACCGTAGCCACTGAAAATAAATTTCAATGCCTTGGTTAAATAGCAGATAAGACGCAGCTGAAGAAGTGTTCATGAACTGAAAGACAGAACTGAGGAAATTACCCAGAATGTAGCCCACAAAGATAAAGAGGGCCAGATGGAGTGACTCATGCCTATAATACCAGCACTTTGGGAAGTCAAGGCAGGAGGATCACTTGAGACCAGGAATTTGAGACCAACCTGGGCAACATAGCAAGACTCCCTGTCTCTACAAAAAAATTTTAAAAATTAGCTGGGTGTGGTGGCACATGCCTTTAGTCCTAGCTACTGGGGAGGCTTGAGGCAGGAGGATTGCTTGAGCCCAGGAGTTCAAGGTTACAGTGAGCTGTGATCACACCACTGCACTCCCACCTGGGCAACAGAGTGAGATGCTGCCTCTAAAAAAATTTTTTTAAAGAAACAAAGATAAAGAGATAAATAATAAAAATAGAAACACATTGAAAAGAATAAAAGAGTCCAACATATGGCTTAGAGAAGACCTGGAAAGAGATAGATTATAAGGAGGATGGAAAAGAGATCATATTCAGCATGATAATGTCTGAGAATATTCCAGAATTGATGAAAGACACAATTCCTCAAATTTAAGAAGTGCATCAGGCTGGGCACGGTGGCTCACACCTGTAATCCCAATACTTTGGGAGGATGAGGTGGGAAGATAGCTTGAGCCCAAGAGTTTGAGACCAGTCCTGGCAACATAGTGAGACCTCGTCTCTACAAAAAATTAAAAAGTCAGCCAAGAGCAGTGGCGCAAAAAAAAAAAAAAATGCATCAACCACAAGAAGGATAAATAATAGTGAACCAAACCCAATTATCTATACCAAATATGTAATCCTAAAGACAAAGAAAATGACTTAAACCAGAAAAGAAGAAGAGATTATCTAACAGCATCCATAATAAAGACATATAATGGTGTTCTGAGTACATTGACTCTTTAAGTCCTCAAAACAACACTATTAGTGTTATTTTTATTTTATTTTATTTATTGAGACAGGGTCTCACTCTATCACCCAGGCTGGAGTGCAGTGGCATGATCACAGCTCACCACAGCCTTGACCACCCAGGTTCAGGTGATCCTTCCACCTCCTCCCAAGTAGCTGGGACCACTGGTGGCACGCACCACCAGGCCCGGCTAGTTTTTGTATTTTTTGTAGAGATAGGGTTTCGCCATGTTGGCCAGGCTGGTCTTGAACTCCTGACCTCAAGTGATCCACCTGCTTCAGCCTCCCATAGTGCTGGGATTACAGGCTTAAGCCACCGCACCCAGCCAACTATTAATGTTATTATCCACATTTTAAAGATGAAAAAATCAAGCGACAAAAAGCTTAAGTAATCTTTATTAGTTAATGCTACTTAATTTTTGTTACAATAATGACCCCTGAAGAATTTGGCCAGGCGTGGTAGCTCATACCTGTAATCCCAACGCTTTGTGCGGCCGAGGCAGGCAGACTGCTTGAGCTCAGGAGTTCGAGACCAGCCTAGGCAACATGATGAAACCCCATTTCTACAGAAAGTACAAAAATTAGCAGGGTGTGGTGACATACGCCTGTGGTCCCAGCTACTTGGGAGGCTGAAGTGGGAGGATTGCTTGAGCCCAGAAGGTCGAGGCTGTAGGGATCTGTATTGCACCACTACACTCTAGCCTGAGCCAACAGAATGAGATCCTGTCTGAAAAAGAAAAAAAAAAAATCGGCCAGGCGCAATGGCTCATGCCTGTAATCCCAGCATTTTGGGAGGCCGAGGTGGGCGGATCACAAGGTCAGGAGTTTGAGACCAGCTTGGCCAATTTGGTGAAACCCCATCTGTACTAAAAATACAAAAATTAGCTGGGCATGGTTGTGGGTGCCTGTAGTCCCAGCTACTTGGGAGGCTGAGGCAGGAGAATCACTTGAACCCGGGAGGCGGAGATTGCAGTGAGCCAAGGTCGCACCACTGCACTCCAGCCTAGGCGACAAAGCAAGATTCTGTCTCAAAAACAAAAACAAAACAAAACAAAAATCACACTTCCCTATGACTTTGCTACTCCTCCCCTTAAGAGGATACTCTTGCCACAGAGTGAGAAGCTGAGTCCTTTTCAACCCCTTTTGAATCTGGAATGGCCTTGAGATCTCACCAATGGAGGGTAGCAGAGATGATGTTATGCCTCTTTCAAAGCCAGGCCTTAAGAAGCTGCAAGACTTCTACCTTTGCTATCTTAGAACAAACAATTACACGACAAGAAGCCCAGTGTAGGCAGGGCACAGTGGCTCACACTTGTAATCCAAGCACTTTGGGAGGTCAAGGCAGGTGGATTGCTTGAGTCCAGGAGTTCAAGACCAGCCTGGGCAACGTGGCAAGACATCGTCTCTACTAAAAATAAAATAAAATAATCAGTCAAACCTGGTGGCATACACCTGTGGTCCCAGCTACTTGGGAGGCTGAGGCGGGAGAATCACTTGAGCCCTAGAGGCAAAGGTTGCAGTGAACTGTGATTGTGCCACCACACTCCAGCCTGGGCAACAGAGTGAGACCCTATCTCAAAAAATAAAAAATAAAAAGAAGCCTAGTGTAGATTCTGTTGGAAGGGAACCACCCATTAGATGGCCAACACCACCTGCCAGGCATAGCAGTGAGTTCATCTAGAACCCTCCACCCCAGGTGTTATGGGCTGAATTACATCATTTCCTGCCCCCCTGCCTTGCCACAAATTCACATGTTGAAGTCCTAACCCCACTACTTCAGAATGTGATTTTATTAGGATCGAGGGCCTTTTTTTTTTTTTTTTTTTTTTGAGACGGAGTCTCGCTCTGTCGCCCAGGCTGGAGTGCAGTGGCGTGATCTCGGCTCACTGCAACCTCTGCCTCCCAGGTTCAAGTGATTCTCCTGCCTCAGCCTCCCAAGTAGCTGGTATTACAGACGCGTGCCACCATGCCTGGCTATTTTTTTGTATTTTTGGTAGAGATGGAGTTTCACCGTATTAGCCAGGATGGTCTCAATCTCCTGACCTTGTGATCCACCCGCCTTGGTCTCCCGAAGTGCTGGGATTACAGGCGTGAGCCACCATGCCCGGCCGATAGAGGGCTTTTAAAGACATAATTAAGGTAAAACGAGGTCATATAGGTGGGCCCTAAGCTAATGTGACTAATATTAGGGCCAGGTGCAGTGGCTCACTCCTGTAATCCCAGCACTTTGGGAGACAGAGGCGGTTGAATCACGAGGACAAGGTCAGATCGAGACCATCCTGGCTAACACGGTGAAACCCCGTCTCTACTAAAAAATACAAAAAATTAGCTGGGCGTGGTGGCGGGTGCCTGTAGTCCCAGCTACTTGGGAGGCTGAGGCAGGAGAATGGTGTAAACCCGGGAGGCAGAGCTTGCAGTGAGCCGAGATGGCACCACTGCACTCCAGCCTGGGCAACAGAGCAAGACTCCATCTCAAAAAAAAAAAAAAAAAGAGAGATTAGCACACAGGCAAGCACTGTGTGCAGATGCTGAAAGAAAGGGGCATCTGTAAGCCAAGGAGAGAAGAAACCAACTGTGCCAATATCTTGACCTGGGACTTCTATCGTCTAGAATTGTGAGAAAATACCTTTCTGTTATTTATTTATTTATTTATTTATTTTATTTATATTGAGACAGAGTCTTGCTCTATCGCCCAGACTGCAGTGCAGTGGTACGATCACGGCTCATGGCAACCTCCACCTCCTGGGGCTCAAGTGATTCTCCCACCTCAGCCTCTTGAGTAGCTGGGACCACAGGTGCATGCCCCCACTCCTGGCTAGGTTTTATTTTGTATTTTTATAGAGACTGGGTTTCACCATGTTGCCCAGGCTGGTCTCAAACTCCTGGGCTCAAGCGGTCTTCTTGCCTCAGCCTCCCAAAGTGCTGGGATTACGGGTGTGAGCCACCGTGCCCAGCAGCTTTCTGTTTTTAACCCACCCAGCCTGTGGTATCTTGTTAAGGCAGCCCTAGCAAACGAATATATCATTCAAACCGCAGGTGAGAGCAGCCATGTGAAAGACCCCAGGCAAGACTAGCAGAAGAGCTGCCCAGCTGAGCCCAATCCAAATTGCAGAATTGTGACTGTAGATAACCAGGCACAAATTCACAAAATGATGAATGGCAGGGCCAGGACTTGGACCCAGGCAGCTCAGGAGTCCAGGACACATGCCTTCACCACTGGCACGAAGCCCACAAAGAAACAGCGAAGCCCATCAGCAATGACAGAGGACAAAAATGTAATTATCATCTCTTCAAGAGGACGAAGGAAAATATTTGTCAACCAAAACTGTCTTTCAGCTCAACTGTCTTTCAAGGGCAAGGGCAAAATAAAGACATTTCAGACAAAGACTGAGGAACTTTACCACTCACAGCTCTTTGCTGAAAGAGCTAGTAAAAGATGACCTAAGGAAGAAGGGAATCAAGCCCTGTACCAAGCACATTCTGCAAGAAGCAATGAATGGAGATATGGAAACATGGGTAAAATCTAAATAAGAGCTGGCCGTAAAATCAACAATCATAATTACCAGTGGTGGATTAAAACAAGGTGGAACTGCCGGGCACAGTAGCACATGCCTGTAGTCCCAGCTCCTCAGGAGGCGGAGCAGGAGGATCATTTGAGGCCAGGAGCTCTGGGCTGAAGTTGACTATGCCAGTTGGGTGCTGGTGCTAAGCTCTGCATCAATATGACGACCTGCCAGGAGGCCACCAGGTTACCCAAAGAGGGGTGAACTGGCCCAGGTTGGAAACAGAGCAGGTAAAAATTCCTGTGCTAATCAGTATTGGGGTGCAGCCTATGAATAGCTATTGCACTCCAGCCTGGGCAACATAGCAAGGCCCTGTTTCTAAAAAAATAAAAAATAAAGAAAAGGTGGAACTAAATATTAGGCAATCATAATATAGTGTTTGGAAGGTGTCACTGGAGTCAAATCACTCCAAGATCTTGTACTATCTAGCAGGAGGGTGAAAAATAGTGATTTTGATTATAAGTCAATTTTTTTTTTTTTAGACGGAGTTTTGCTCTGGTTGCCCAAGTTGGAGTGCAATGGTATGATCTCGACTCACTGCAACCTCCACCTCCCAGGCTCAAGCGATTCTTCTGCCTCAGGCTCCTGAGTAGCTGGGATTACAGGCATCCACCACCATGCCCGGCTAATTTTTTGTGTTTTTAGTAGAGATGGGGTTGCTCCATGTTTGTCAGGCTGGTCTTCAACTCCTGACCTCTGGCGATCTGCCTGCCTAGGCCTCCCAAAGTGCTG
Source organism: Homo sapiens (assembly GCF_000001405.40). Taxonomy (NCBI): domain Eukaryota; kingdom Metazoa; phylum Chordata; class Mammalia; order Primates; family Hominidae; genus Homo; species Homo sapiens. Next base: position 129,369,757 of record NC_000009.12, on the reverse strand, counting down.
GGATTACAGGTGTGAGCCACTGTGCCCAGCTGAAGATTATTAAAAAATTTTATGCATGATAAAAACCTAAAGATAATCTCTAAAAGGCATAAAAGGAATGTGTAACTTTCAAACCAATAAAGGGAAAAGGTGAGAAATAAAGAAACACAATCAATCTGATAGCAAAAAAGAGGAGGGAGGGAGAGGGGAAAGCTGTGGGTGTTTTGTATGTTGATTTTACAACTGGCTACTTTGGTAGAATGCTTTCATTATTTAATAGTTTTTCATTTGCTTCCCTTGGATTTTCAAGTGGACAATTATAATATCCACAAGTAAGGATAATTTGTCTCCTTTTTAGTGGCTGTCCTTTAATTTGTGTTTCTTGTCTTATTGCATTGTCCAGAACTTTCACAGCAATATAGCATTATAGAGCATATATAAAGCATCCTTGCCACGTTCAAGACATTGCTAAGAATGCTTCCAGTACTTTTTAAATTTTATGTTATTATTTATTTATTTATTTATTTTGAGACAGAGTCTCGCTCTGTCGCCCAGGCTGGAGTACAGTGGCGCAACCTTGGCTCACTGCAACCTCCGCCTACCTGGTTCAAGCAATTCTTCTGCCTCAGCCTCCCGAGTAGCTGGGACTACAGGCATGCGCCACCAAGCCCAGCTAATTTTTGTATTTTTAGTGGAGATGGGGGTCTCACTATGTTGATGATCTCTTGATCTCATGATCCGCCCGCCTCAGCCTCCCAAAGTGCTGGGATTACAGGTGTGAGCCACCGCACCCGGCTGCTTCCAGTATTTTAATGTTAAATGAGATGTTGACTCTTGGCCTGAGATAGATGTTCTTTGTCATTGAATTATTCAGGATAAGCTAGATTGTGCTGCAGTAACAAATAATGTCAAAACCTCACAGCTTGAGAGAAGTTTATTTCCTGCTCATACCAAGTCGCCTGTGGCTCCAGGCAGACAGCTGTGATGTGGTCGGCATGGTCCTTCTGCGTAGCAGGTGGTCTCATGCTTGCTGAGGCAAGGGAAGAAGAGTTGGAGACTCTCATACTGGCAATTCAATGTTTCTACCTAGAAGTGGCATGTGTTACTTCCACTCACATTTTATTGGATAAAGCAAGTCACACGGCCCTGCCTAACCCCCATGGGAAGTGTGGGCCCAGCCTGGAAGGAGGAATGGAAAGGTTGGCGAACACACAGATGTTGCCACAGTCATGGGAATCTTACACTTGGGACCCCGAAAGACCCTAAAAGTCAACTTGAGGAGTCATTAGGCCTTGGCAGTCTGATTGGTAGCAGCAGAGGCTAAAGATGAGGTGAAGTTGTGCATTCACAGGCACTGGGGGCTTCTGTTGCCGTTGGAGTCTGGCTGTGCAGTTGTTTCCTTCTTTAATTCTGGGGCGGGGGGAGGGGTGGTCTCTGAATCCTCATAATGAATTTTCCCCTTTTCTGAACTCATTTGAGTAGATTTCTCTTACTTGTGACCCAAAGAGTCTCAATCAGGGTAATTTGCGGGTATTTTATTAAGGACTTGTATCATGTTCCTAAGCAAGACTGGTCTGTAGTTTTGTGTTATCTGCCAACCTTTTAGGGTTATACTACATTCTGTTGTTGTTGTTGTTTGAGGCAGAGTCTTGCTCTGTTGCCCAGGCTGGAGTGCAGTGGTGATCTCTCAGCTCACTGCAACATCCACCTCCTGGGTTTGAGTGCCTCCGCCTCCCAAGTAGCTGGGACTACAGGCGCGCACCACCACGCCTGGCTAATTTTTGTATTTTTTTTTGTAGGGACGGGGTTTTGCCAAGTTGCCCAGGCTGGTCTCAAACTCCTGACCTCAGGTGATCCACAACCCTCAGCCTCCCAAAGTGCTGGGATTACAGGCGTGAGCCACCAACGCCCGGCCACTATATTCTTAAGATGGTTGGAGAGGCTTTCCATCTTTCCTGTGTCCCAAAACGGAGTATTTGAAAGAACTTACTAGTAAAAGTGTCAGGACCCAACACTTCCCTAGGAAGTCTAGGAAGTAGCTCTTTCTCTACCTATTCTTTTCTTTTTCTTTTTTAAAAAATTATTTAATTATTTTATTTTGAGACAGAGTCTTGCTCTGTTACCCAGGCCGTCCAGAGTGGAGTGCAGTGGTGCAATCTCAGCTCACTGCGGCCTCGACCTCCCGGGCTCAAGCAATTCTCCCACCTCAGCTTCCAGAGTAGCTGGGACTACAGGTGTGCACCATCACACCTGGCTAATTTTGTTCATTTTTTGTAGAAATGGGATCTCACTATGTTGCCCAGGTTGGTCTCGAACTCCTGGACTCAAGGGATCCTCCCACCTTGGCCTCTCAAAATATAGGGATTACAGGAATAAGCCACCAAGCCCAGCCCTACCTTTCCAATTTATCCTGCAGTAATAGGTTTTTTTGGTTTTCTCCTACTTGTGGAATCAGTTTTGGTTATATGTATTTTCTTATTAAAATATCTATTTGTTCACATTTCCACATTTATTATTCTAACTTTGCTTATTATAATTTAATTTTTAGAATTTCCTTTTTTGCCTTTATTGTCATGCATTTGTTTCTCTCTGCTTATTTTCTTTCCATCTGCTAGAAGTTTACCTAATTTATTAGACTTTCAAAACACCAAGTCATGTAATTATTTTTATTTCTAGCGTTTTTCTCTTTTCTAATATATTAGATTCTTCTTTTTATCTTTATCGATTCCTTCTTTCTCCTTTCCTTAGCTTTATTTTGTTCTTTTTTCTAATTTCTCCAGTTGAATCTTAATTTATTGACTTTCATAATTTCTTATTTAAGAAGTTCATAACACTGAGTATGAATTTCCTCCTTGTAACATTTGAGCCATTTTCCCATATGTTTGGATATGTGGTATTTGCAGTGTAACAGTTTGTCATGTAGGTTTTATTTAAAGTTATTTACGAAAGTGGTTTTTAATTTTCAAATGGTTGGCTTTTTAATTTAAACTTTTGTTAATAATTTCTAGCTTAATTGCACTGTGGTTAAAGAATGAAGCTCTCACTATATCTGCTTTGGGGGTTCTATTGAGTTTTTCTTTGTGGCCTAATATATGATCAATTTTTATAAATGTTTGATGGACTCTGGCAAAGAAATGAGTACCTTTTATTTGTAGGGTACTAAGTTCAATTATTAAATCAATCTTATTCATTATATTATTCCGATCCTACATTAATTGTTGGGGAGGTACTCTTTAAATATGTAAAAGAGGCTGGGTGCGGTGACCCACGCCTATAATCCCAGCACTTTGGGAGGCTGAGATGGGCAGATCATATGAAGAAGCCAGGAGTTCGAGACCAGCCTGGCCAACGTGGCAAAACCCATCTCCACCAAAAATACAAAAACTAGCCGGGCGTAGCGGTACACGCCTGTAGTCCCAGCTACTCAGGAGACTGAGGCAGGAGGATCCCTTGAACCCAGGAGGCAGAGGTTGCAGTGAGCTGAGATCGCACCACTGCACTCCAGCCTGGGCGACAGAGTGAGACTCTGTCTCAAAAAAAAGACTAAATATGTCAAAGACAGACATGTGTTAAAGACTCCTCCTCGCACCACAGTTTTTTCTTTGACCGTGTATGTGTGTCTAAGATATCACTCTCTCTGGTTGGAGCCAGTGCTGTGTAGGACATAAAGTATCATGACAATCAGATATTTCCTGCGGCTTGTCCCCTCTACCAATTCAAAGGACCTCGCGTCCCATCTCATGATTTTTGCCTGTGATTCTTTATCTGATATAAATATTATTACCTTTGCTTTTATTGAACTTGAATTTGCCTCATATGCCTTTGTCCAGTCTTTTGTATTTTTAACCTCTTTATGTCCTTCGGTTTTCTTTTTTTTTTTTTTCTGAGATGGAGTCTCAGTCTGTCGCCCAGGCTGGAGTGCAGTGGCATGATCTCAGCTCACTGCAACCTCCACCTCCCAGGTTCAAGCAATTCTCCGCCTCAGCCTCCCGAGTAGCTGGGATTACAGGCGCCCACCACCATGCCTGGCTAGTTTTTGTATTTTTAATAGAGACAGGGTTTTGTCGGGGATTATAGGCGTGAGCCACCGCACCTGGCCTGCCACAGTTTTCTGACATCTTCTGCAGCTCCTTTCAGAAATTACTGTTGGACGGGCATGGTGGCTCACACCTATAATCCCAGAACTTTGGGAGGCCGAGGTGGGCAGATCACTTGAGGTCAGGAGTTCAAGACCAGCCTGGTCAACGTGGTGAAACCCTGTCTCTACTAAAAATACAGCTTCCAGGTCTCTGAATGGGAGCAAATTATGGGAAAGATCCTGGGGACTTTCCTACCTTCATCCCTGGTCCCTGAGTCACAAGTTTCTCTCCAACATTGTCCTCTGCCGTGATCATTAGTAGAAACTCCTCCCAGCTTCTGGTATGAGTTTGGCAGCCATCTCTGTTTCCAAACCAACTGAGGTTTCATCTTTTTCTCTGCCTTCCTGGGTATTTAGTGGAAAAATAAGAACGGCTGTATCAGGCGTTTCTCCATAGATGTCATTTTATCCTGAAATCCACAAGTTCCTAGCTGTTGGTTTTTGTGTGTTTGTTGACCCAGACGTATTCATCCCCATATTCATTTAGTCCCAGAAAAGGAAGCCTTCACCGCTCTGCCTCATAGGGGATATTGGGAAATAAATCAGCCAATAATCCAGGGGAATTTTGGAAGGACGAAGGAGTGGGGGCAGGCTCAGGTCCCGGCCCTTCTTCCCTCTGCTGTGAAAAACCTATTTCCCCAGAGGTCTCTCCATCTCGGAAGCCTCGGTCTCGTGCCGTTGTACATATTTCTTTTTCTCTGTCAGTCTGTCTTGCCTTTTCTTTCTTTTTTTTTTTTTTCCTGAGTCTCACTATGTCGCCCAGGCTGGAGTGCAGTGGTGTCATCACGGCTCACTGCAACCTTGACCTCCTGGGCTCAAGCGATCCTCCTGTCTCAGCCTCCCAAGCAGTTGCGATTGTAGGTGTGTGCCACCGCGCCTGGTCACACACATTTCTTGAGCACCTGCTTTGCTCCAGGTTCTGGGGAAGAAACAGATCTGAGATTCCTGTCCTGATCGTGTGTGGCTTCCATCTCCTGGCTTTAGAGCATCATCTCCACTTGTCATCACGGCTTGTGGTGGGTTTTTTTGTTTTGTTTTGAGACAGAGTTTCACTCTGTCGCCCAGGCTAGAGTGCAGTGCCGTGATCTCCACTCAGTGCAAGCTCCGCCTCCCGGGTTCACGCCATTCTCCTGCCCCAGCCTCCCAAGTAGCTGGGACTACAGGCGCCCGCCACCGCGCCTGGCTAATTTTTTGTATTTTTAGTAGAGACGGGGTTTCACCATGTTAGCCAGGATGGTCTCGATCTCCTGGCCTCGTGATCCACCCGCCTCAGCCTCCCAAAGTGCTGGGATTACAGGCATAAGCCACCACACCCGGCCAAGGGTTTTTTTAATATAACCCTGCTAGTCACCTGCTAGACTGGCAGCTCCGCAAGAGCAGGGACAGCGTCTGTGTACTCAGTGGCTGCCCCAGCTGAGACCAAGCAGCACTGCCTGGAGAAGAGGTCATAGAAGCCGGGCTTCAAAGGGTGGTTAGGAGTTCAGTAAAGACAAGGCAGGGTGGGGGCAGGAAAGAGGGGCAGCTTCTCTCTCTCTGGGGCCTCCTCAGCCCAAGCCTGACATTCTTCATTGACTTTGTTCTCACCATGGCTTCTGCTGCTACATGGAGAAAGTTCTCTCTAGATCTCTCTTTTTTTTTTTTTTTTTTTTGAGACAGGGTCTCACTCTGTCGCCCAGGTTGGAGTTCAGTGGCGTGATCTCAGCTCACTGCAACCTCCTCCTCCCGGGTTCAAGCCATCCTTCTGGCTCAGCCTCCCGAGTAGCTGGGCCTGCAGGCATGCACCACCATGCCTGGCTTTTTTTTTTTGTATTTTTAGTAGAGACAGGGTTTTACCGTGTTACCCAGGCTGGTCTTGAACTCCTGACCTCAAGTGATCCACCTGCCTCAGCCTCCTAAAGCGATAGGATTATAGGTGTGAGCCACTGCGCCTGGCCTCTCTGGATCTCTTTAGAGGCTTGACAGCCCCTGGGGCGGGAAGGTGCTCTGAGGAGAATGAGGTCTGCAGTGCCTAGCCAGGCGAGCAGACGGATGTTTCCTAATGGGAAGGACAACCAGGCCATCTGGGCCTAAAAGCCAAGCTCTGAGAGCAGACACAGTCCCCTGCACTCCTCCAGGTGCCTTTTCTCGGGTAGCCTCCTTTTCTTCCTTTTCTTTCCTTTTTTTTTTGGACAAGATTTTGCTCTGTTGCCCAGGCTGGAGTGCAGTGGCGCAATCACAACTCATTTCAGCCTTGAACTCCTGGGGTCAAGTGGTCCTCCCGCCTCAGCCTCCTGAGTAGCTGGGATGACAAGCCTGAGCCACTGTGCCCAGCTAATGTCTGGGTTTTCTTGTTTGTTTGTTTTTGTTTTTTTGTTTGTTTGTTTGTTTTTTGGTAGAGATGGGATTTGGCTGTGTTACCCGGGCTGGTCTCAAACTCCTGGCCTCAAGCAATCCTCCCGCTTCAGCCTCTCAAAGTGTTGGGATTACAGGTGTGAGCCACCGTGCCAGTATTTATTATATTTATATGATATATATAATAAATATATATATATTTATATATATAATAAATATATATATATAATAAATATATATATAATAAATATATATATTTATATATTCTCTCTCTATATATATATAGATATTATAATATATAATAATATATATATTATTATAAAAAGATTAAAAAGTCTTTATGTTTTTTAAGCAGACATAAGTGGTGCCCGTCCCACCATGGCAGCCTCTGGGTTGCCATTACTTTTCCAACAGGCACGTTCATGGCTGGGGCTCCTGGATGGGAACCAAAAGCCATTTGCTTCGGAGGCAAAGTTTGAGTCAGGCCCAGCTGGGTCTTCCCATCTTTTATTTGCCCAATCCTATTAATAATTAATGGTACCGTAATGAGAATTGCTTTTAATAGAATCTGCTGCCATCACTGCATTCTGTTCCTCGCCAAGGGCTTCCCCCAAAAGGATTCACGCTCACATGGCTGCGTTTCCTGCCACGGGCACCAGGAAGCCAAGAGCTTCCCCGTTGATGTCCTTCACAGCCCCCTCTGCACCCCTGGGCCCGAGCCCCACTCCCCCATGACCTGGAGGCCCCTCTCACTCTTCTACCATGTCCTACCCACCTCCTCGGAGCCCCACTCCTGGTCCCCTGGAGGTTTGCACAGTAGAGTGATGCTGTCCCAGCTGGCCCAGCCACACATGTGCTGTCATGCCTCGTCTGTCACCCAGACAAACTGGTCCCTCTGGTCAGGGACCAGGCAGACAGGAAGCTGTTGTGCGCACCCTCCAGGCAGGGGCCGACATTCCAGACAAAACAAAAAACAAAACAGAAAAACGCCTATGCAGGGCAAGGGGCAGGGAGAGGATGGAAAGGAAAGGGCCTGGTTAGGCCACGGTTTGGGGGACCTTGGGAGAATGTAATCCCTGCCCCTAGTCTCAGTTTCTGCATCCACGGAAGAGGGGTGAAGATGGTCCCTACCCCTCCAGAATGTTCTTTTTTTTTTTTTTTTTTTGAGACAGAGTTTCACTCTTTTTGCCAAGGCTGGAGGGCAATGGTACGATTTCGGCTCACTGCAACCTCGGCCTCCCGGGTTCAAGCGATTGTCCTGCCTCAGCCTCCGGAATAGCTGAGATTACAGACGCCCACCACCACACCCGGCTAATTTTGTAGTTTTACAAACAGGGTTTCACCATGTTGGCCAGGCTAGTCTCGAACTCCTCACCTCACGTTATCCACCTGCCTCAGCCTCCCAAAGTGCTGGGATTACAGGCGTGAGCTACCGTGACTGGCCCGCTCCAGAATGTTCTGAGGAGAAGGGGAGCCAGTGGTGGGGAGGCCGAGAACTCAGGGAAGCTCCTTAATATTCACTCCAAGAAAATATCTGTGCTATGGCCAGGGTTTTAGCTATTAATGATTCTATCAATAAATATAATTTATTGGCAGTGTTTGTAATATCACAACTTGGAAACCACCTCTGTGTTCCACATGAGTGGATTGGCTGAAATAAGTCTTCGGCATTGCACAGAGGGGTACTCAGCCGCCACTGGAAAGGGGGCTGGAAGCCAGCTCCCCAAACCACACTGGGCCTCAGAGCTCCTGGAGATCCTGGGGAAGTATGGAGGCTGGGGTCTGGGACAGGGCTGTGATGCTGCACGCGTGCGCGCGCACACACACACACACAAACATGCATGCACGCCCACACGCACACACACACATACATGCACACGTACACACACACACAGGCACACACATGCACACATACATACACATATACACACACATGCATGCACACACGCATGTACATACACACACGCACACGCGCACATACATGCATACACATGCACACACATACACACACGCACGTGCATATACATACACGCACACACGCACACACATACCCACGCGCATACTCACGCACACGTCTAACCGGCAGCCAATTTGTGGAGCATTCTGAGGAACAAGAGGGTCGAGGGTTTGGGGTGACATGGAAGTTCACGTTCTGCTGGTGAATGGAAGAATCAGGTTACAAAACAAAGTATGTATGGGGGGGACCTGCGCTCTAGGGTCCCCTCCTGTGCTCGAAGTACAGCGAGCGAGCGCCACACATTCGTTAAAAGTCTAGAGGCAGCCTGGCGAGATGGCTCACCCCTGTAATCCCAGCACTTTGGGAGGCCAAGGCAGGCGGATCAGCTGAGGTCAGGAGTTCGAGACCAGCCTGGGCAAAATGGTGAAACCCCGTCTCTACTAAAAATACAAAACTTAGCTGGGCGTGGCAGCGTGCACCTGTAATCCCAGCTACTTGGAAGGCTGAGGCAGGAGAATTGCTTGAACCCAGGAGGTGGAGGTTGCAGTGAGCTGAGATCACGCTACTGCACTCCAGCCTGGGCGACAGAGCGGGACTCTGTCTCAAAAAATAAAAAAATAAAAAATAAAAATCTAGGTGCTAGAAGCTCAAATGCTCAACGTGGTGATAGATGGGTGATGAATTATAGATCATTTAAAATTTTCTCTTTGGTTTATCTTAATTTCAAAATTATCCACAATTAACATGTATTACTTTTGTAAATGAAGAAAATGGTTTTTTTTTGTTTTTGTTTTTTTAAAGAACAAATGTTCTCTTCCTTTCCCTACAACACAATCAGGGTAATATTCAGCTTGAAAAGGCAGGGGAATTCTGAGAGATGAGCAGGGTGGATTCTGGCTTTGCTCCAGAGCCTGTGTGGAGGGCTGTGGGCTAGACGGGGCGGCCATGGGGCTGGGGCGGCCTCCTGCAGCCCTTGTGTGCCTGACGCCAAGCTAAGCCCTCTGGACCCGGCATGGTCCCACTCAGACCCCCACACCCCACAGATCCCTAACAGTCGGGGAGCATCACCAGAAGGACTGGGATTAGTGCCACTTTGCGGCTGAAGGAACTAGAAGCTCTGGGAGGTGAGTGGCCTGCCCAGGCGGCCCAGCCTCCAGTGGGGGAGGGGTGGGTGGTGGAGGAGCAGGGGTGGAGGTGAGGGGCCTACTGGCGGGGGTGTCTGTACCAGCCACAAGGAAACCCCTTTCTCTTTGAGGGACTTTTGTTTGGCCACCAGTCAAAGTGGCCTCTCCAGAAAATCCAGAAAGACAGGTGATGAAGAGCTTTGAAAATTAGCTGGAGTGGCTGGGCACAGTGGCTCACGCCTGTAATCCTAGCACTTTGGGAGGCCATGGCGGGTGGATCACGAGGTCAGGAGTTTGAGACCAGCCTGGCCAACATGGTGAAACCCCATGTCTACTAAAAATACAAAGAATTAGCTGGGTGTGGTGGCGGACGCCTGTAATCCCAGCTACTCGGGAGGCTGAGGCAGGAGAATCGCTTGAACCCAAGAGGTGGAGGTTGCAGTGAGCCAAGATCATGCCATTGCACTCCAGCCTCAGTGACAGAGCAAGTCCCCGTCTTGAAAAAAAAAAAGAAAAAAAAAAAAAGAAAATTAGTTGGAGTGTTTATGTCCTGGGGAAGACAATGGGGAGCCATGGAGTGTTCTGTGACAGTGAAATGATTCCAGCTGTGGAATTGCTGCTTGGAGCTGTGAGCTCCCAGACACAGGTCAGGAGGTGATTACAACGGGCCAGACTGGGCTGGATAATACAAAGTGACAACGATAGCTAACATTTATTGAACTCCTGCGATGCCCAAAGATGCGACAAAGGTTTTTCACTCGGTCCTCACCCCAGCCTCAGGACGCTGCTGCTGTTGTTCTCCCCATTTTGCAGATGTGAGAACTGAGGCTCAGCTGGGACGTGGATGCAGGTCTGTGTGATGTCAGGGCGGGTGTTCTTACCACGATGCTACGCTGCAGAGAAAGGCGGGTGGGGAGGTGAAGGCACCTGGGGAGGCATGGCCGAGGCACAGGTGCGGGATGAGGGGACTGGGCCATCCTTCCACACTGGAGACCCACCTCCCAACCAGGCCTTGGGCCAAGCTAGAGGATTAGAGACAAACTAGACACGGACCCCTCCTGGACAGTCTCATGGGGGTGACAGACACGTATCAAGAGCCTGGTGACAGAGCCTTGGGACTTATGGGAGAATTTGGGAGGGGTCGGGAGCTCTCTGGAGGAGGGGAAGCCCAGGCTGAGTCCTAAAGAATGAACAGCTGATCTGATGACAACGGGGAGCATTTCAGGCAGCAGGGACAGCATGTGCAAGGGCCCAGAGGCCTGGAAAGTCACTTCCTCTGGCTGGAGCAGAGGTGGGGGTGGAGAGGTGTGAGCCTGCAGGAGTGGGCAGGAACCGTGCCCCTGCAGCCTTCAGAGTCGAGGGATAGAGCTGACTCTGTAAGGGGGACTTACGCCCCTGCAGGGCCGTGAGCTGGGGGAGACACTTCATCACACCCACAGCCCCTGTGTGGGGTACGGCCGTCAAGAGCCATGCTGCAGCCCGGGCCTGGGAAGAGTCTGGAGCAGCACTCCAGGCAGGGGAGGGAAGAGCAGCGGGGGGGTCCTGCACTGGGAGAAGTGGGCAGATGTACCCTTTCTTGTGGAAGACGAGTGGCTGCAGGGTGTGGGAGGGGAAAGAGGTAGAGGAAGCAGGATGGCTGTGGCCACCTATGGGCGACAATTCCCAGGATGGAAGGTGGAACTCAGGGGCGCCCTGGCTCTGTGGGGATGTTTGTGGGCAGTGCTGGGGGGCTGGTTTAGAAAACCAGCCCAAGGGCCGGGCTCAGTGGCTCACATCTGTAATCTCAGCACTTTGGGAGCCTGAGGCAGGTGGATCACTTGAGGTCAGAAGTTCAAGACCAGCCTGACCAACAAGGTGAAACCCTGTCTCTATTAAAAGTACAAAAATTAGCTGGGTGTGGTGGTGCGTGCCTGTTATCCCAGCTACTCGGGAGGTTGAGGCAGGAGAATCGCTTGAACCCAGGAGGCGGAGGGTGCAGTGAGCTGAGAACCTGCCACTGCACTCCAGCCTGGGCAACAAAGCGAGACTCTGTCTCAAAAAAAAAGAAAAGAAAACCAGCCCAAGGACCCCTACTCTGCAGGTGCCCTGGATTGACCACGCCCAGCCTCAGCCCTCTCACCTGGAAGCTTGGTGCTCCCACCTGGGCCCTGCCACTGTGTCTGCAACCCCGTCCCCCCACCCCAGGGCTCTGGCTGGAATCCCAGATGGGTGGAGGCTGCTGGAGCTGCACCACAAGGCAGCGGTGGAGACAGCACATCCCGGAATCCTCCTTCCAGCCCTGAGAGGCAGAAACATCACAGGGGCCATTTTCAGAGGGGGAAACAGGCCTGGTGTCACATGCCCAAGGACACACAGCTGGTGTGGGATCCATCTGAAAGCCTCAGAGACTGTTCCCAGGGCTGCGTCACTGGTCCAGGCTGGGGAGGAGGGTGGTGGCAGGGTCCTTCCTGATTATTGCTCTCAGGTAACCAGCTCTCCCCTGCCTGCCTCTGTTCGGAGACGTCAAGCCTGGGGACATGGCCTCCTGGGGGATGGTGCCAGTGGGGAGACGGAGGGGGAAGGGCCCCACAGGGGGTGGGGGCACAAACCAAACTGTGGCATTCACAGGCAGTGCTGCCCTGCTCGCTGGGGAAGGGCCACACGCAGACAGCCTGCCCTGCACAGTGGCACATGGGCATACACTGTGCCCGGACTCAGCCACACGCAGCAGACATGGCCAACAACCGCAGCACTGCACACTGGGTCCCGCTCAGCCAGGAGCCAGGACCAGGGTGCGCACAGACCTTTGTGGCTGAGACCTTTAGGCTGAGTGGGCTTGGGTCTCTGTCTCCTAATTCCACTCCCATTACCCGGTTTGCTCCTCATTGAATGTTATGCAGTAGGTGCTATTGGCATCCCATTTTACAGATGAGGATGCTGAGACCCAGAGAGGATGACATGAGCAGTGCTTGGAATGTGCTGGGCACAGGGCCTGCCTACCCAGTAGATGTCCGGGAAAGACCAGCTACTCTCTTGCAAAGTGTTCTCACGCTCAACTGGTGAGAGGTGTCTTCACCATCCCCATGGGAGTGAGTGGGAAACCAAGACTCTCCTGGGGCGGGCACTGGGGCGTGGTCACACAGTCAGGCAGCAAGGCCCCTGCTCCTGCCCCCATCCACCTCCCACTCTGCCCAGACAGAAGGGAGTGCCAGGAGGCTGGAGGGCGGAAGCCCTTTTCTCAGGGCCAGCAGGGAAGAAGAGAGAGGGCTACGCGGTCAGAAGCTCTGGTCACCTGAAGTGGTGCCACCTGACCCTGCCTGCTTGGGAAGGTGGCCCTGGCTGGCAGATCTGGCCAGTTCCCCTACACACCCTGATGCCTGGGAAGGTGGGAGCCGCCGGAGATGAACTCCACTTCATACCTTATCTTTTTTCTTTCGTTTTCTTTTCTTTTCTTTTTTTGAGATGGAGTCTTGCTCTGTCGCCCAGGCTGGAGTGCAGTGGCATGATCTCGGCTCACTGCAACCTCTACCTCCCGGATTCAAGCAATTCTCCTGCCTCACCCTCCCAAGTAGCTGGGACTACAGGAGCACGTGACCATGCCCAGCTAATTTTTTGTATTTTAGTAGAGACGGGATTTCACTGTGTTGCCCAGGCTGGTCTTGAACTTCTAAGCTCAGGCAGTCTGCCCGCCTCGGCCTCCCAAAGTGCTGGGGTTACAGGCGTGAGCCACCATGCCCGGCCCCACTTCAAACCTTATCATACCCACTCATGGTCCTCTGGAAGCTGGACCTGGAGGTTCTAGAACAATGTCACCCAAAGTGGAGTGTGCAGAGGAGCCTCAGCACCCCAGCCTCCCAGGTCCAGCAGCCCCCACTGCAGATAGGACCTCCTAGCAGCCAAACCAAAATCAGTTCATAAAATCCGTTTGGGAAATTGTGCAAACTCCTTTCCTAGGCTGGAGACCAACTGTCCACATCTGCAAACGCTCTGAGAAGCCCTGCAGGAAAGAACACTTTTGTTTAATCCTGCCTTTCCCGCAATGTATTTAATCATGAACCTCCATTTTTGCCATGAAATATGTATTAGCATCTGTGGTGGATTAAACGTGGCTACAAATTCCTCGATACCCCCATCATTAAGAGGTAGGGTCTATGCCCCTTGCCTTCAATCTGAGTAGGCTACATGACCGCTTTGATCAGTGGAGGATTGTGGAAGTGACACGGGACAGAGGCCTCCTGCCTCTTGGAGCCCTGAGCTGTAATATAAGAAATCTGGGATACACTAGGAGAGAATATGAGCCCCACGATGAGGCTGTTTTGGGCACCCAGCCCAGTGGAGCCTTTAGATGACTCCAGCTCCTGCTATTCTCTGACTGCACCTGCAGGAGAGAGTCCAAGCATGAACCGCCTTGCTGAGCCCAGTCAACCCCAGAATCATAAGAGAGTCCAATACATGATTATTTTGAGCCACTGTGTTTGGGGTGGCTTGTCACATGGCAGCAGATAACTGCTGTTTGGGGTGCGCCTGGAGCATCCTTCTGCCTCCCTTTCCACTTGGGAAGGGAAGATCATAGAAAGTCTCCACTTTGAAGCCCTTTTCTAACAACCGTCAAGACAGCTACCATTTGGGATCTGCCTGGGTTCACACTTACCAGCTGTATGCATTCAGACAGTGCCAGGCACAGTGCCATGCACCTATGGTCCCAGCTACTTGGGAGGCTGAGGCGGAAGGATGGCTTCAGCCCAGAGGTTTGAGGCTTCAGTGGGCTATGACCACACCATGGCACTCCAACCTGGGCAACAGAGCGAGAAAGAATTCAGACAGGCATTTAGTTCTTTGGGTTTCAGTTTCCTAATCTGTAAAATGGGAAGAATAATGGTAACTACTGCATGAGGTTGTTGTGCAGATTCAATAACAGGATAAAGCATACAGCAGGTGCGGAGTAGATGGCAGCCAATATTAGCTGCTCTATGCCTCCAGCAGCACATGGCCTGGTGCAGGCAGTGGGTCGTTTGCACTTCAGCTCCCCCAGGACCCAGTGCGCATCCCCCCGAGAGTGGGGGGGTCTCCTGTAGCTTCCCGCTCGCTGCACCTAAGCACAGCATTTGTGACATTGCTGGTGCTCAAGAGAAGTTCGGTGGAAAATAAAACATTCAGAGAATTCTGAACTGTTCCACTTGGAAGCCTTCTCAGAAATTAAAGAACTGAGCCACTGTATTTATGTATTTATTTTGAGACGGAGTTTCACTCTTGTTGCCCAGACTGGAGTGCAATGGCACGATCTCGTCTCACCACAACCCCTGCCTCCCATGTTCAAGCGATTCTCCTGAGTAGCTGGGATTACAGGTGCCCACCACATGCCCGGCTAATTTTTGTATTTTTAGTAAAGACGGGTTTTCTCCATGTTGGTCAGGCTGGTCTCGAACTCCCGACCTCAGGTGGTCTACCCGCCTTGGCCTCCCAAAGTGCTGAGATTACAGGCATGAGCCACTTACCTGGCCAGCCTCTTTATTTTTACTGAGGCCCAGAGAGGTAAAGGGCCTTACCTAAGGTCACACAGCTAGTTCTGGAGCAGAATCCCTGGCCTCAACTCCCTTCCTGGTGCCTGGTCTGACATGGGGCTCCCTGAGTCTCGGGGCCTGGTCCTCACTGACCCCTCTAGTCTTTTCTATGCCTTCCCTTCCCCTAGAGCTGCCTGAGATGCTCCACAGCCTGATCTCTGGGTCTGCTCTGAGACCCTCGTTACCAACAGTGCAGCTGGACCGAGGGGCCTCCCCTGCGTCTCTATTCTTTCCTTTCTCCCCAGTACATGCGGTCAGCCAGGGATGTGGACTGGACACCATAGTGTGCCACACAGAGACGCAAGCCACCCTGCCACCCAGAAGGCCTTGTGGAAGCCCCAGACCAGCAGCAGGGAAAAGCTGGCAGGATGTTGCCAAGTACCCACACTGCCAGTGCAGAAGTGGGGGACAGCCTGACCCATAGAGCCCCAGAGAGTTTGGCTCAAACCCCACCCTTCTTCTCACTAGCTGGGGGACCTTGGGTGTGTTACCTATACTCCCAGCCTCACCTTCCCCATCTGTAAAATGGGAGTAAGAACACGTCCACCAGGGGCAGGTAAGACACGGAGAGCCCGGGCACAGAGCCCAGCATGGGAATGGGCAGAGGCCGCTGGGCGGACCCGACGGGACAGGGCTGCCCTGGGCATCTGAACCAACTCCCCTCCTTCAAGACCCGACAACCCCTCCCCACCACAACTTCCACTCTTTCTTCCTGTCAGTTCCTAGGCTGGTTCGGGTTCTGAACACACTTGGGGGCCCTGGGGCTCTAAGGAGGTGGGGCATAGAACCTAGAACCTTTGGGGAGGGCCACAAAGTTCTGAAAACATCCTTCCCGCAGAGGGCAGGGCAGGCCTTGGGATTGGGGCCCACAGGCCACAGACATGAAATGCCAGTCTATGAAAAGCACGTTTGTAGGCCGGGCACATTGGCTCATGCCTGCAATCCCAGCACTCTGGGAGGCCAAGGCAGTAGGATGGCTTGAGGCCAGGAGTTTGAGACCAGCCTGGGCAACATAGTGAGACCCCTGTCTCTACAAAAAAATAAAAAAGGATGAATTTGTTGTTTGTAGCACAGGGAAATGTGTGTGTGTGTGTGTGTGTGTGTGTGTGTGTGTGTGTGTGTGTGTGATGTGCTTGCCCAGCATAGGAGGCTGGGGACAGTGAGGGAGTAGCCCTGCAGCTGTCCCCAGCCTTGGGAGAGCTCCGCAGGCCGGGCTTGTTCCCTGCATGGGAGGCAGCCAAAGGATCTGGATTTGAGAGCAGGACTGCAGCAGGATTAGAGCTGGGAGCTTCAAACAGAACCGGCCTGGCAGCAGGCCTGGAGCCCGGGCTTAAAGGGGCTGCTGAAATTATAAATAGCCACCTTCCCTGTGACTCCCCAGTCCCTCCTGGAGAGGGCCCTCCCACCAGCCCCTTCATCAGCCTCCACTCCAGCCCCCAGCCCGCTTGGGAGGGAGGGAGGGACAGGGCTGGGAGAGGTGCTGGTTAGAAGGCTGAGCAGACCTGCGTGTTGGTTACAAACAACTGGCTTTGAGTTGCAGGAAGCATCTAGAGACCCTTCCAGCTGCTGACCCTGCAGACGCTGCCTGAGGCCTCCTCCTTCACTAACAAACAACCGCCCCACCCCAGCTCATGTGTCAGGCCTAGGGATGGCTTAAGAGGAGGGGCCGGCACGGGTCTAGCCAAGCAACCCTGCATCCATCTGGCCTCTCCCGGACTCAGTTCCCCACCCCAGGAGGGGAGAGGGACCGGGAGGAGCGATCAAAAGGGCATTTCGGGTTCTCCCACCTGAAGCCAGGACCTGTGCAGGTCGGGCACTGAGCTAGGTGCTGCCAAGGATGGGGACAGCGCAGGCCCCGCTCACAAAAAAAAAACGGCCTGGGCCAGCAGATGCAGCCGAGCTTGTGAAATGGCTGGTGCCCCTCCCCGCTCCATCCCTTCTGTGCCCACCGGCCACTTCCCCTCTCAGCAGCTCCCGTTTCCCATCCGTGAGGTGGAGGGGTGGACAGGGACTACCAGGCCACCAGGAAGGACTGTCAGCCCCGCAGGCAGGTGCTGCCACAGCCCCACTGCGCAGAGGGGACCCCGAGGCTCGGCGCTGTGCAGGGGCTTCCGGGCTTGGGGGCCACACGGCCAGGAAGAGGCCGAGCAGGGATTAGAACTCAGCTCTTTCCACACCCTGAGCGCTCAACCCCAGCCGCTCTGGGGGCCTGTGATTGATGGATTGACCCGCCGATTGATTAACTGATTGGCTGATTACCTGCCCGCCCCTCCTCCGGGCCGGCCTCCCAGGGAGCCCCCTCCCGCCCCCACGGCCCGGTCCACGTGCTTCGGAAGCCTCACCCAGGCGCCCCCAACCCGCGGCCAGGGCGAGGGGGCGGGGCAGGGGCGGGGCTCAACCCAATTCCCGCCCCGCCCCGCCGACCGGCTGTTGCCAGGGAAACGACCCCTCCCCCCATCCCCCGGGAGCCTACGGGGGCTCTTGCCGCCCCCGGACCCTCTGGCGGGAGCTGGGGTCCTCGGGTGTGAGAGACGGGGGGCGCGGGGCAAGTGGGAGGACGCAGATGGAGAGATGGGGGAGACAGCCAGAGAGACAGAAACCCACGGCGGGGGAGACTCAAAAATCGCCCCCGTCCCGCCACAAAGAGAGACAGAGACAGAGACGCACTAGGGGGAGAGACACAGGCGGGAGAGAGGAAGGAGAGGACCTGGGGGAGACAGAGACCGCCCGAGGGGGAAGGGACTGCAGAAGGAAGGCGGGGAGGGGAAGAGGGGCCAGAGTGGGAGCCGGAGAGGAGGGACCTGCGCCCCGAGGGCCCCAGAGAGAAAAGACCAGGGCCAGCAAGGGGGAGCCGGGAGGGGCGAACTTGTAAAAATAAATATTTATAAATTGAGAGTTTCCCAATTCTTTTTGCATTTCCGTAGTAAATTATGTATCTCCTATCTGCTTAGGGAGCCACCAAGGCGGGGGCGGGGGGGTTCTTTTCTGTGCTCCCCTCATCTTCCTCCCCATCCTCCTCCCCTAGCCCTTTCCTCACCCCCTCCACCCCACGCCCTCCCTAGCCTCCTCTTCCCCTCTCATCTCCCTCCCTAATCCTCTCCTCCTGCCCCTTCTCCCCTCCTACCCTCTTCTCCCCTTACCCCAGCCCCCTCTTCCCTTCCTCTTCCGCCCTCTTCTGCCCCCTCTTCCCCCTTCCTTTTCCTCCCCCTTCTCCATCCTCCTAATTCATCCTCTCCCATCCCCCTCCCCCCCTTTCCTCCTCCTGCTTCCCCTCTCCTCCCCCTCCCCAGGTTGGAGCTGGGCACAAGGCAGACAGGAGGGGCCGCCCTCACCCGGAGGTGCCCCCCACCCAGAGGTGACCGGCTCCCCACTCCCAGTACCTTCCCTGCCTTAAATAAGAATAATCACACGAGTCAGCGACTCTAGGATTTAAAAAACGCTGTTGTCGCTGGCAGTTTGGCACCCCCAACCGGGACCACGGAAATCTTCCTCCAGAGGACAGGGGATGCTGGGGTTGCGGGGAAGGCGGGGCTGAAGAGGGGCAGGAGAGGACTGCAGTCCTAGGAAGCCCTGGCCTGGAGGCTGAGGCCACCTCGGCTTCCTAGGGGGCCTGGACTAGCCCCTCAGCTGGCTGAGTCTCGGTTTCCCCCTCTGTGGGATGGGGCCGGGATTGGTTCCCTGCTCTCTAGGGCCAAACTTGCTCTGTTTGGGCATCTTTGCCAGAGTTTGGGAGGTTTCCAGGCCCCTCTGACAGTCCCCACAGCGCCTCAGACACAAAGGAGGAGCTGAGGAAGAAATATACGTATATACATATATATATATACAAGGATGCCGCGGGGGTTCCTAAAACTGGGGCGAGGAGCGGGGGAAAGCGTGCCCCTTCCCTAGTCATAGCCTGTCAGGTCAAGGGGCCACACCCACTAGCAGTCTGTGGCCTGCCTTCAAGGAGCCTCAGTTTCCTTATCTGCAAACTGGGCCCGGTGAGGCCTCCCTCGCCTTGACCAAGGACCAGGATCCTGGCCCCTGCAAACTGCCACGCCCTGTACATAGGATCGCTTGAGCCCAGGAGGTCGAGGCTACAGAGTGAGCTGAGATTGTGCCACTGCACACCAGCCTGGGTGACAGAGGGAGGCCCTGTCTCAAAAAAAAAAAAAGAAAAAAGAATGGCAAGCACCACTGATCAGGTACTGACTGGCACCAGGGGCAGTGCATGGGGCCTGACAGCTCCTCCTATCCTCCCCACACCGGGCTCCGAACCAGGGCCCTACGGTTGCCCCATACAGCAGAGGCTCAGAAGGAGGGCTTGTCCCAGGTCAAGTGGCCAGACACACTGAGCAGGGCTCTGGCCAGCTCTGCCCTGTGCCACACGGAGGGGCGTCTTCATGTCTTATGGGAAGGGGGAAAGGTGGGCCGCCTGGCTTAGCAACCTCAGGCCCTGCAGGACCCTCAGAAGCACCCGAGACGAGACGCGTCTTTCTTCTAAGCCAGAGCAGTGAGGAATGCATTGGAAAACGACTCCCCTTACCGCCCCCCCTCCCCGTTTATCTGCCGCCAGCACCTCTTGGGGCCAGGGGTTTTTCCAACTGTTCCATAGACCCTAGGGGGCATCTGGTGGGGAATGGAGAGGTCCAGGTGAGGTCTCACAGCCCCTACCCCTGCATCCTTCTGTATTGATCACTTGGGTCAGATTCATTTCAAGAAGAAAGAAGAACAAGATTGCAATGGGAAGGCGGGTGTGAAATATAGCTTGGACCCCACTGCTGTCAAGACTTAGGAGCCACTGGGATGAGAACTGTGGCTTCCTGAAGTCCCCCAACTTCTGTAACTCAGCTCTTCCCAGGCCACCACCGCCAGGGCAAGCAGACAGAGCAAAGCAGCGCTGCCAGGTGAGGAGGCCTGGGCATCGAGTTCTGTCTTTCATCCAAGCCCACCACGTGGGCACTACTGTGCCTCTAGGGTGGATGAGGAAACGGGGGCTCAGAGACCTTAAGTGACTTGCCCAAGGTCACACAGCCAGTCAGCATAAGACTCAACTAGGACACTCTCCAGTCCGTGTGATTCCAAAACCCAAGCTTCTGCACCACCCACCCTCCCCTGAAGAAGCCACAGGGTCACCCTGACAGTGTCACAGGCTCTTGCCCCCTTCCTGCTCTTGTTTCATGTCAAGCCGCCCCCAGGGTTTCTTCGGGCACCAGGAAGACTCACAAATGCTCAGGAACAGGTCTGAGGAACGACTAAGGGAGGCCACCGTGGTGCCACGCAGGGCAAAGCTGCCCCTGCCATGGAAACTGCCACACCCTCCACCACTCACCCCTGCCACCCCTCACTGGGAATAACAGCAACATCTGCCACTCCCCGGTGGATGATGTCCCAATTTGCCAGAGCCCTGTGCCTCCAAGAGGCCCCAGAGCAAGGTTGTGTGGGTTCCAGGTGCCCGTTGTCCTTACAGAAATGTCTACGCCTGCGTCCAGTTGGGTCCTAGAGCCGCCACCACCACACTGCCACCTGGGGTCATGCCTCCTCCCTAAGAAGCAAGGCCAGGCTCTTTCTTCCCTGCAGGCGAAGGTCCTCCCAGGAAGCCCCTGACATCCCAGGGGTCAACCAACCATCTATGTCACCAGAGAGGCACAGGCAAATGGGACCACCCAGGCCCAAGCTGGGGCCCTCTCTGCGCTTAGAAAAAGTCGATTGTTGCTGATGGTGGGTGGGGGTTAGAGATAGAACCACAAAGCAGACAGAGGCCAACTTGGCTTTGTGTGAACTCAATACACAAACTGGAGTGTCTGGAAGGTAGGGGAGTGGAACCTTGGGGAGTGAATGGAACTTTCTTTGAGAGTGGGGGAATCATTAGCACCTGCTTAGTGGGCACCAAGCCTTGCTCCCTGGAGCTGGAGCGGTGGCTTCCAACCTGGCAGTGCGGGAGGGGTGCTGGGAGGCTGTTTGTTTACGCTGTGGGAGGGGAGGGGATGGAGATTTTCAGGCCCTCAGATCCACTCCAGTGACTTACACACCCCACCTTCAGCAAGAAACAGAGAGGTTTTCATTGTCATTAGAGGGGATGGGGCGAAATGTGTACACTCTGCAGAAGGACGTCCACCTAGACATTAACCAGAGTCATCTCCAGGTGAAGCGTGTTGATGACTTTTACCTTCTTTCTTGTAGTTTCCAGTGTTGCTTCAACTCATCAGTTTATGGTACAATAAGGGTGTATTTTTTCAGAAACAACAGTGACATTGCCCAACCAAGAAATAATTTTTTTTTCTCGAGCCGGAGTCTCACTCTGTTGCCCAGGCTGGAGCACAGTGGTGTGATCTCAGCTCACTGCAACCTCCGCCTCCCGGGTTCAAGCAATTCTCTGTCTCAGCCTCCCGAGTAGCTGGGATTACAGGTGCCCGCCACCACGCCAGGCTAATTTTTGTATTTTTAGTAGAGACAGGGTTTCACCATCTTGGCCAGGCTGGTCTTGAACTCCTGACCTCATGATCCACCCTCCTCAGCCTCCCAAAGTGTTGGGATTACAGGCGTAAGCCACCGTGCCCAGCCAAAAATTGTAAAATCAAGACAAAAAGTGTATAAATACCAAGATGCTCTTGCAGAAAGATGAGGCAGATCTTTCTCTGCACGAAAGAAAAACGTGCAGACGGGTGATTGCACAACCAGAGCAGCCAAGAGCTAGACCCAATGGAGTCTCCAGCAGCAGCAATGAGTTTCAGAAACTTGTGGAGAGCAAGCTCTGGGGGAACACAAGTGCCTCTGGGAGACGCCAGTCAAGAAGGGATCCCTGAGGATCACAGCAGGGGGCTGGGATCTCGGAACCCAAGAGGACCCAGGCCTGGCTGGGAAGTGGGGGTCACATGCTGTTTGCTGGGCAGCCGGGGGCCAATGACTCACCCTCCCAAGAGCACGGTGCTGTCTCTATACTGGGGATGGCACAGCTACCAGTGTTAGTACTGGGATCATAGAGTTCAGATGGGCAGGGCAGCTTCTCCCCAGTGTCCCATCTGAAAATCCCCTGGGATGGAGAACTCGCCCCGGTCCCTGGGACTCCAGCTCGGGTTCCATCAACAGTTCTTCTTAAAAGCTCGTGGCCGGGAGGCAGCACTTGTCTCCTGGAAAGCCATCAGGTTGCTAAATGCACCCACCCTTTGACCAAGCGATTCCACTTTTAGGAAGTTATACCACGGACGCATTCACACGGCAACAAGGGGAAATGCTGAAAGAAACTCATTGCATCGTGTTTTTAATAACAGAGCTTTGGAAATGCCTTAAACACCCATCCGGGGGACTGATGATGAACACGAAGAGTGCACAGTGCAAGAGTATTCGGCTGGTAAAAATACCTGCCTGAGGCCGGGTGCAGTGGCTCACACCTGTAATCCCTGCACTTTGGGAGGCCGAGGCAGGTGGATCACTTGAGGTCAGGAGTTCAAGACCAGCCTGGCCAACATGGCAAAATCCGGTCTCTACAAAAAAAAAAATAATAATAATAATAAATATATATATATACACACACACACACACACACATACACACACACACAAAAATTAGCTGGGGGTGGTGGTGCATGTCTATAATACCAGCTACTTGGGAGGCTGAGGCAGGGGAATCGCTTGAACCTGGGAGGTGGAGGTTGCAGTGAGCCAAGATCATGCCACCGCACTCCAGCCTGGACGAGAGAGCGAGATCCGTCTCAAAAAAAAAAATGCCTGCCTGCTAGGGCCCGTCCCCGGGATTCTTCAAGGACAGAAAAAGAACAGGAAGCCTTCATTTGTATTTTGAAAGGGGCAGCTCGATTCACACCCCACCCTGACTGTGAGTAGAAACATCTAGTGCTCACCTATAGCCAGTTTTCGTCTCTTTCTTAGGACCCGCCACCTTTGCGGTTGCATGAGGCCCCCGGCTAGTGAGCCGTGGGAGGAAGTGATGTGATGCTCTTTCCCGTGACTCAGTGATCTGGAGATGGGGGTGCCACCAGCAGGAGGCAGCCTGGATTTTTAAGCCTCCCTTCATAGCGAGGGCAGTTACCCCGAAGAATCACCTGGAGGCTGGGCACGGTGGCTCACACCTGTAATCCCAGCACTTTGGGAGGCCGAGGTGGGCAGATGACTTGAAGTCAGCGGTTCGGGACCAGCCTGGCCAACATGGTGAAACCCCGTCTCTACTAAAAATACAACAATTAGCTGGGCGTGACGGCACACGCCTATAGTCCCAGCTACTCGGGAGGCCGAGGCAGGAGAATCGCTTGAACCCGGGAGGCGGAGGCTGCAGTGAGCTGAGATTGTGCCACTGCACTCCAGCCTGGGCAACAGAGAGAGACTCTGTCTCCAAAAAAAAAAAATAAAAGAATTGCCTGGACACACAGCAGACTTTGCCGGATGCGAAACAAACCTTGACCATTTTAAGGCGCTCAGATGCGGGGTTCATTTGTTACCACAGCAGAGGGAGCCCTGCTGACCAATACAGCTGCACACCCAGGCACAGGTGAAGCCTGGCCCGGGTCCTGAGGGGACTCTTGGAAAACCACATTCCAGTTCAGGAGATGCTGAGAGATCTTGGCAAGTCCTTTGACTCTTCTAGGCCCGTTTCCCCATGTGGATGGTGGGGTAAGGGACTTTTTCTCCTCTGACTAAGGCCTATGCTGCTTAAATCCCTAACCCCAAAGGCTCAAGGAAGACCTGCCAGTCCTATAGGGGCAGCTGGGTGCTCACTGCACATTGGCCGCTGGGAAGAGCACCTCGGAGGCATCATGGAACCCTCACAGTGGCTCCAGGAGGGAGGTGCCATCACGATCCCATTTCCCCATGAGAAAACTGAGCTTCAGAGAGGCAAGGTTACTTGCCCAGGAACACTAGCATCTGAGATTTTTGACTGCTCTAATGCCAATTACCGCCTGGTATTTTTATTTCTTACAAAAGCAACTAACTTAAGGCCGGGAGTTGGTTCACGCCTGTAATCCCACGCTTTGGGAGGCCCAGACAGGAGGATGGCTTGAGGCCAGGAGTTCTAGACCAGCCTGAGCAACATAGTGAGACCGTGTGTCCACAAAAAAGTAAAAAACTAGCTGGATGTGGTAGCTACTCCGGAGGCTGAGGTGGGAGGATCGCTTGAGCCCAGGAGTTCAAGGCTGCAGTGAGCTGTGGTGGTTCCACAACACTTCAGCCTGAGTGACAGAGTGAGACACTGTCTCAAAAAAGAAAAAAGAAAAAAAACTTAAAAGAAAGCCAGCTGTCAATAACATAAGAGAACTGAGAATAAAAATTTTTTAAAATACACATAAAATGTGCCATCTTAACCATTTTTAAGTGTGTAGTTCTGTAGTGTTAAGTACATTCATGCTATTGTGCAACGGTCACCACCATCCACCCACAGAACTCTTTTCATCCTGTAAAACTTAAACTCTGTACCCGTGAAATACTAACTCCTCCTTCTCCCTGGCCATCACCATTCCACTCTCTGTCTCTATGAATGTGACTTCTTTAGAGCCTCACATAAGTGGAATCCTATTGTATTTGTCCTTTTGTGACAGGCTATTTTACTTAGCGTAATGTCTTCAAGGTTCATCCATGTTATAGCGTGTGTCAGAATTTCCTTTTTATGGCTAAATAATATTCCATTGTACGTATGTATCAAATTTTGTTTATTCCTGCATTCAAGGACACTTGAGTTGCTTCCACCTTCTGGCTATTGTGAGTGATGTTGCTATGAAGATGGGAGCATGAATATGTCTTCGAGGCCTTGCTTTCAACGCGTTTGGGTACATACCCAGAAGTGGAAATGCTAGATCATATGGTAATTCTATTTTTACTTTTTTTGAGGAACTGCCATGCTGTTTTCCACAGCGGCTGCACCATTTTCATTCCTACCAGCAATGCTTGAGAGTTCCAATTTCTCCACCTCCTCCCCACCAGCCCTTGTTCTTTCTGGTTCCTGATAGTAGCCATCCTAATGGGTGGGAGGTGACGTCTCATCCGGGTTTTCATCTGCATTTCCCTAATGATTAAGGAGGGGATAAGGGCTTTTTCTTTTTTCTTTTCTTTCTTTTTTTTTTTTTTTTTTTTTTGAGACAGAGTCTTACTCTGTCGCCCAGGCTGCAGTGCAGTGGCGCAATCTCGGTTCACTGCAACCTCCGCCTCCCGGGTTCAAGCGATTCTCCTGCCTCAGCCTCCTGAGTAGTGGGATTACGGGTGCATACCACCACACCGGACTAGTTTTTGTATTTTGGGTAGAGATGGGATTTCACCTTGTTGACCAGGCTGGTCTTGAACTCCTGACCTCAATTGATCTGCCTGCCTTGGCCTCCCAAAGTGCTGGAGTTACAGTCATGAGCCACCTCGCCCAGCCTGGTGAGGGTTTTTTCAATGCCGCTGGTGGGTCTACAGCAGTGCAGTCACCTGGTTCTGCTTCCACAGGAGGAAATGAGGGTCCCGGTGCCACCCCCCTCCCGGGGATGTTGTGGGAGTCCTCGAGCCCCAAACAAGCTAGTGGGGCTGCGTCTGCAGTGTGACCTGTGCCCCAGTGAACAGGCTGGGGGCCCAACTTCTCCGGAACCTCAGCCTCCGCCGATGTTGCAACCTCTCCTTCCCCTGCTGGGCCTCAGCAGGAACTGAGCTGGGCTTTTCCAGCTCCGGCCAATCCTGTGACCTGCAGTCCCCACCCAGCCTGGAACTCAGAGCAGAGAGGAGTCAGCACCACAGGGAGGCAGGTGACAGGGTCGTCTGCATGTCCCTTGGCTTCCGCATCCAGACAAAGGGCAGCTCTGTGTACAGTGTGTACAGGACATGCAGGACGAGCGTGCGGACTGTGTGGCCAGACAGATGCGGTCTGAGTCCCATTTCTGCCATTTGCCAGTGGTGTGACCTGGATAAGTCACTTCCCCTCCCCAGCCCTCACTTCGATCTGTGAAATGGTGCTTGGCACGCGGTAAGAACTCAGTACCTCCTACGATTCTCAACCCCATCCTTCTCCTCATCACCATCAACATCCACCAGGATGACCAGGTCACGCCTGTGTCCAACCATCCATGGCTCCCCCACTGCCTGCCAGAGACAGCCCATCACACTCTCATGGCTGCTGGCCACCGCCCAGACTGACCCCTGCCCACATCTCCATCCTCCTCTCCCTCTCGCTCGTCACATTCGGGGCTGCCCTCCTGTCCCTCAAACGCGAAGCTCTCCCTCCAGCCACAGGGCCTTTGCATATGCTGTTCCCTGCCTGGAATGTGCTTTCCCCACCCCATCCTGCGCTCCCTCTTCATCAGTTACCTCCTAAAAGACCTCTGAACCATGAAATTATTGGAATACTGTCCGTCTCCCTACGTCACTCTGTGAGGCCAGGATCATGCCTGCTTTGCTTCCCACTAAAGACAAGGTTGGTCCAGGTGCCCCCCAAATATTAGCCAAATGGAATTATTCCTTTCCAGAAAACCCCTGATTTTGGAAACTCAGGTTCCTTCCACAAAAACAAGCTATTCCCCACATAACTAAATAAGCTTTAACTTTCATACCTTTGGAAGGTTTTTTCCCCTTCATTAAGTGAACCAACCTGAGAAAGCCCTCAGCTACATCCTGTGTCCTCATTTTTCAGCTCAGAAAAATATGGTCACTGCACTTGGAGCAGCTGCTCCCAACGCCTGCCACGCCTCCTCCCAGCCCAGCCTCTGGCTGCCCCTTCCTCAGGACTCAAGGGAGGTTTTGGGCTGCTCTCTGGGTGACCCCTTGCTTGGGAATAAACACCCACCCTGAGGGACGGAGGACCCAGGTGGAGGTGCAGATGCGTTTCAGCCCCAACAACAAGGTCTTCAAGAGCCACAGTGAACCCTGCTCGGTGTCAGGGCCTGACCCAGCCGGGTGACACACAGCACCACAGCCAGCCGGGGGGCGAGGGTCACCTGGTTCTGCTTCCACAGGAGGAAATAAGGGTCCCAGTGCCACCCCCCTCCCGGGGATGTTGTAGGAGTCCTCGACCCCTAAACAAGCTAGTGGGGCTGCGTCTACAGCGTGACCTGTGCCCCAGTGAACAGGCTGGGGGCCCAACTTCTCCGGAACCTCAGCCTCTGCCAGGTTCCGGACCCCAGGAGGGCCATGGGCAGGAGGCCCAGCAAGACTGTGTGGCCCAAACCCATGCCTGTGTCCATCCTTCCATCCCCTTGCATATATATATATGTGTGTGTGTGTGTATATATACACATATACATATATATATATATATTTTTTTTTTTGAGACAAGTCTTGCTCTGTTGCCCCCAAGCTGGAGTGCAGTGTCACGATTTTGGCTCACCGCAACCTCCGCCTCCCAAGTTCAAGCGATTCTCCTGCCTCAGCCTCCTGAGCAGCTGGGGTTACAGGCGTGCATCACTGCGCCCAGCTAATTTTTGGTTTTTTTTTTTTTAGTAGAGACGGGGTTTCATCACTAAACCTGTTGGCCAGGCTGGTCCTGAACTCCTGACCTCAGGTGCTCTGCCCGCCTCAGCCTCCCAGAGTGCTGGGATTACAGATGTGAGCCACCTCGCCCAGCCTCCTTGCTTATCTATTTCAACAGTTATTTAGTGAGCACCTACTATGTGCTCAACCCAGTTTTTGGGAAGCCTAGTGAAGACCCCAGGTCCCGCCCTCCTGACCAAGCAATTTACACAAACCCCATACTTACTTCTGGAGAGGAGACCTAGGGCTCTGCATTCGTCCCCAGGCTCACCACCCAGCGCATTCTCTGGGCTCAGGGTCTCTGGGTAGGGGCTGGCTCTACAGGATGCTCCAGAGGGCCTCGTGGGGAGGGTGTATTCAGAGAGGGGTAGTGCACGCGTCCACTCCAGATGGTCCTCAGGGAAAGAACTTTCTCCACACGGTCATGTGAGCAGGCTCCTGGCAGCAGTCACACATCAGCATCACTGTTGCTACTGTGGTTGGGGCCAGCTCAGGCAGGGTGACACCAAGACAAAGGCCTGCAGGAAGGATGGGCTATCCCCAAACATAGGCGAGTGGAGGGAGGACTTAGGGTCACCGTCGGCTGGACTTCACGGACACCGAGGGTGAGCCCCGGGGTGAAGGAGCCATGCCCCGGCCACAGTGAGGACCAGGAAACCTCCCCTGGGGCTGGAGGCGGGGGTCCCAGATGAGCATCTGCTATTTGAGTTCTCACGGGGATCACCTTCCTGGGGGTGACAGCAGCCAAACAAAGCACACAGCTAGGTGGCCACGAGGGGAAGGCCCGGGAGCCTGGGTCAGGAAGCGGGTGGGAGGAGGGTGGGCCGGGGGCTGGGGAATGCTGCAGGGAAGGAGGGAGCGGTGAGGACGGCCGCCACACGTCAGGAGGGCTGGCTTCTGGGGCCCAGCACCCGGCAAATCTTGAAAGAGAGGAAGAGGAGCGGGCGTGAGGCCAGAGGGGACCCCAGGGCCACTGTGGGGACGTGAGTTCTGGGAGGTGCCGGCCTGAGGGGCCATCCTGTCTGCCGTTCCCCGGGGAGGCTTGGGTGGGCAGAGACATTCCCCACGGGTGACATTCCCCACGGGTTTCCAAGGGAGAGCCCCCTGTGGGACTGGAGAGCCCAGGGGACTGCAGAGACTAGAGAGAGATGAGACCAGGAAGACACCAAGGCCCGGACCAGGGCAGCCAGAAGGGCCCTCAGCGCTGGTCCCTGCAGCTCCTCCTAAGCCAGATCTGCCAGGGGAGCTCGGAAATGCCTGTCGCGGAGCCTCGGTCCATCCGCCCCTCCCAACCGGTCCGGCACATCCAGGCGCACACACATCTGTCCACAAACACACCCTCCCTCACACACACACAACTCACACACACACCAATTCACACATACACAACTCACACACCAACTCACACGCACACAACTCACACGCACAGCAACTCACATACACATCAACACACACATACACAACTCACACACCAACTCACATATGTGCCAACTCACATGCCAACTCACACACGGACTCACACACACACCAACTCACATGCACACCAACTCACACATACACAACTCACACACCAACTCACACATACATAACTCACACCAACTCACATGCCAACTCACACAACTCATATGCGCTCACACATACACAACTCACACACCAACTCACATATGTGCCAACTCACATGCCAACTCACACACGAACTCACACACCAACTCACATGCACACCAACTCACACATACACAATTCACACACCAACTCACACATACACAATTCACACACCAACTCATACATAATTCACACCAACTCACATGCCAACTCACACACCAACTCAACTCACATGTACACCAATACACACACATACACAAGTCACTTACACACCAACTCACATACACACCAACTCACACATACACAACTCACACCAACTCATACCAACTCACATACACAACTCACACACCAACTCATACACACCAACTCACACATACACAACTCACACACCAACTCATACACACCAACTCACACATACACAACTCACATCAACTCGCATACACACCAACTCACACATCTCACATACACACCAACTCACACGCATACCAACTCACACATACACAAGTCACTCACACCAACACACCAACTCACACATACACAACTCACACTAACACACACCAACTCACATACACAACTCATACCAACACACACACCAACTCACACATATACAACTCACACTAACACACACCAACTCACACACACCAACTCGCATGCACACCAACACACACTAACTCAAATACACACCAACTCACACTCACACCCTTACACATACACAACTCACACACCAACTCACACACACACCCTCACCCCAACACAACCTCACACATATACAACACACACACCAACTCACACCCACACACTTTCACACACACCCTCACACACCCTCACACACACCAACTCCCATGCACACATCCTCCCTCATACACAACTCACAGACCCATGCACACACCCTTGCCCCCACCCAACACAACCTCACATATACACAACTCACACACCAACTCACATGCACACACCCTCACTCCCAACGCAACCTCACAACTCACACACACCAACTCACACACCCTCACACCAACTCACACGCCCACACCCTCACCCCAACACAACCTCACACACACAACTCACACCAATGCACATATACACATCCTCACACACATTTACATACACCCCTGCTCACAGACACTCTCTCTGGCTCTCTCTCACACACACACACACACCCTACCCCCCACTAGGGCTCAAGGACCCCTCCAGTGTCCTCAGGGCACTGGCCCAGGGGGCGGCAAGGAGGGTGATTCCCAAATAGCAGCCCCCAGAGCCCAGGTTCTGCCCCCAGAGAAGCTCAAGTCCAGACACCAGAAGGACCTCCCTTCATCCTGAAGACATTTACATGAGGAGAGCCACTTCCCCGAGTGACTCAACATGCACAGATCTGGAGGGACACACACACGCACACGCAGAGGGCTTCTCTAGACAGCTGTGTGCACCCCTCACTTCCGGCTCAGGATTCCCAGGCTCCAGCCCGGCCCCAGCAATCCAAGTCCTTCCCATCTATGCAAAGCTCAGGGGTGCCTCTGGCTTGTGGGGGCCTCATGGAGCCATATCCTGTTCCCTCATTCCAGAGGCTTTCCCTGCCTAGTGGGGCAGCTCTGGGGCCAGGAGAGCGGGGACGGCCCCAGCCTGAACCACAGGGAAGTGGAAACCCTCAGGGAAATTCACACTCCAGCTGCCTGCCAGCCAAGGACAACACACATTCATACATGCGCACCGACACGTGTACACAGTGACACGTGTGTACATACAGCCCCATACTCACCCTGACACGTAGGTACACACTTGTCAGAGGCGTTCGAACCAGAGCGACTCCATTTTGAGTGAGGGCTGGAAAACGAGGCTGGGACCCGCTGGGCTGCATTACCAGAAAGGTGGGTATTCCGAGCCCCTAGAGGTTTATGGTTAAGGGAACAAATTAATAATGTTTACTAAAACAGACCCGGACTTAGGAGTGTCCAGATATCGCCATATCTGAAGAACAAAGGCATTCCTAATTTTGCTTTAAAGATAATAATATCGATTCTTGCAAAATATAGTAATTAAGAAAATTAATCCTTTATCACAAACCCTTGTAGCAGAGCAAATCTCCCCATATATACAAGCATTGTACCTAGGGTGGATGCGTTCCTCGCTCCTCCTCTTACTTTCAGGAACATCCTACTCTGTCTACGGAGTAGCTGTCTTTTTACCGCTATCCCTTTTTTTTTTTTTTTTTTTTTTTTGAGATGGAGTCTTGCTCTGCCCAGGCTGGAGTAGCGTGATCTCAGCTCACTGCAACCTCCGCCTCCCAGGTTCAAGCGATTCTCCTGCCTCAGCTTCCCAAGTAGCTGAGACTACAAGCATATGCCACTACACCCAGCTAATTTTTTTTTTTTTTTTTTTTTGTATTTTTAGTAGAGACAGGGTTTCACTATATGTTGGCCAGGCTGGTCTCAAACTCCTGACCTCAGTTGATCTGCCCTCCTCGGCCTCCTAGAGTGCTGGGATTACAGGTGCGAGCCACCGCGCCCAATCCCTTGTACTTTCTTAATAAACTTGCTTTTGCTTTTCACTGTGGACTCATCCTGAATTATTTCTTGCGCGAGATCCAAGAACCCTCTCTTGGGGTCTGGATCAGGACCCCTTTCCCGTAACACACTAACACATACACACTGAAACTCACACATGCACTAATATACACTCCCCTACTCCCACTGGTGCACACACACCAGCACACTCACAATGACACGACACACCCAAGCACACACGGACACAGGCGCGCACACACGGACACAGCAGTGTGTAACTCTGGGTCTCCGGTGGGTCTGAGTGGTCTGCTCCACGGTGGGTCTCTCCTGAGGCTGGAGCCTCCTCTCAGAAATGTTTCTGCCCCCAGCTGCCATGTGGCCTAAAATCCTGACAAATTAGGAAAGATTCCTTTAAAACCAGCACTTCGGATTTTAGGCTTAAGCAATATTTGGAAAATGTGAGGCTCAGTCCCCCAGCTCGCTGGGCTGTGGGCCTGTCACCTGGCGCGCGTGGGGGCAGGCAGGAGGAGGGGGCTGGCTCGTGGTATGGGGCGAGCCCGGGCAGATTTGGGGCACAGGCAGGCACGCGGACACCCCACCGCTGAGAGCCAGAGAGACAGCAGAGGGCCGTGGGGATCAAAGACAGGGCTCTGGAGGGACCCAATCCCCACCCACTCTCTCTGCAACCCTCCCCAAGGGACTTCACTCCCGCAAACCTCAGTTTCCCCATCTGCACAATGGGTGTGAACCCGGGACCCACTTCATGGGCTAATGCGAAACTTAAATGACACCGTACCAATTAAGTTATAAGCCCTGGAAGCCCAAGAAAAGAAAGCGGTGGTGCGATGGGGGAAAAACCACCATCCCCGGCTTCCCGCGTGTAACGGGGCCGAAAATAACCAGCATTTTCCTTTTCTCTGCGGCTGAAGCCCACGCTTCCCAGAGGACCGGGCCTGCTTATCAGGAGCAGAGCGGCTCGCTCGGCTGTCTCCGCCAGAAGGTGACTGTGGGGGCCCGGCTCCCCTCCTGCCTCCAGCCCGACTCCCACCAGGAACACACCAGCTCCTCCCCCCGCCGCCCCTTTCAGGTTTCCGCCCCACCCCCAGCCCGCAAACAATTTTGCATATATTTAAATCTCCTCTGCGAGTTCCCCCTCCCCCGGAAAAAGAGAGAAAAGAAATTACAAAGGCCGTCATTTGTCTCCGTCCCCGCACCCCATCTATCAGGGCCCGGAGCCCGTCGCCTCGAATGAGGCGCGCGCCCGGGACGGCCGCTTTAATGGGGCGCCGCGTGTGACTGTGCAGCCGCGCGGCGGGCGCAGCCGGCCGGCATTTGCATACATATTAAACGGAGCAGTAAAAAATGCAGACATGCAAACCATTTGGACGGGCTCCTCGGCGTAGAGCCTGCCAGGAAATCAATCTTCTGGTTTCTTAAAGGCAGCCTGCTCGGGAGGAGGTGGCGATGCCACACAGCCCGCAGGCCGTGGGAGGGGGCCATCGTCTGTCCATCTGCCTGCGGGAGCAGCCGTGGGGGTCCTTCCCGGCCATGGAGGAGCCACCTCCTGGGAGCCAGGGGCCGGGGAGTTGAGTGTGGTGGGTCCTGGCTCAGCCGGCTGTGTGCCCTGTAGTAAAAGGGGTCCCCTCTCTGAGCTCCCCCTCACTGGGTGCTGAAGATATTTCCTTTCCCTTTTGCTAGGCTGGGGCTTAAGGGACTAACCCAAGATCACTGGGCCCCTCTATGCAGAGCCTGGGTCTCTAAGCCAGGTGCGAAGAAGGATGGCCAAGAACACAGGCTCTGGGGGCGGGCGGCCTAAATTCAAAGTCAGGCTCCACTCCCCAAGAGCTGTGTGATCTTGGGCAAATGCATCAACCTCACTGTTTCCCGTAAAAGGGGGATCAATATGCCTCCCTCTTCGGTATGCTGTTGGATTGAAATAGGTCAGCCTTGTAAAGCACTTGGCTCATTGCCTGGCATGTAGTAAGTGCTCAATAAATAGTGGTAGAACAATGTGTAGGAGGGCCCTTGGTGTTATTGGTATGTTTTTCTTGGTGAATATCCCTCTTTATATCTGCATAGTGTGGCAAGCCACTCCTCCCAGAGCCTCCTTACCTGTAAAATGGGGTGTTTTGATTTTCACGGGAACTGCTAGCTGTGTTCTAGAAGGCACTGGGTCCCTGCTGTGTGCTCCCACCCACCCGCTGATTCCAGCCAGGTGTGGCCAAACTGGCGCCTCTGAGGGCTGCCCACAGCCTGTCTTAGGCAAAGCCCAGAGCAGGGATGGGGGCATACCCCCAAACTGACCATACATCTGTGGGGCCAGGAAAAGGCAACTGGCCCTGAGCCTCAGCCTAGTGAGACTGGGGCCTCTCTGAATTCCATGGCACAGATAAGGAAACCGAGGCTCAGAGAGGTGTGGCAAAGCCAGGAAGCTTGAAGGTGGTGCCTCTGGGATGCAAGCCAGGTGTGCCCAACTGCAAGGCCACCTCCCCAGAGGTCCCCCAGAGAGGAAATACTGCCGGCAGAGGGAGGAGCTCATCCCACAGTGTCAGGGAACACAGCTTCCCCCCAAAGGAGGGGGGTGCTTGTGGAGAAAGAGCTGAGTTTTGCGTCTGAGCCCAAGTGAATATTTGGTACTCATGAAGGTCCTTCCTTTTTTTTTTTTTTTTTTTTTTTGAGATGGAGTTTTGCTCTTGTTGCCCACGCTGGAGTGCAATGGTGTGATTTCAGCTCACTGCAACCTCCAACTCCTGGGTTCAAGCGATTCTCCTGCCTCAGCCTCCAGAGTAGCTGGGATTACAGGTGCCCATCAACACGCCCAGCTAATTTTTTGTATTTTTAGTAGAAACAGGGTTTCACTATGTTAGCCAAGGTGGTCTCGAACTCCTGACCTCGGGCGATCCACCCACCTCAGCCTCCCAAAGTGCTGGGATTACAGGCATGAGCCACCGTGCCAGTTTGGTCCTTCCTTGAAAAGACCCAGAGGAAGAGGGGAGAGAGGGTTTTCAAGAACCAGCTCAAGTTTGGCCTTCATTCATTTACTTCATACTCCCGGAAGCGAGGAACAGAGGTGACCAAGGTCCCCAAGACCTGGCCGGGCAGTGGGCAGTGGGAAGTGGTGGGGAGTTAATGGCAGGATGGAGGGGTGCACCTAGACCAGTGGGTGCACTGTCCTCTCTGAGACCCTGGGGATTAGGTGAAGAGGCCAAGCCAGTGCATTGGGGTGGGGGGGCTTTGCCTTCTGTTGGGAGAGGGTCCCCTGTGGTTCAAAGCTTCCCAGCTGAGTGGCAATGTGACCTCCCTGCTGTGTGTGGGAGTTGCAGCCTAGAGTTATGGGAACTAAAGAGGCCAGACCCAGAGCTGTGGCCCAATTCACTGGTGTCTTGCTGTGTGACTTTGGAAAAGGCCCCGCTTCTCTGGGCTGGGGTGGCTGAGCCAACTGCACCCCTGCTCTGTCTCTCAGGGAACCCCTCTCTTTCACTCTTGACCTTCAGGCTATCTGGGCCTCTGTCCCTCCACCTCCCTCTGCAGCTGAGTGCAGGCCGCCCCCACTGCCCGGCAGGCAGCCCAGCCGGGGTGGAGGAAGCCGGCAGGGCGGGAAAAGGCGGGAGGGGTCCGAGTTACAGGAACCAGCAGGGCCATTGCTCAACTAGGGAGCCTGGCCGCGGGCCTGCCTCGGCCCCCACCTCTAGCAGCCCGCCCTCCTCCTAGCTCTGCATTGCAAACATTCCTCGCCAACCTCGGGTTGCTGCAGCCCCGGAAGGGGGAACTGCAGCAGACACAGCACCAGGCCGCCAGAAACACTTAACCCCTTCGCTCCTTCCAGGCAGAGCCTTCAGGGGGAGGAAGGAGGGATCTGGGCGGCAGCCGCGGCAGTCCTTCCCAGCCTCTGGGTGACCGGGTCAGGTGATTTGCTGGCAGGCCCGGCCACTGATTACCAACCTGGATCAACAGGTTGCGCGTTCATGACTCACCCAGCAGACATTTCCGGAGCTCCCCCTGGGTGCTGGCAGCAGGCATGAAAATCCAAGAGCGGCCCCAGCATCGGGGGTGGGATGCGGGTCTCATGAGCAGACGTGTGTTTTAGATCATTACAGTGATGAGAGCAACCAAGACGTGCAGGGTGAGCCTGAGCACAAACTAAAGTGGCTCAACTCATCAGGGAGGGCTTCTTGGAGGAAGCGACACTTAGGGAACCCTGTGAGAGCAGAGGGAGAGAGTTCCAGGCAGAGGAGGCAGCAAGTGTGAGGCTCTAGAGGGAAGAGAGACGTTCTCATGTTTCAATCTGTGTTTCTGGAGGAGAGAGAGGAAGGGGAGGAAAGCCCCAGGTGGGAGAGCTTGGCCCATGCCAGGTCCCAGAAGGCCTTGAGGCCACTCCCAGCATGAACCGTCATCTGAGGTCAGTGAGGAGCCAGGGAAGGGCTTATGTGTGGAATGACATGGTCAAGTTTAGCTCTAAGCCCTAAGACGCCTTGAATAAAAAACAGAACCTTGGGCTGAGCGCGGTGGCTCACGCCTGTAATCCTAGCACTTTGGGAGGCCGAGGCAGGTGGATCACGAGGTCAGGCTATCGAGACCAGCCTGGCCAACATGGTGAAACCCCGTCTCTACTAAAAATACAAAAATTAGCTTGGTGTGGTGGCACGCACCTGTAGTCCCAGCTACTTGGGAGGCTGAGGCAGGAGAATTGCTTGAACCCAGGAGGTGGAGGTTGCAGTGAGCCGAGATTGCGCCACTGCACTCCAGCCTGGGCAACAGTGCAAGACTCCGTCGCAAAAAAAAAAAAAAAAAAAAAAAAAAAAGCCTGGGCTCAGTGGCTCACACCTGTAATCCCAGCACTTTGGGAGGCCGAGGCGGGTGGATCACCTGAGGTCAGGAGTTCAAGACCAGCCTGACCAACATGGAGAAACCCTGTCTCTACTAAAAATACAAAATTAGCCAGGCGTGGTGGCACATGTCTGTAATCCCAGCTACTTGGGAGGCTGAGGCAGGAAAATCGCTTGAACCTGGGAGGCAGAGGCTGCGGGGAGCAGAGATCATGCCATTGCACTCCAGCTTGGGCAACAAGAGCGAAACTCGTCTAAAAACAAAAACAAACAACAACAAAAAACAAAAACAGAACCTTACTGGAAAGAGGCCGCTAACATATTTTCATGTACAAACCAAATGGACTCTAAGACCAGAACACCTGAACCACGCCAAAGTGCCACCAGCAGGACACGTTTCAGATGGCAGCTGGGCCTGGTACTAGGCTCTCCTGCAGCCTACATGGCCATTCTGCCATCCCAGGCCACATAGAAATCTGCAGGCTCAGGTTGGTTCTTCCTCCTGGGTTGGGGTCAGCACCTCCCATCTCCCAGACACCACTCCTGCATACAGCTGGAGTTCAATAAATGCAGCAATTAATCAGAGTGTTAAAGTTGGGAGGGGCTGAGAGATCATCTAGGCCCACAGCCTCCTCGCTTTTTTATTTTATTTTATTTTTGAAATGGAGTTTCACTCTCGTTGAAGACTCAGAGAGGGAATCCCTGGCAGGGGGGCCTGGAATTTACAGCCAAGATGCCCACAGAGCATGTCCAGAGAGGAGGCCAGCACACCCAGCTGCCCAGAACCTCGGTACCCACAGGAAAGACCCCAAAATCTCCCCACCAAAGCTCCCTTCCTTTCCCTACCTCTCACAGGGCCTGTTCTCTCTATACCTGGTCTATTTGTTGGGACAGCAAACGTAGCCGGAGTTCCTCTAAGTCCTGCTCAGCCTGGTGAGACTTCCAAAGGAAAACATGCCCAGAATCCTCCCTCTGTTGAAAATCATGCCCCAACAGGACAGGAAGGGGCCGGGCAGTCTCCATGCCTGCACATGCCCCCAGCAGAAGAAAGGGCTGAGCTCCTCCCAGCCTCCTCGGGGATCACCCTGCGGGAGGCCCCAGCAGTTACCACAGTCTGTTTTGTGGCTCAGGGTCCACTGTGTGTCACTGGATCCTTCCAGGCAATGGAATTTCTAGAAAGGTTCCTTCAACCTGGGACACCACCACCTTGGTGACCCGCCACCAACTCTGCCATGTGAAACACCTTACAGGCCTTGTGCTGGGCCAAAGATTCACTCTCCGAATCCTCATCACAAGTGGTGAAGTTTGCTGTTATCATCCCATTTTGCAGATGGGAAACTGAGGTCCGTGAAGTCACTTGCCTGGATCACACAGCTCATGACCAGTATGGGTCGGCCTGGGACACAGGCATTCTGGGGCTCACCACCAGGTGTTCCACGTGTCACCACTAGACCTCCCAACCAGGGAGCCCTGCCGCTGCCCCAGCCTGGAGACGTGACACTTCTCCCAGCCAGGAGGCTCCAGTGAAACCAGGGATTCCCCAGGCTCACCCTGACTCCTCATCTTGTTAACGTATTTAATCCTCATCCTGTACATGAAATAAATATTTCATCTCATCTATTTATTATTTGTTTATCGTGGGCATTTATCCATCCTAAGCTTACTCTCTGCTCAAATCTTCTCCACACGGGTTCGCTCAGGTTACCAATTTTGTCTCAGCTTCCATCAGGCAGAGCCACGTGTGTTGCCATAGCCAACATCACAAAAAAATCTCATTTCATGCATTTCATAGGCATGAGTGGCCTGACTTGAAAATATCAGTGGAACCTGCTCATGGGGACAGGGGTTGCATAGCACCCTGAGGCCCATGAGGTACCTGGTACAGAGTGAGCACCCAGGAAGGGAGGCTGGGTTATTAGTACCGCTGTTTTCCAGGGCTTGGTGTGGCTGATAAATTTTTGGTCTCTTCCCCTTCTCTTCATATCACAGGTTAACAGGTTCACTTCCCAATGTTACTCATGTCTACAAAATGGTAAGAAAAAGCAACTGTGCAAATGAGGCAAGTTACATGTCCTGGTACCAAAGTGATGGTTACTAAGGCAGTTGGCCTCCAACATGGTCTCCAAACAATTCGCACCTCCTGGCATTCACACATTTCCACAATCAATCAGGCTGGCCTGCATAACCAATAGGATACTGAGGAAATGACTGCATGTACTGTTCAAGGCTAGGTCATAAAAGGTACTGCAGCTTCAGTCTCACTCTCTTGCATCACTCACTCTGAGAAGCCAGCCGCCATATTGTGGGGAAACTCAAGCAGCCTGCTGAAGTCTGCATGGCATGGAGCTGAAGCCTCTTTGTCAGCCATGTCAGTGAGCCATTTAGGAAACAGATCCTCTATCCTCAGTCAAGGCTTCAGATGACCACAGCCCCAGCTGACATCTTGATGGCAACCTTAAGACAGACCAGCCAGCTAAGCCACATCTGAATTCCTGACCCACAGAAGCTGAGATACTAAAATGCCTATTTTAAGCCACTAAGTTTGGGATAATTTGTACTCCACAGTAGGTAAGGAACTAATACAGAAACAGAGAGACCTTTTAGTTATGAGAGCCTTCCACCGACTATGTTCCCAAAGTGTGTTCCTTGGAATGCTGATCCCAGGCTTTGCTCTGGAAAACCAAGATCAGTTGAATGGAGGCAGACTGTGGATTCCAGTCTCCTGTTCAAGATTCCCATGCTCCTTGGCATATTAAAGTAGACCCCTCTAGGCGAGGAAGCTGTTCCCTTAACATAGCACTTCTCAGGGGCCTTTGACCGTGGAACTCTGGTGTCAGAGCCTCAGAGCACGCTTTGGGACACAGAGCCAAACTGTCATGGCAACTGATTCCTTGAATACTTTAAACAATTGTGCCCAATACAAAACTAAAAATAGGCCAGGCCCAGTGGCTCATGCCTGTAATCC
This sequence comes from Homo sapiens, assembly GCF_000001405.40. Taxonomy (NCBI): domain Eukaryota; kingdom Metazoa; phylum Chordata; class Mammalia; order Primates; family Hominidae; genus Homo; species Homo sapiens. The sequence continues at coordinate 129,330,381 of NC_000009.12, read as the reverse complement.
CAGGCACTTTGGGAGACTGAGGCAAGAGAATCACTTGAGGCCAGCCTGGCTGGGCAACATGGTAAAACCACTTCTCTAACAAAAACAACAAAAGCCAGGCATGGTGGCACATACCTGTCATCCAAGCTACTTGGGAGGCTGAGGTGGGAAGATTGCTTGAGCCCAGGAGTTCGAGGTTCCTGGGTGACAAAGTGAGACCCTATCTTTAAAATTAAAGGCTGCGGTGAGATAAGATCATGCCACTACACTCCAGTTTGAACAATGGAACAAGATCTTGTCTCTAAATAAATAAATAAAAATTAAAATAACTAAAAATACTCACAGCCTAATATCCAGAGTCTGACCGGGCATGGTGGCTCATGTCTGTAATCCCAGCACTTTGAGAACCTGAGGCGGGAGAAACATTTGGGGTCAGGAGATCGAGACCAGCCCAGCCAACGCTGCAAAACCCTGTCTCTACTAAAAATACAAAAATTAGCTGGGCGTGGTGGCAGGCGACTGTAATCCCAGCTACTCAAGAGGCCGAAGCAGGAGAATCGCTTGAACCTGGGAGGCAGAGGTTGCAGTGAGCCGAGATGGCGCCATTGCACTCCAGCCTGGGCAACAGAGAGAGACTCTGTCTCAAAAAATAATAATAATAATAATAATATCCAGTGTCTGACCTACAGCATAAGATATAAGGATGAGATGGCTGCTCCGCCATGATGGGCCCCTAGCTCCTGGCTCCTTTTCTGGCTGAGGGGCTGGTTTGCCCCGGGCCACCTCTGGCCCCTCCCATCTTATTATTAGTATTATTATTATTATTATTATTTTGAGACGCAGTCTTGCACTGTTCCCTGGGCTGGAGTGCAGTGGCGCGATCTCGGCTCACTGCAACCTCTGCCTCCCAGGTTCAAGCGATTCTCCTGCCTCAGCCTCCCAAGTAGCTGGGATTACAGGCACCTGCCACTACGCCCAGCTAATTTTTTTTTCTTTTTTTTTTGGTATTTTTAGTAGAGACGGGGTTTCACCATGTTGGCCAGGCTGGTCTCAAACTCCTGACCACGTGATCTGCCCTCGGCCTCGGCCTCCCAAAGTGCTGGGATCACAGGCGTGAGCCACCACGCCCGGCCTACTCCCATCTTACAATGAGTGGTGTTGGGCCAGGGTCTGGCCAGGGACCTCAGCCCATTTGGGGAGCACTTGGGATTCAGACTTTGAATCCCAAACCCTAGTGCCAGCTCCCATCAGCTCTGCCACACAAGGACACATGGGACACATGGGTTGGGCTGCACCCTTGAGCCCCCACCCCTTCGTGGTTGCTGCATCCGGAACACCAAGGCTGGGTATTTCTCAGTGGGAATGAAACCATGGTCTTAAAACACAAGCCACTGGAAAATAGCATTTGATATAGAAAAATTCATTTTACAGCAACTTTTTAAGAGTGGATCCGCCCCCTTCAGCAACGGAAGGCCGTGCTCAGAAAACCACATTCTTTCAGGTCCCTGGGGCTGCGTGGGGGTGGGAATAGAAATCTGTCTACACGCTGCAAGGCAGAGGTCTTTTCTTCTGTTAAAAACATAATTTTACCCTCATGTTGCTTCGTGTTTCCTGGCACATGCATTCTGGGGCTCTCGGGCCTTTCTGGAGGCATCTCTGCAGACATCAAGTGGCCTGCCCACTTCCCTCCAGCCAGAGGCTCAGGCGTGGGCACTGAGGGTGAAAAGAATTCGTAACACCCTTACTACAAAGAATGTGGTCCCAGCTGGCACAGCCTCCATCTCACCTGGGAGCCCCTGGCCAGGCCTGCTCCCTCAGAACCTGCATCTGAACGAAACCCCACAGCGAGTCAAGGCACATTAAGGTTGGGGAACGCTTGGATGCACCCTGGTTGCAGGGTGCCCTCTGCCTGCCTCCTAAGGGGCGGCCACACCTGCCTTCCTCCCTCCCCTTCCAGGGCCCCTGTCCCATCACAGACCACTCCTCAGAGGGACTCCAGAGGAATTTCCCAAGACCCATTTCCATGTTTATTCTATACCACAGCATCCCTCTCTCATCACAGAAATCCAGCAAGATGATCATTGCATCACATGGTGGGAAGTCAGGAGACCTGAAAGAGAGGTGACAGCGACATGAAAGACACTTGGCCCTTACAGAGCACTCCCAACCCAGGAGGGAGACCCTGGGACCCAAGGTCTCAGAGAGGGGAAGTCATCTCCCCAAGGACAGCCTACTAAATGGCAGAGTCAGGGTGATCCCACAGCCACTGAGTTGTCCCTGGATACCCTGCTGTCCAGGGGAAGTGGGAGTGGCCACGGGGATGGTCAGAACTGCACCTCCATCCAACTGGCTTAGCCCAGCAGTTCCCAATTGGTTCCGTGGAGCAAGCCTTCAAAGGCTCTCTGGTGTGGGGACTGGCTCCATGCTATTCACAGCCTCTCCCAGTCCCTGACGGTCACTGCACCTTTACTGCAGGCCAGGCCGCCCCAGGCTTCCTCCACCACATTTCTTTGCTTTGGGTGGGATGGTGTCAGCCCACTGTGCCTGTTCAGTCTGCTGGGAGCTGATGGGAGTTAACAGGCATCATCTCTGCCCTTCAGTAACCCAAAATGAGAACGCTTATGTTACTTAACAAATGCAGTTTGCTCGTTGGGCAAACATGGGCCTTGGGGCAAATAACAGAAGAAGGGACTTTCCCAGTGGGAACAGAGAGAGGAATTAGTTGAGAAATTTGAGGTGCAGAAGGGAAGGCATTTGTCGGGATTATTTTTCAGCGGTGGCACCTGCTCTCTTATCCTTTTTTTTTTTTTTTTTTTTTTGAGATAGAGTCTTGTTCTTGTCCCCCATGCTGGAGTGCAATGGCACGATCTCTGCTCACTGCAACCTCCACCTCCCAGGTTCAGGTGATTCTCCTGCCTCAGCCTCCTGAGTAGCTGGGATTACAGGTGCCTGCCACCACACCCGGCTAATTTTTGTATTTTTAGTAGAGACAGGGTTTCGCCATGTTGTCCGGGCTGGCCTCGAACTCCTGAACCCAAATGTTTCTCCCACCTTGGCCTCCAAAAGTGCTGGGATTACAGGCGTGAGCCATCGCACCTGGCTTTTTTTTTTTTTTTTTTTTTTTTTTGAGACGGAGTCTTACCCTGTTGCCCAGGCTGGAGTATAATGGCGCGATCTCAGTTCACTGCAACCTCCACCTCCTGGATTCAAACGATTCTCCTGCCTCAGCCTCCCAAGTAGCTGGGATTACAGGCATGTGCTACCACGCCTGGCTAATTTTTTTTTATCTTTAGTAGAGACAGGGTTTCACCATGTTGGCCAGGCTGGTCTCGAACTCCTGACCTCATGATCCGCCCATCTCAGCCTCCGAAAGTGCTGGGATTACAGGCGTGAGCCACCATGCCTGGCCCATCTTTTCTTTAAAATAAAGTCTTTGTTTCCCCACTCCCACCCAGCCCTGCTGGCGATGGGGGTGGCCACAGGCTGCCCTGTGAGGCCCAGGATGGGAAGGGGCACCTCGTGCACTCATCCTGGGTTTTCGCTAGATGCTCCTCGTCCCCCGTTCTCTTGCAAGCTGTCCTCGAGGACATGTGGGCTCTTGTTTGCAGGTTTCAGGGGAGCCTGGCAGAATCCAGCCGCAGACACATTTGAATTTCTTGTAGAAACCTGCACCAAGCGTGGGGGTGCGGCCAGCCCAGAAGCATTCCAGGGAGTGGGGTCTCTGTGGGGCTTCCACCCCAGCTGCTTCCCTGGCTCCTCCCAGGCAGACCTCTTCCCTCCCCTACCCCTCTCACTTCCACCCCACAACCCACAGGAGATTGGAGGCCTTGGAGATACTGGTCAGGAGAGTGCAAAGGTTAAAGGTGAGAGCTGGAAGGTCAGATGGATACAGCAGGTGCTGCTATCAACTGGCAACTTCAGCTCGTAGCCTCTGCCCCAGACACATTTTCTCCATCTGCCAGCAGCCTGGAGGAGGTGGGGTCCCCAGAGCCCATGACGGCCGGAATGCGTCTTCTCCATTCTGGACTGGAAGCCACCTCTGGGCACAGCACAGGATTGCAGGGGAGGGACACAAGGGCTTCTTTTTTTTTTTTTTTTTTTTTTTTGAGACAGGATCTCACTGTGTTGTCCAGGCTGGAGTACAGTGGCACAATCAAGACTCACTGCAGCCTCAACCTCCCAGGCTCAAGTGATCTTCCTACCTCAGCCTCCAAGTAGCTGGGACTACAGGTGCACACCAGCATGTTCCACTAATCATCTTACTCTTTGTAGACACTGGGTCTCACCCTGTTGCCCAAGCTGGTCTCAAACTCCTGGGCTCAAGTAATCCTCCTGCCTCAGCCTCCCTAAGTGTTGGGATTACAGATATAAGCCTGGCCCACAAGGGGTACTTAGAAATGGTTTTTACGTGTCTAGTAGCTGGACACCCAGGTTCAGAGGTCTCCAGGACCATGGGCCAGGACATTCTTGGGAAGGGAAAGCCAACTAGGTCTCAAATACGGCTTAAAAAGGAGTCCACTTAGATGTAAAAGATGCACCATCCATTCACAATGAACGACCTGAACTCTGATGCGGACACACCGCCAGGAGACTTTTGAGACGGAGTCTCGCTCTAGTGCCCAGGCTGGAGTGCAGCGGCGTGATCTCAGCTCAAAGCAATCTCTGCCTCCTAGGTTCAAGCGATTCTCCTGCCTCAGCCTCCCGAGTAGCTGGGATTACAGGCATCCGCCACCACACCCGGCTAATTTTTTGTATTTTTAGTAGAGACGGGGTTTTCCCATGTTGGCCAGGCTGGTCTTGAACTCCCGCCCTCAGGTGATCCACCCACCTCAGCCTCTCAAAGTGCTGGAATCACAGGCGTGAGCCACTGCACCTGGCCAAGAAGACTATTTTTAAGCAAGGTCTGTGGGGGTCTTTTCAGTGATTTTGTATGGGATGGATCAGTTCTGCAGCCCTGGGTGGCCCCTCTTAGGCCCATGTGTTCACAGTCTGTGGATGTATCCCCCTCTCCTGGGAGATGTAAGCGACTCCAGGGCAGGGACCATGTGTGGTTCACGCTTGTTCCCAGAAAGCTCCCCCAGTGCCCAGCTGCCAGAACTCAAAGTCTGTCTGGGGTCGGGGATGTGTCTCCCCCACCAAGCTGAGCCTTGCTGAAGACCAGGACTCCATCCTGCCCACTGGAGCACCTGGGGCTCAGGCCCACAGCTGGGCTACTGACTTTTCTCACTGTGGGACCTTCAGCCGGGCCTCTTAGCTCCCTGTGCATCTTCCTTATCTGGGAAGTGGCAGTTTCATCTAGTTGCACCTCATGGGGTGGAGGTGAGGATGACCTGGGCTGTGAAGAGGCTGGCATGTCACAGTGCACAGACCTGCCCACAAGTGGGGCCTTGCTGTCTGGCACTCCCCATGCAACGCTGGACACAAGGAAGGTGCTGGTACTGCCTGGAGTTCAGGCAGATGTTTTTCCAAAATAACATTTCTTTCTTTCTTTTCTTTTCTTACAGAGTTTTGCTCTTGTTGCCCAGGCTGGAGGGCAATGGTGCGATCTCAGCTCACCACAACCTCCACCTCCCGGGTTCCAGCCATTCTCCTGCCTCAGCCTCCCCAGCAGCTGGGATTACAGGCATGCACCACCATGCCCGGCTAATTTTGTATTTTTAGTAGAGACGAGGTTTCTCCATGTTGGTCAGGCTGGTCTCAAACTCCCAACCTCAGGTGACCCACCCGCCTCAGCCTCCCAAAGTGTCGGGATTACAAGTGTGAGCTACCATGCCCGGCAACAACATGTCTTAAGTACAGGGATAACAATGGTGTGTTATTGGTGGGAGATGTGAGGGTTTGCTTTTGTTTTTTGTTTTTAAGGGAAAGCTTGACATTTCTCTGCTTTATCCCATTCCCCAGCAGACTAACACCAACCAAGCTCCTGCTGCCGGGACAAGCACTGTACTGAGCCACATATTAATGAACAGGAATTCAGGACATTTGGAAACCAAATTCCAAAGGCTCCAGGGTAAGGAGAGAGAGATGACCTCCTGGGACCCCGCCCTCCTGCCTGAGCCCAGAACCCTAGAAGCCAGTCCCAGCTGCGGACACGTGCCCACGCCAGCCCCCCACACACGGTGCTCTCTGAGTCCAGGCATGCTCATGGTCTTTTGAGGAGAGAGATTGATTGCGTTAGGGACCTTGCACCTACAAAATCCATCAGCCTGTACATGGACGGACATTCGCTCAGGACAAACAAAACCCAGCAAACTCTAATATCCACGTGCAGGGCCTCTCCGGCAGTGAGTGACGGCAGTTTTGGTCTTTTGGCGAGACATCAAGCAAGACACTTTCCATGCAGGAACTCAACCTGTCCCCATTTCACAAGTGAGGAATCCAAGGTTCAGAGAGGTCAAATGAGACTCCCAAGGCCACTCAGTGGCAGGGCCAAGCTCTAACCCTGAGAGTCTCTGATTATAACCCCGGTCTCACCAGGACACCTGCTTAAACCCCTCTGAACCAGGGGTCCCCCAGGAGATAAGCAACAGGTAACAAGTGCACATATGAATACCCAGGCCAGTCATCACATAGTAAGGTTATATGTACTGAGAAAACTTCTCAGAGTGGGAATCAAAGTGACAAAGATGGAAAATTTGAATCAGGTCACGCAAAACCGAGTGACTCTAGAAGAATGCAGCTTCTCTGAGACTGAGCTAACTCTGGCCAACTTTTGCGTGATTCCCAGATAAGCAAGGAAAAGGTTGGGGGGGCAGACAGCAGTTCAGAGGCCTCTCTGGTTTTAGTATAAGGGCCTGAGAATGGGCGGAGGGGGGGAAGACCCAGGCTCTGAGGCTGTCTTGGGCTGGGGGTCTCTTAAGCAACTGTGTGAGGGGGGAGCCAGAAGTGGACTCTTGAGCCAGACAAATCTGATGTTTCTTCCAAGCAAGCCATGTGACCTCTCTGACCCTCAGTCTCTTCATCTGAAATGTGTCCAGCAAAGCTTTATTGACTAGCTGCTCCATGCGGGGCTGATGCTGGGTGCCAGGGACTCAGCAATGAACGGGGGAGACCAGATTGGAGCCCTCACCAAGCTCACTCCTAACGGGGAGACAGCGAATTTGGAGATGAGCAGATTCTGCCATCAGCTCTAAGGAAATAATGCAGGGATGAAATAATCCCTTTCTCGGGTGGGGCTCAGGGTGGGCATCCGAGTCAAGGCTGAGTCCAGCACGGACCCCGGGGTGAGCGCTCAGTCGGCGGAAGCTGCTTTTGAGGCTGCAGAAGTTCTATTACCATAACCTGAGTAAAACGGGGCTGCCTTGGGGGCCAGTCTCATCACGGTGTCACCCTCAAAAAAACACCAGTCTGACATCCCCAAATCATTGAAAAAAAGTTTAAATCTTCCCAAAATCTTTCAAAGAGACACCAAAGGGGAAATGGTTTGCGTACCACACACAAAAGATGTTTTCAAGCCTCTCTGCCGGGAGGTCTCATGGTAGTTGCCTCTGGAATATCTCCCTTCCCGCTCCCTCCTTTTTATCCTTATCAGAGAGGTGGGAGCGCTGGGCCTGGCCCCAGGAGACAGGGGACTGGGCTGGATCCAGCCTCTGTCCTCCCTAGCTGTGGGCTCCTGGGTGCATTGCTTAACTACTCTGTGCCTCAGTTTCCTCATCTTCAAATTATAGCTAACAATCGCACCACCTGCAAGGGGCTCTTGTGGGAATTCTAGGAAATAATCCCCATGAAGTGCATGAGAGAGGCAGGCACACAGCTAGACTGTTGACGTGTGAGCTACTAATATGATTTCTCTCTGCTTCCCTCACCCACCTTTCCTTTGCACCCCACCCCAGTTAGGAGCTCTGGGCAGTGCCTCCTATAGGTCAGTATGTGTTTTCTAGGTCCCACCGCTCAGCGGCAGCTCCACCCACTGTCCCAGACAGCACAGGGAAAAGGCCAGGGATGGACAGGCAGAACTGGGAACTTTCTTAGGAGGGGACAACAGGGCCTGGGACCATGTTTACCCCTGCCCCCTCTAAGGTTGCATCCTCTCTTACATGGGACACACAAAGGGCAGTGTCCCCCGGGCATCAGTGCTCTGAGGGCAGAGCCAAGCGAATGTCCCCTTAGGGCCTGCCGATGTGCTGGGGAAACGTGGTTCCCCACCCATGAGGCTGCTGCTTGCTCCAAGCCTGGGTGCCATGGCCAAGATGGCTCTACCTGGCTGCCAGGGTCACAGAGCAGAGGATTCAGATGTCTCACTTCCTGAGGGTCTCCAGGCCAGGCCCTGGCAACACAGCTGTGAACAGCCATGTGGTTCCTGCCCTCATGGAGCTCACAGCCCTGTGTGCAAAGCAGGCAATCAGGGCCTAAGCATGGGGTGCGAAACCCAGAGTGGGCAGAAGAGGACGGGCTGGGCACCAGAGAGGACTTCCCAGAGGAAGAGGCACTGAAGGGAAGGGCTCGGATGGGAAGAAAAGGGGTTCCAGGCAGAGGCCACAGCCTGGGCAAGGGCCTGGGAGAGAAAAGTGGTGGGTTCCAGGAGCTGCAGGCTTCCTCGCCCACCTCCCCCGACAGGTGAGGTTTATCGCTCAAGGCCACATACGCCATCTCACGTGGTCCCCGCTGCCACCTGGAGAGGTCAGAGGGCAGGAACTCTTACTCCCAATTCACACTGGGACAATTCCCAGCTGGACTAGAACCCCGATCTCCTGACTCCTGGCTCAGGTGAGAGTCAACATGCAAGGCTGGGCCCACAGCAGCCCTGGCATTTGACCAGCAGCCAGGTAGGCCCAATTTTCATCACCTGCCTTTAACAGATGAAGAAATTGAGGCTTAGGGAGAGCACAACACCCCTCAACTGCCGCAGTTTTTGTCTGTCTGGGGGCCCTAGGACAAGCCTGAGGTGCGGAAAAGCCCTCCCTGGGTGGGGCAAGAAACAGAGCTGGGAACGGGTGACTTGGGGTGAAGGAAGGAGGGGAGCGGGGATGGGTTTTGGAAATCCACACTGGGCAGGGAAAGGCGAAGGAATGTGGGTGAGACGGGGTGCGCCAGTCCCGGAGGGGCCCAGGGCCTCAGGCAGCCCCCTCCCTCCTTGCCTCCCAGGTGAGACCCTAACTTCGCGGAAGACGACACCCCTCAGCTGGGCGGGGAGGAGGGCCACCGCCTCCTGGCCACCCAATCAGAGACATTCCCAGTCTGATGGCGGAGGCCGCCAGGGCCAAGGGCTCCCAGGGCCTTCCCCGGGGAACCCCCGAGACCTGCCCCGGACTCGGAGGCCCACCGCGCATCGCCCGCCCCCAGCCTCATTAGCACCGACACCCGTCGTCCTCCCCTCGGTTTCCGATGGCTCCAGAATTTAAAGGTTAAATCCTAACCTCGTCTCAGCAGTTTCTCCCGGCTTTGCCTACCCAGCGCCAGTTGCTGGTAATTATATGCATCTCCGAGCAGCCAATCAGCTGTCAGACTGACAGATACTGATCTTTTCGTTTTATTTTTAGCTCTGTGCTTCCCCCTCTAGTTGCAAAAAAAAATTCTGTTTGTTCTGTGTGCTGCTGCCTCGCTCCCAGCCCTGCAGCCGGCTCTCATCTCCGCCAGCCAGGCGGGAGCAGGCAGCCGCCGGGGCTGGAGCCTGCGGTCCCCGCCCGAAAGCGGGGAACAGAACGTGCCCGCCGCCCCCGAGCTGCGGACCGCCCTGCCCAGAGCAACCCCCGGGGCTGCCATGGGGAAGGGAGGAGGCCGGGGCGCTGTGGGCACCTTGGATGCAAACACCCGAGGAGCTGTGCTCAGTCTTGGGGGCCACGCACGGGTGGAAGCAAGCCCGTACCTGCGGGCTGGGGGCTTGGAGAGAAAGACACACACAGAGACAGCGAGAGACAGAGAGACGTACACAGGCAGAGACAAGCTAGACTGAGGGCGGAGGGGAAAAAAGACAAGCACTTTCCCCCCTGGAAGCACTCGTCCCCCATCCCCCAGAACCGAACAGAAGGGGTCAGGAATGGCCTCAGCCCCGCCCTGGAGTGGGGCTCAGAGGGGAGTTTCCAGCCCCGGGCCCCCCAGAGCTCGGGCCGGGAACCTGGGCCTCCCCTCCCAGGTCTGCTGCCTCATCTGCCACGGAAGGGCGAGTGAAGTGCTCTTCGGGGTCATTTGTGAGTTGTTCTGCAAGGTTCTGTGGGCCTTCCTGGAGACTGGCAGGTGTAGGGGCCTGGCCGGAGGGAGGCCGCTATTCATACAGCTTCTCTGGAGGGAGAGACAGCAACTGAGGGCCAGGGAAGCTCTTAGGTCCCAGTGAGTCTCCCAGACAGTGGAGGGGTCTGATCCAGGGGGGCCGGCCCTGAAGAGTGATGGGAATGATTGTGAAGTTTCCTTCCATCCTCGCGGCTCTCTACAATTTGCAAAGTGTTCACTTTGCCCTAGTGGCCTCTCCTTCTGCCCCACAGTTAGCTCCAGAATGGAGTGAAATAGGGGTCTGGGAGGCCTGGGGAGGCTCACCTGTTTTCTGATGGGCCCTGGGGCCGGCGTCGGGGGAGTGTGGCCTAATGGTTCCGTCTTTGAGGTACAACTCACCTGGTTCAAGCCCCAGGGCTGCTGTTTACCAGCTCTGCGACCCTGAGTGAATGGCTCGAGCTCTCTTGGCCCCAGTGTCCCCATTGGGAAGGTGGGCCCCCACCCCACCCTGCACCCCCACAGGGTGGCTCAGGGCCAGAAGTCACTCCGTCTGGGTGCTCCTCCCGGCCCCGGCCTCCACGGGCCCGGCACACTTGTGAGCAGGTATTATTAGCTTCTCCGTTTTGCGGATGGGGAAACTGAGGTTCATGTGACTCGTAATTGGCAGAACTGGGACTAGAAACACCCCCCCACTTTTGGCTTCCTTTTCTCTGACACCACAGATGGCGCGCTGAGAAAAAAGAGAAGAGCGGGAGAAGGGAATTAGGAGCCCGAGAGAGATGGAGGGAGGCAGAAGCGCCGTGATCAATTACTTGGGCTATAAATTTCTGCTGTTTTGCAAAGTGAGCACACAGCCTCCGAGAGGCAGAGCTCCCTGGGCAGGCTCTGGAGAAACCAAACAGAGCCAAGCCCTGCAGCAGGCGCTTTTGATGGTGGGAACCGGGGAGGGAGAGGGGTCGAGCTCAAGGGTGGGTGGGACAAGCTGGGGGTGCAGCAGAGGGGGCCAGGGGAGGGCCAGAGGAGAGGAAGGAAACCCAAGTGTCAGTGAGCTTGGGAGCTGTGGGAGCCCCCTGGGGAGGGATCGGCTTCGTGCCTCCCCGGCATTCTCTCCCGCTGCTGGGGGTAGGAGAACCAGGCCTGGGCACAAGATCGTGGCCCCCTGCCACTGCATTCGAAGCTGGTACAGGGCCAGGGCGGGGGCGACGGGGGGCAGGAGGCCCTTTGAACCTCACCTTCCTTATCTGTCAAATGGGGATACTGATGACATCCATCCCCAGGGATTGGTATCTAGGGTATAAGTGGCTTAGCCTGGGGCCTGGCACACAGCAAGGAGAGTTGTTGTTGTAAATTTTTTGGAAGATTACCAAGGGCAGAAGGGTTTGGTAACTGGTGGTTTGGAGACCAACTTAATTATTTAAAAGGTGGAAAGTGGTCCCCGCTGGGAGGAAGGGTGATGGAAAGAGTTTCCCACAGTGGGGATAGGTTGGGCACGGCATTAGACCTGTCTCTTGGTCTCCCAGACATGGAGGGGCTGTGGACAGGGGCCAGGATGCTGTGTGTAGCTGGGAAAAGAGGCCAGAGCCAGCTGCCTGGACTCCACCTTTCTGGAGCCCTGCAGTGGCTCACTTAGGAAATGAGCCGGAAACAGAGGCCGGCTTCTCTCTTTGGAATCCGAGTGCCCCAGGGAACATGGGATCCTGGGAGCAACCCCCTCAGGGCCTTCCACACTGTGGAACTGCAAAGAATGTGGCGTTCCAGAAGCGGCCCCTGTGTGCTCAACCTTCTACTGTGTAGGAGGAAGTTCACAGTGAGCCAGCGCGGGCCCTGCCCACAGGGAGCAATTTGTCAGGGAGAAGGGAAAAAAATAGATACACCTGACCCCTGAACCTTGGTCTTTCAACCCCAGACAATGGTCAAAGTAAATGGGAGGCCGCAGGATGGAAGAAGAAGGCCACAGACTACAGACACGAGGAAGGAGGAAAGCAGGGGTGGGAACCTGAGGGCAAGGGGTGAAGCCCAGAGTCACTGTAAATCAGAGCCCCAGAGAAGATGCCCTGAGGTTCAGGCAGGCGCTAGGCTCAGGGCCGGAGGCAGACACTCTCCAGCTTCAGGGATCCCAGGCCAAAGGCACTGGAGGAGCTCTCTATTTTAAAGGAGCCCTGAGATGGATTCCTTTTCAGTGGAAAAGGACTTCCCCTGGATGGGGATGATGAAAATGTTGACTTAGTCATAACAAATGTAAGAAACAGCCCCCGAAGAGAAGTTTATTTCTTGCTTGCATTACAGTCTCCTGGGGGCTGGTGGAGGGAGGGGCAAGGGCTCTGCTCCATGTGGTCACTCAGGGGCCCGGGCCCCTTCACCCCGTGACCCTGTCATCACCTAAGGCCTTATCCTCCTCTGCTGCAACCATGTGGGAGAAGAAAGAGGGAGCATGGAGGATAGCATGGAAGGATGCTTGTGGACCAAGCTAAACCAGGAGCAGAGGAGCCACATCATTTCAGCTCCCGTTGCACAGGCCAGAGCCGGGTCATGTGACCACTCCCAGCTGCAAGGGAGGCTGGGAAATGCAGTCCAGCTGCATGCCCAGGAGGAAGCCAATGAACCAGGGTTTGGTGAAAACATAGCAATCTCTACCTCAAACGCTGTCCTCTTCAGGTGGATGAGTTGACATGAAGCGATACTAACAAAGTGCCCACTGTACCTGGCCTCTGACCTGTGTGCCAAAGCTGCTCATCTGGAAACCCAGAGGCTGGTCACCTTAGGGTCAGGACAGGCCTCTGAAGGCTGCTCCTCCACCTCCTCTGGAAACTGTACCTTAAAGCATGCCAGCCTGGGCAACATGGCGAGACCTCGTCTCTACTAAAACAACACAACAACAAAAATTAGCCAGGTATGGTGGCTGGCACCTATAGTCCCAGCTACTCGGGAGGCTGAGATGGGAGAATCACTTGAGCCCGGAAGATCAAGGCTGCAGGGGGCTGTGATCACGCCGCTGCACTCCAGCCTGGGTGACACAGTAAGATTCTGCCTCAAAAAATAATAAAAGTAAAAATAAAGTGTGCAGAGAAGGAACAAGGGGAGTAGAGGAAAGTTTTTTGGTCTAAGGAAAGCAGCTAAAGCCTTTATCAGATTCCCAAAAATTTGAAGCAAAAGGACTTAAAGAGAAGTGGACCACTGCCTATTAAAGCAACAGCCTTGGTACCAACACATTGGTCCTTATGAGCCCAACTACACAGAAGCTGAGGATTCCCCAGCTGTCATCCCCTCTCCCCAACCAGGCACGCCCCATAGACCTCCAGGGTCAGGGCAGGGAAGGCCCCCACCGATCCTCAGCAGCAAACACACCACCAGTCCAAGTCAGCCACGATGACCAAAGCAGCCACAGGGCCTTGGGGCGTCAGCATGGGAGGCGCGTTCAGCCGTGCAGTTGGAGAAACTGAGGCCCAGAGAGGGGCCATCTTGCCCAGGGTCATGCAGTGAGTTAGGGCAGAGTCGGGTGGCATTCAGTGTCTAACCAGTCAGGTTTCTGTGGTTATAAGCAAGAGAAATGGACTTCGTTTGACTTGAGCAGAAAGGGGCTTTATCATCAGACCAAGAGGGAGCTCAGAGAATGGAAGCAAAGGCTGGAGATCCAGGCGGGCCTTGGTGAGGATGGGACGAAACCAGGGCATCTTCCAGAGCCAGGAAAGACTCAGTGACCACCCCAGGGGTTGGCCATCAAGAATGAGGCCAGATGGGCATCTATCTTCAGGGTAGGATGGCTGGTGACCAAGATGGGGCTCCAGGCCTGCTGTGGGTTGAATGTGTCCCCCAAATTTCATGTGTCATGAAGAACTTAATCTCCAGTGGGGCAGTATCGAGAGGTGGGAGCTTTAAGACGTGATTGGAGCATGAGGGTTCTGCCCTCAGGAATGGATTAATGCATTCATGGATTTCAGTGTATTAACGGGTCATCATGGGAGGGAAACTGGTGGCTTTATAAAAAGAAGAGAGGCTTGAGCCAGCTCATGGGCCACTCTGCCCCCTTGCCATGTGATGCCCGGCACTGCCTGGAGACTGCACAGATCCCAACCAGCAAAAAGGGTGTCACCGAATGTGGTCCCTCAACCTGGGACTTCTCAGCTGCCATAACTATAAGAAATACATTCCTTTTCTTTATACATTACCCAGTTTCAGGTATTCTGTTATAAGCAACAGAAAACAGACGAAGACAAGGCCCATCCCTTGGCCAGGCAGGACAGGGGCATCTAGGCTGACAGCACACTCCCCAGGCTACACACACTGGGAGAGGTCCCCATGAGGCAACTGGGGGGCTCTTGCCAGAAAAGGGGGGCTTGGGTGCTGGGCTGGCCAAAACAGCAGATGTCCACCCTGGCCTCCTGCACCGGGGTTGTGCAATCAAAACAAAACAAGCACGGGGCTGGTTTCCTGCAGCCAAGAGCTATGGGCTGACCAGGGAGTCCGGCCCAGAGCACAGCCGAGAATCAGGGAAAACAGAGGCTCTCTGCAAGCTCGCTCTGCAAACCTGGGACCCGGATTCCAGGCTCTGCGGCTCCCTCAGGAGACTGGCAGCTCCCTGAAGGCAGTAAGGGAGGCTCCTGGCCCCACTCCAAGCTGGGCTTATGTGGGGCTCGCTCAGGCCAGTCTGTGGAGATGTCACAAGCCAGGGATTCACACTGAAGGAGGAGCTGAGGCCGAGGGCTGGGGGTCCAGGTGGAATTTATCCCAGGGGGCTGGGAGGTGGAGCGGGGAGAAAGTCCGGGAAGTCCAGAAGGGCCTGACTCAGGAGCTCAGCGCTGGTTTCACTCCCCACCTCCCCACCCCACCCCCACCCTGGCTCCGGGGGGAGGCCAGTGGCGATACTCAGTGTTCATGCTGGCAGGAGCGAGAAACCAGAGAGAGAGGAGGGATGGTGGGACGGTCAGTTTCCTGTGTCCACTCAGGGGAGGCTGCAGTCCCCACCTCTTGAATCAAACATGAATCTCTGTGTTGCCAGGAAGGTATTTTGCGGATGCGATTAAAGTCCATGATTGCCAGCCGGGGGCGGTGGCTCATGCCTGTAATGCCAGCACTTTGGGAGGCTGAGGCGGGTGAATCACTTGAGGTCAGGAGTTCGAGACAAGTCTGGCCAACATGGTGAAACCCCGTCTCTACTAAAAATACAAAAATTCGCCAGACATAGTGGCCTATGCCTGTAATCCCAGCTACTCGGGAGGCTGAGGCACGAGAATCATTTGAATCCGGGAGGCAGAGGTTCCAGTGAGCTGGTGCCATTGCACTCCAGCCTGGGTGACAGAGCAAGACCCTGTCTCAAAATAAATAAATAGTCCATGATTGGTTGACTTTAAGAAAGGGAGATTGTCGGCCGGGTGTGGTGGCTCACGCCTGTAATCCCAGCACTTTGGGAGGCCAAGGCGGGCGGATCACGAGGTCAGGAGATCAAGACCATCCTGGCCAACACGGTGAAACCCCATCTCTACTACAAATACAAAAACATTAGCCGCGCCTGGTGGCGGGTGCCTGTAGTCCCAGCTACTCGGGAGGCTGAGGCAGGAGAATGCTGTGAACCCGGGATGTGGAGCTTGCAGTGAGCCAAGATCACATCACCGCACTCCAGCCTGGGTGAGAGAGCGAGACTCCATGTCAAAAAAAAAAAAAGAAAGAAAGAAAGAGAGAGAGATTGTCTCAGATACTCTGGGTGGGCCTGACTCAATCCGGTGAAAGGCCTTAAGAACAGGGCTGGTGCTTCACTGCCTGTGGATGGCAGCGTGTGCCCAGGTGGAGATTTCCAACTGCCCTTTCCGACAGCCTGCCGTCTAGACTTCAGACATGCTTCTCCAGCCCCCACAATTGCATGAGCCAATTATTTGTAATAAATCTCCTACTATCGACCTCTTACTGCTTCTGTTTCTCTAGCAGAACCCTGACCAGCACAGCTGGCGGGAGGACAGTGGGGAAGTGGGCTGGGAGGTTCTGAGGACCCTCTCTAGGTAGGAGCATCACACCTGCACAAACAAGCAATAACTAGGTCCTGTCCCTCACGCAGCTGGGAAGCAAGGACAGTGCCACCCTTAGGGGCCGTGCAGCCGTGGGTGCTGGCGTTCAGCAAGGTGGCTCAGAACTCCAGGGCAGGCCTGGCACAGTCATGTACAACTGTCCTTTGTCCCCCCAACACCACCCCCTTGAGTGGCAGACACATCCGTTAAACTCTGGCCTGCATAGACTTGATGCCTGTTATTTCTCTGAATCTGCAGAACACTGGACAAAAGAAGAGACTGAGGTCCAGACTTGCTCACTTGTCTAGGGGTTGAGATGGTCCCAGAGCTCTTTGAACCCCACCTCTCTCAATGAGGCTAAGGTGCCCATGTGACCATCAGACCCCCAACAGCGATACGGCCAGGTCTGTGGTCTGAGCTAACCTGGTGGAAGGATGGCTTCGAGGGGCTCTGTCCTGACCCATGTGGGCAAACACACACCCCAAGTCTGGCTGACAGTCCTCAGGGGAGGTGAGGGGCCTGCTGCGGAAGAGACTCCATCACTGTAAGCCTCCCTCCCCCAAGATCAAAGATCTCCAGAGACTTCAGGTCTCCTAAAATCTCTCCCCAGCCTCCTGGCCCCATTCTCACTGTGTCAGTAGGAGGCACAGCGGAGGCTTAGGAAGCATCCACGGCCCACCTGTGTTGGGACCTCAGGGGAAGTGTGGTGAGGTGCCACTCAGTGTCCTCTTCCTCCGGGACAAGGGGAGGAGCCACAGGAGCTGGGGTGGGGGTGGCAGGAAAGAAGATAAAGAAAGGAAGACCCCTGACTCCACCTCAGGCCGGCTCCAATAAGCAGCTGGGCCTGCAGGCCTATGGGTGGGAAGCCTGCGGGTAGCAGGGACATTTACTTTTTTTTTTCTAAGATGGTGCCTCACTCTGTCGCCCAGGCTGGAGTGCAGTGGTGCGATCATGGCTCACTGCAGCCTCCCGAGGCTCAAGCCATCCTCCTGCCTCCGCAGTAGCTGGGAACACAGGCACATGCTACCATGTCCGGCTAATTTTTTTTTTTAATTTTATTTTTTGTGGAGATGGGATCTCGCTGTGGTTCCCCAGCTGGTCTTAAGCATTTACTCTTATATACTGACCAAACATAAATACAAAGCCCACTGCCAGAGCCAGGCTTTGCTCCAAGCACCAACAATTGTTCACTTCTTTAATCTTCACAACGGCCCTTTAAGGGTGGAGAGACTATTACTGTCTGTCATACCCATTTTATAGAGGAGGAGACTGAGGCACAGAGAGGTTAACTCCTTGCCCAGGGCCCCACAGCCAACACATGGTGGCCCCGCCCCATCTCCCTAATCCCAAGGCCCCATCCACCTCTCCTCCTTCCTCAGACCTTGGAAGAGACCTCCCCAGGGGGCCTCCCCGCTCTCAGCTGGAGACCCCAGTCAAGAGGGTCCCTCTGTCTCTTGTTATAGCACAGGCTGCAGTGCAGACCCATTCTTTCTCTCTCTCCCTCTCTCTCTCTCTCTCTCTCTCATCAGCTGTTTGTTTGGTCTTTGGGGCTCCCACCCTTCATTTTTGAGGCAATAAACACTCAGGATGGAGTTTGGAAGGCACAGAGACCTCACACTGTGGTGTAATTGATCGGTCCCCGTAGCTCCATCCCCTCCAGCAGCAGGGCTTCTCACTGGCTGCATGGGGGGCAGGATGGGGCTGGGCCCACCATGGCTCTGCAGATCTCGGGTTGCTCGGCTGCTGCCCCTGTGGATCCATCGCAGCTGTCACTTGGTGGCTTCGTCCTCCCAGCCCTCTGAGATGTGCTGTCATCACCACCCCACTTTTCAGATGAGGAAATCGAGGCTCAGGGGTGTCGGGGAATTTGTCCAAGGTCTTCCATCTGTCTGGGCTCAGCATTGGCACTTTTCAGGGCCCCCACTGTTCTTCGAGTGTCTTTGGGGGCCCCCTTCGATCCCTCACCGCGTGCACAGTGCAGCCACGTTCTGCCCAAAACCTCACAATGCTACGAGAGGAAACAAGAGGCTGCCTTGAGCAATGCCAGCTCAATGTATGGGGCAGACCCGGAGGCTAAACAGTGTTTCTACCTTAACTGTGATCCCAGAGACTTCCATAAACCGGGTTTGCTTAAAGCAAGGAAAGCAGGGATTAACTGAGTCTGGGCAGTTTCCCTGGAGTTCAGTTGTGCAAAATGACATTTACATTCTCCTAGGGGAGTGAGGACCACAGGCTGTGGGGAAGGGAGCCCCCCCAGACCCCAGAAAAGGCAGCTGGGGAGCCACAGGTAAAGCAGAGAGCCCCCCGACCCCCCGCCCCACCCACCAACAGCAGCCACAGCAGCAGCATC
Source organism: Homo sapiens (assembly GCF_000001405.40). Classification (NCBI taxonomy): domain Eukaryota; kingdom Metazoa; phylum Chordata; class Mammalia; order Primates; family Hominidae; genus Homo; species Homo sapiens. The sequence continues at coordinate 129,311,910 of NC_000009.12, read as the reverse complement.
CACAGGAAGATGTTCCAGGCCATAGAAATCCTTGCAGGTGACATAGAAGCCTGTGGGTCCCGCCTACACTTTCTGAGCACTTCCCCCAATGGGAGGATTCACCTGTCATTACCTTACTCACCCCGGCCCTCCCTGGGCATGGCTGCAGTGGCTCTGTCCCATGCTCTGTTACCTAAGACACATCTTGGGACACAAGACACAAAGGAGATAGAATTTCACTGCAAAGCAAGAAATTCCTCAAGGTCTCTCATTCATTCATTCATTTGTTATTTATTTATTTATTTGAGACAGAGTTTCACTCTTGTTGCCCAGGCTGGAGTGCAATGGTGCAATCTCGGTTCACTGCAACCTCTGCCTCCCAGGTTCAAGTGATTCTCCTGCTTCAGCCTCTTGAGTAGTTGGGATTAGAGGCATGTGCCACCACGCCAGGTTAATTTTGTATTTTTAGTAGAGACGGGGTTTCTCCATGTTGGTCAGGCTGGTCTCGACCTCCCGACCTCAGGTGATCCTCCTGCCTCGGCATCCCAAAGTGTTGGGATTACAGGCATTAGCCACTGCACCTGGTCTATTTATTTATTTATTCATCTATTTCATCCACTCCCCTGAAGCTTTTAATTGTTATATTCTTTCTCGTCAGTGCCTAAAGGGTTGGGCACAGCCACCACTCCTCCCCAAATCTCCAAAACCATCACCAACCCTCCCTTGGCCCCGAAAGACACTGGGGCTGGGCTGATGGAATGAAACAAATCACCTGCCTTTACACCTTCCATGAGCATGCAGATCCCCCAGCCTCAGTCGAGCTTTCAGATGACTGCAGCCCCTGACTGCACTCTCAGAAGAGACTCGGAACCAGAACCACTCAGCTAAGCTGCTTCTAAATTTCTCACCCACAGAAACAATGAGATAATAAATGTTTCCTGCTATTTAAAGCTTCTATGTTTGGGGATTATTTGTTATGTAGCAGTAGATGAACACAGTGATGGGTGTGTGTGTGAGAGAGAGGGACTTGTAAACAAATGAATGGAGTGCTAGCAGGCATGTGAGGGATTGGCCAGGGATGGATTCCTGAGAGCCGAGTGAGGTATTCCCAGTAGAAGTGTCCTTGGAGACCAGCAGGAGAGACAGGCAGTGAAATAATGATTCACAAACCATTTCATTCATCCAAGAAACAACTGTGCACTTGCTGTGGACTCGACACTATACCAGGTACAGGGGACTACAGCGTGGAAAGATAGGCTCAGGACCAGCTGTGATCAAGTTCTTTTCTTTTTGACAGAGTTTCACTCTTTTGCCCAGGCTGGAGTGCAGTGGCAGAATCTTGGCTCACTGCAACCTCTGTCCCCGGGATCAAGCAATTCTCCTGCCTCAGCCTCCCAAGTAGCTGGGATTATAGGCACCCATCACCACGCCCGGCTAATATTTTTTGTATTTTTAGTAGAGACGGGGTTTTGCCATGCTGGCCAGGTTGGTCTCAAACTCCTGGCCTCAGGCGATCCACCCCCATCAGCCTCCCAAAGTGCTAGGATTACAGGCATGAGCTACCGCACCTGGCCTGTGATAAGGTTCTAATTGCAAGGAAAGAGCAAGGTTACAGAGAAACATGTCATTCCAGATGGGATGAGCACCACAAGAGAAGACCTGGAAGAAGGCCTTGCTGAAGGCCACACAAACAAAGGCCAAAAGGATCTGTAGAGGTTGGCCAGGTGGCGCTGGGAGTGCAGGTGCAGGGAGACGGCATTCCAGACAGAGGGCAGAGCATGTGCAAAGGCCCCAAGGTGGTGAGAAGCTGATGAGTCAAAAGAACAATCTTAAGAAGGTCAGTGCTGTGGTAACAGAGTGAGCCAAGGAGAGGGAGATGAGGGCTGGTGGGAAGACTAGACACAGGTTTAGTGAGCCAGGCTAAGGCTTTCAGTCCTTATGCCCTGCATAGTGGAGAACCGCTGAAGGTTTTAGCGCAAGGACAGGCGAATGTTTGAATGCCTTCATTGATATCAGTTACAGAATACCTGACTCGAGTGGTTTGAACCATATAGTTTACTCAAGAAGAATTACTGAGCTGGGGGCGGTGGCTCACGCCTGTAATCCTAGCACTTTGGGAGACCAAGGTGGGTGGATAGTTTGAGCCCAGAGTTCAAGATCAGCCTGGGCAACATGGCAAGACCCCATATTATTTATAAAAAAAAAAAAAAGAAAGAAAGAAAGAAGGAAAATTGAGCTGGGCGCGGTGGCTCATGCCTGTAATCCCAGCACTTTGGGAGGCCAAGGCGGGTGGATCACAAGGTCAGGAGATCGAGACCATCCTGGCTAACATGGTGAAACCCCGTCTCTACTAAAAATACAAGAAAAAAACAAAAAAAAAAATTAGCTGCATGTGGTGGCACTCACCTGTACTCCCAGCTACTCGGGAGGCTGAGGCAGGAGAATCGCTTGACCCCAGGAGGCAGAGGTTGCAGTGAGCTGAGATCATGCCACTACACTCTAGCCTGGGCAACAGAGCAAGACTGTCTCTCAAAACAAACAAACAAACAAACAAAATTTCCCAGCCTCCCTTGTGATGAACGGCACCCACATGACCAGGCTCTGGCCAGCAGCACATGAATGGCAATGATGTGTGCCCTGCCCTTTAAAGGAAGACGGTCCTTCCTGGTCTCCCCTTCCTGCCGGCTGGAATGCAGACACAGTGGCAGGAACCAGAGCAGCCACCGTGCATCACGAGGTGGAAGCTGTGTGTTAAGGATGGCAGAGCGGCAAGCCCAGGGGAGTCTGGGTACTGACACTGGGCTGTGGATGTTGGGACTGACTGACTATCTTGTTCAGATCGCTGCTATTTTGGGTTTTGCTACAGCAGCTGAACCGGTATCATAATCCATGGTCATCACGAGGCAACAAACTTGATACCAGTTTTGCCTTCAAGTGACAAAGGTGAACGTCATCGTGAATCCAGCCCACTCCTTGGCTGGAGAGCGGGAGGCAAGTAAAAACAGGTGTAAAGCAACACCGGAGAGTGTTCCCGATGTTCCCAGGGGATTTAGAGAGCGGCGGAGGTGCCGAGAAAAGGAAGAGAGCTGTGTGCCGGGGGCATCCACGCTAAGCCAGCCTGGCACTGGGTAGGACACTCAGATGTGCTCATTTCTACAGGGACGTTGCGGGAGCAGGCACAGTGCTTTTATTTAGTGTGTGTGAGAGAAGCTCTGATTTTCTTTTCTTTTTTCTTTCTTTTTTTGAGACGGAGTCTCACTCTGTCGCCCAAGCTGGAGTGCAGTGGCACGATTCAGCTCACTGCAAGCTCCACTTCCCTGGTTCAAGCAGTTCCCCTGCCTCAGCCTCCCAAGTAGCTGGGATTACAGGTGCACACCACCACGCCTGGCTAATTTTTTTTGTACGTTTAGCAGAGATGGGGTTTCACCACGTTGGCCAGACTGGTCTTGAACTCCTCACCTCAGGCAATCCACCCGCCTTGGCCTCCCAAAGTCCTAGGATTACAAGTGTGAGCCACTGCACCCGGCCGAGAAGCTCTGATTTTCATGTGAAGAGGAAACCTGGGCTCAAACTGCCAGCCCAATGATGGCCAGAAGCCATCATCTCACTATGCAGCCCTGGGTCAAGTCGGTAACCAGTTCTTCTCATGCCTCAGTTTCTCCATCTTGTACATGGGAGTTTATACATATGATCGCTTGGACATTTAATTCAATTTTTAAAAAAAGAGATGGGATCTTTCTTTCTTGCTCAGGCTGGAGTACAGTGGTGCAAACACAGCTCACTGCATCCTCGACCTCCTAGGCTCAAGAGATCCTCCTGCCTCAGCCTCCTGAGTAGCTGGGACTACAGGTGTGCACCACCACACCCAGCTATTTTTTTTTTTTTTTTTTGGTAGAGAAGGGGGTCTCACTATGTTGCCTAGGCTGGTCTCAAACTCCTGAGCTCAAGCAATCCTCCTGCCTCGGCCTCCCAACGTGCTGGAAGTAGAGGCATGAGACACTGCACCCAGCCATTTGCACATTTTAATACAATTAAACTCTACCTACGTACAGGCAGTGTACAAGCAGCCCACCAGGACTGTGCAATAGGATTTTACCACTATTGTCAGGCTGTCTCCTACCATAAACAAAAGGCTTCTCCTTTAGAGATGAGTGCAAATATTGTCAAGCTCATTGCCCAATTACTCTATGTGCAAACAGACACCCCAACAGCCGCCTCTCTCCCAGGCAAAGAGGAGCTCAGAATTATTGTTCCATTACCTTCTCACGCATCATGGATAATCTGCTTAGGTAGTAGGTGTATTGTTTAAGTCAGTTTCCTGTCACTGCTCTAACAGATTACCACAAACCTGGTGGCTCAAAACAACCCAAATTTATTATCTTGTAACTCTGGGAGTTGTAAGTCTGAAATGAGTCTCCCTGGGCTGAAATCAAGGTGTCGGCAGGACTGCATTCCTTCTGGAAGCTCTAGGGGAGAATTCACATCCTTGCCTTTTCAGCTTCTAGAGGCCACCCACGTTCCTTGACTCATGGCTCCTTCCACCAAAGGCATCATTCCAACCTCTGCTTCCTTCACCTCGTCGCCTCCTCTAGCTCTGACCCTCCTCCCCGACCCGTATAAGGACCCTGGTGATTACCTTGGGCCCAACTAGATAATCCACGATCATCCCCCCATCTCAGGATTCCTAACTTAATCACACGTGCAGAATTCCTTTGGCCACATGAAGTAGCACACTCACAGCTTCCAGGGATCAGAACGTGGACGTCTTTGGGGGCCATTACTCTGTGCACCACCATCAGTGTCCTCCCACTTGGAAGAGGACAAAAGTTTTCCTGTGTTTTGCTCATTCATGTGTCCCAAGAACCTACAGCAGGGTTGGCTCAAAAAAATATTTGGTAATTCATGAATACGTGAATGAGAGTGGCCCAAATATCACAAGCAAATCTTTTTTTTTCTTTCTATTTTTGAGACAGGGTCTCGCTTTGTCACCCAGGCTGGCGTCCAGTGGCATGATAGCTCACTGTCACCTCAACCTCCCAGGTTCAAGCGATCCTCCCACCTCAGTCTCTCAGATAGCTGGGACTACAGGTGCACACCATCATGCCCAGATAATTTTTTTTTTTTGTCAAGCCAGGGTCTTGCTATGTTGTCCAGGCTGGTCTCGAACTCCTGGGCTCAAGCGATCCTGCCACCTCAGCCTCCCAAAGTGCGGGCCTCATAGGCAAATCTTGTGACTAGAACCAAGAAGCCCTGTTTCCCAGGTCAGTACTGATTGAGGGGAACAGCATTTATCTTTGTACAGAGGAGGTTGGTCCTATGACGATCAGGTTGATCAGAGGACAAAGAGCCGGCTGTGCCTGTGAAGGAGAGCAGGCGTGAGCTACTGCCTGGCTACCCAAGGCAAAGCAATGCAGTGGCAGAGGCAGCGTCCAGGAAGCCTCCGTCTCCAGAATGTGGAGGACTTTGTCTTGTGATTCTGTAAGCAAGTGTGGTCAGACCCAAAGAGCTCTGCCCTAACCCGGTCACAGGGTGGCCGAGCAGAGGCAGCTGAGCACTCTTCATAGTCCTGGTGGCCAAGGTGCTGTTGTGACTGCTGACCTGTGTAATGTTATTCTGAATCTTTGTTTACATTTCAGGGTTTTTTAGGTAAAATTTACATATTCACAAATGCACGATTTACAAATGCACAGATTTCATGTGTACCATTTTATGAGGTTTTACGTATTTTATCAAATGCATACACCTGAAGCCCACACGTTAGCAAAATCAAGAACTTTTCAACATGCCAGAAAGTTACTTTGTGTCTTCCCAGCCAATCCTGCACCGCCACAGGCAATCGGTTTTCTAATTTTTTTCACCATAGATTAGTTTTGCCTGTTCCAGAACTTTGTATAAGTGGAATCACACAATTTGTATCTTTTTGTGTCTGGCTTTTTTCATTCCACATAATGTCTGTGATTCATCTGTGTTGTTGTGTTTATTGATAGTTCATTCTCTCTTTTTTTTTTTTTTTTTTTGATGAATTGTATTCCATAGTATGGATATACCACAATTTGTTTATCTGTTCTTCTGTTAATGGATATTTGGGCAGTTTCCAGTCTGAGGGTATTATAAATAAAGCTGCTACAAACATTTACATAAAAATCTTTTTGCAAACATGTGCACTTATTTCTTTTGGGACCACATCTAGAAGTGGCATTACTGGGTCATAGGGTAGATGTATGTTTTACTTTATAAGACAAGAGTGAAACTTTCTCCGAGGTACTTGTAACATTTTATGTTTCCATCAGTGATTTATGAGAGTTCCAGTTTTTCTACATCCTCATCCACATTTGGTGCCATCGGTCTTTTAAAATTGGAGTCATTCTAGTGCAGGGGTCACAAACCCCCAGGCCACAAACTGGTATAGGTCCATGGCCTGTTAGGAACCGGGCCGCACAGCAGGAGGTGAGTGGCTGATGAGGGGGCATTGCTGCGTGAGCTCCACCTCCGGCCAGATCAGTGGCAGCACTGGATTCTCTCAGAAGCGTGAGCCCTATTGTGAACTGTGCATGCGAGGGATCTAGGTTGCACCCTCCTGATGAGACTTGAACTAATGCCTGTTCTAAGGTGGAACAGTTTCATCCCAAAACCGTCCCAAACCCCCAGCCATAGAAAAATTGGCCATGAAAAAGTTGTCTTCCACAAAACTGGTCCCTGGTGCCAAAAAGGTTGGGGACCATTGTTCTGGTGGGACTGCAGTAGTAGCTCATGGATTTTCATTTGCATTTCCCAGATAACTAATGACGATGAACACTTTCAAATGTGTTCATTGGCCATTCATATGCATTCTTCCGTGACGTGTCTGTTCAAATCTTTCCAGCACATAAACCCTCTTATTATTGAGTTACAGGATTATCTATATAACCTGGATACTAGCCTTTTATCAGATATATGGGTTGCAGTATTTGCCCAAAGTATGTGGTTTCCCTTTTAGTTTTCTTAACAATAAAGACTTTTCATTTTGATGAAGTCAATTTATCAATTTTTTTTTTTGAAACAAAGTCTCACTCTGTCACTCAGGCTGTAGTGCAATGGCACGATCTTGGCTCACTGCAACCTCCGCCTCCCAGGTTCAAGCGATTCTCTTGCCTCAGCCTCCCAAGTAGCTGGGATTACAGGTGCCCGCCACTACGCCTGGCTAATTTTTTTGTATTTTTAGTAGAGATGGGGTTTCATCATGTTGACCAGGCTGGTCTCAAGCTCCTGACCTCGTGATCTACCCACCCCAGCCTCCCGAAGTGCTAGGATTACAGGCATGAGCCACTATACCAGGCCCAATTTATCGATTTTTTAAATGTTTGTTGCTTTTGCTGTCCCATCTAAGACATTCTGGACTGCTCACAGATCGTGAAAGTGTTTCCCTGTGTTTTCTTGTGGAAGTTTCACAGTTTTAGCTTTTACATTTAGACCTACGATCCACCTTGAATTAAATTTATTGTATAATTTGAAGATTCAACATTCATTTTTCTCAATACTGACATCCAGTTGTTCCAGCATCATTTATTCAAAATACTGCTTTTCCCCATAGAACTGTTTTGATGCCTTTGTCAAAAATCAATGTGCTGTATAAATGTGGGCCTACTTCTGGACTCTCTAGTCAATACCATGAATCTAGTCTTTTTTTGGCCTTTGTTCTTTAGTCTTGAAATCAGGTACTGTAAGTTCTTCAACTTACGGCAAGATTTGGAGGGCTAACTTAGGTTCTTCTCTATGAATGTTAGAATGAGATTGACAATTCACGCATTCTCCTTTTTTTTTTTTTTTTTTTTTTTTGAGACGGAGTTTCTCTCTTGTTGCCCAGGCTGGAATGCAATGGTGCAATCTTGGCTCACCACAACCTCCACCTCCAGAGTTTAAGCAATTCTCCTGCTTCAGCCTCCCGAGTAGCTGGGATTACAGGCACGTGCCACCACGCCCAGCTAATTTTGTATTTTTAGTAGAGACGGGGTTTCTCCATGTTGGTCAGGCTGGTCTCGAACTCCCGACCTCAGGTGGCCCACCCACCTCGGCCTCCCAAAGTGCTGGGATTACAGGCGTGAGCCACTGAGCTGGGCCAATTTATGCATTCGCACAATGCTCCCGGGATTATGATAGGTCAATCCAGGGAGAATTGACCTGTTAACTAACTTGGGTCTTCTGACCCACGAGCACACAATTTCTTTCTGTTTATCTTAGGGCTTCTTTCATTTCTCTCTTTTGCTAAGTTTATTACTAAGTATGTTATACTTATAAATGAAATTTTAAAAAACATTTCTGCTTGCTGCCAGTGCACAGATATGTAATTATCAATTATATATAAACATATATATATCTTATATCTTACAATCGTGCTAAATTCATTTATTAAGTTATTGTAGTTGTTTTGCAGATTCCTTAGAATTTTCTACATAGAGAATGATCTCATCTGTAAAGAGAGACAGTTTTACTTCTTTCTTTATGGTCTTCATGCTTTTTATTTCTTTCTCTTTTTTTCCTTTTCTTCTTTCTTTTTTTTTTTCTTTTTGTCTTATTGCACCAGTTAGGACTTTCAGCACAATAATATAGAGAGACTGTGATCCCTGCCATTTTCCTGGTCTTAGGGGGAAAGTGTTTACTATTTCACTATTAAGTATAATATCAGCTGTAGAGTTTTCATCCATGCCGTTTTTATGTTTTGTTTTTGTATATTTGTTTGTTTGTTTGTTTGAGATAGAGTCTCGCTCTGTTGCCCAGACTAGAGTGCAGTGGTGGGATCTCAGCTCACTGCAACCTCTGTTTCCAGGGTCCAAGCGATTCTCCTGCCTCAGCCTCCCGAGTAGCTGGTATTACAGGCACCCACCACCACACCCAGCGAATTTTTGTATTTTTAGTAGAGATGGGGTTTCACTGTGTTAAACTAGGCTGGTCTTGAACTCCTGACCTCAGGTGACCCACCTGCCTCAGCCTCCCAAAGTGCTGGGATTACAGGCGTGAGCCACCGTGTGCAGCCCACATGTCCTTTTTTAGATTGAGAAAGGTCTCTTCCATTTCTAGTTGGTGAGAGAGAGAGAGAGAGAGAGTGTGTGTGTGTGTGTGTGTGTGTGTGTATACACATTGAATAAGCATTGAGTTTTATTTAAACATTTTTGTGTTTTCAACGATCATATGGTTTCTCTCCTTTATTTTGTGAATACTGTGTATTACACTGATTAAATTTTTAACATTAAACCAATATTACATTGCTGAGACAAAACTCAGTTGGTCTTAGTGTATTATCCTTATAATATATTGCTAGATTAAATTTGCTAGTATTTTCTTAGGAATGCTTGCATCTATGTTCTTGTGGGATATTGTTCTGTAGTTTTATTGTGATGTGTTTGTCAGGTTTGGGCGGTAGGGTTATGCTGACCTCACAAAACAAGTGGGAAGGTTTCCTCTTTCTCCTTTTTCTGTAAGAGTTTCTGATGTATTATTTTTTCTTAAATGTTTAATAGAAGTCACCAGTGAAACCACTGGATATAGAGTTCTCTAATTTAGGATTTTAAATTACTATTTTAATTTTTTTAGAGACACAGAAAGGAGGTTAGAAAAAAATATTTTAAGAAGTCATGGACAGAAATTTCCTATATTTTCTGAAAGAACTTCTGAATCAAGGAGTTCAGCTAACCCCAAGCAGGATAAGTAAGAAGAAAGCCACACCTAGACAAAACTGCTGAGAACTAAAACTATCTGGAAAGTAGCCAGAAAAAAAGTGACATATTCAGTCCAAACAGTGACTTGAAATATCACTGACTTTTCATCAGAAATTATGGAGGTGACCAGAAAGTGGAACATCAAAGCGCTGAAAGAAAAAAATGCTTTCAACTCTGGCTCCAGACAAGATGGAGTGGACGTGCTTCTCCCTAGTCCTCTCACTAAATGCAGCTGAAAACCGGCTAAAAACAAACCCACAATGATTCTGAAAGGTAGAAAGAAGAAGGCAAACTGCGTAGGACCTTAAGATTCCTGGGTTTTCTTTTTTGTTTTTTTGTTTTTGTTTTTGTTTTATTATACTTTAAGTTTTAGGGTACATGTGCACAAGGTGCAGGTTAGTTACATATGTATACATGTGCCATGTTGGTGTGCTGCACCCATCAACTCGTCATTTAACATTAGGTATAGCTCCTAATGCTATCCCTCCCTCCTCCCCTCACCCCACAACAGGCCCCAGAGTGTGATGGTCGCCTTCCTGTGTCCATGTGTTCTCATTGTTCAATTCCTATCTATGAGTGAGAACATGCGGTGTTTGGTTTTTTTTCCTTGCGATAGTTTGCTGAGAATGATGGTTTTCTTTTTTGCCTCATGTAACCCTGGATATAGCGAGGCTAGAGAATCCAGCAGCCCCAAAAAAGCAGCAAGTGCAGACCTCCTCACAAAAAAAAAAAGCTCTCAAGAAAAGCCTCCCCTCTCTAGCCAAAATACCAGGAAAGGGGCTGCCTAGCAAGACAGAACTTTTAGACAATAACCACCCCAAACTAGCCAAACATGGTAAGAAAACTGTGGCCCCACTCCACCTCTGTCGACAAAGGTAGAATGGGGAGCCTAGACCTCTACCCTCTGGAGGCTGTAACCAAGTCCACCTTCTCCCTGCCAGGACTTCCATCCCCACCAGTCAGTCCTGTGATGTCAGCAGAGACCACAGAGAAAGCCTGGACTCATACTCCCACCCAGTGATAATGAAGCACCTCTTCCTCTCCTCATTGAAGTGGAATCAGAGGAAGCCTAGTGAAGAGCCAGGGCTTTTACCACTTCTCAGCAGTAATGTCCTTCCCACCTTCCACAGTATCAGTGGAGACCACAAGGGGAGCATAATGAGAGGTCCCTCCCCATCCCAAGCAGGGCAGTGTCAGTGGAGTGGGGAGCCGAAACTTCCACCCCAACCAGCAGTAACAAGGCACCTTTTCCTCACTCGGTGTCAGCAGAGACTGAATGGGAACTTGGGCTTTCATCCCTGCCTGGCAGTGATGAGATAGTGCTTTTCTTCCCACACCAATGTGGTATCAAAGGAGATAGGCTAAAACAGAAGATTTCAATAATATCCACAGTCTCAGAACATCATACCCAAAATGTGCAGAACACAATTGAAAATCATTAATCATAGGCCAGGCACGGTGGCTCATGCCTGTAATCCCAGCACTTTGGGAGGCCAAGGCAGGTGGTCATGAGTTTGAGACCAGCCTGGCCAACATGGTGAAATCGTGTCTCTACTAAAAATACAAAAAAAAAAAAAAATTAGCCGGGTGTAGTGGAGGGTGCCTGTAATCCCAGCTGCTCAGGAGGCTGAGGCAAGAGAATCACTTGAACCCAAGAGGCAGAGGTTGCAGTGAGCCGAGATGGTGCCACTGTACTCCAGCCTGGGTGATGGAGTGAGACTCTGTCAGAAAGAAAGAAAGAAAGAGAGAGAGAGAGGGAGGGAGGGAGGGGAAGAAGAAAGGAAGGAAGGGAGGGAGGGAAGGAGGGAGGGAGGGAGGGAAGGAAGGAAGGAAGGAAGGAAGGAAGGAAGGAAGGAAGGAAAGAAAGAAAGAGAAAATAACTTTTGTGCCAATAGATTTCCAGAAGGAAAGGAGAGTGAGAATGTGACTAAAAAAGGATTAGAAGAAATAATGAATGAAAACTTCCTAAATTTGGCAAAAGATACAATCCTGTAGTTTCAAGAAACTGAGAAAACCAGAAATAAGATAAATCCAAAGAAAATTATAAAAAGATACATCACAAAACTAAAGAAAACAATCTTGAAAGCAGGGAGGAAGAAACTATACCTTTCAAAATGGGGAAAACAATTTGAATGACAGGAGGTTTCTCATAAGAAACCATGGTGCCCAGAAGTAAGTGGGTGCAGCAGTTTTCAAATCCTGAAATGAAAGAACTGTCAACCCAGAATTTTGTATCCAGTGAAAATATTCTTCAAGAATGAAGGAAAAGTCTAGGCATTCTCAGATGAACTAAACCTAAGATAATTTGTCACCAGCAGGCCTACCCTTAAAAATGGGCTGAAGGAAGTTCTTGAAACCAAAAGTAAATAATAAAAGGAGAAATCTTGGAACATTTGGAAGGAAGAACAATAAAAAGAGTAAAAAAATGTGCAAAATCAATAGACTTTCCTCCTCCTTTTGGGTTTTATAAATTATGTTTGATGATTGAAGCAAAAATTATAATAGTGTCTGATATGGTTCTCAATAAGTAGAGAAAATATTTAAGGCAATTATATCACATACAAGGGAGGGTAAAGAGACTGAAATGAAGATGAGATTTCTATACTCACTCAAACTGATAAAATATCAATACTAGTACACTATAATAAATTCTGTGTGTATAAGCCAGGCATAGTGGTTCATGCCTGTAATCCTAGCACTTTGGGAGGCCAAGGAGGGAGGATTGTTTTAGGCCAGAAGTACAAGACCAGCTTGGATAACATAGCAAGACCGTGTCTCTAAAAAAAAAAGGTGAAAAATTAGCTGGGTGTGGTGGTATGCAGCTGTAGTCCCAGCTACTTGGGAGACTGAGGTGAGAGGATTATATAAGCCGAGGAGTTTGAGGCCACAGTGAGCTAGGATCACACCACTTACCTCAGCCTGGGCAACAGAGCAAGACTCTAAAATAAATAAATAAAAACTTACGTGTGTATAGTGCAATACCTAAAGCAAACACTAAAAATATTATACAAAGAGATATACTAGAGCTAAATAAAAATGGAAATCTAAGAAATGTTTACGTAATCTACAGGAAGGCAGGGGAGAAAAGAGAAACTGAAAACAGAGGGAACAAACATAAAACAAAAAATAAAATGGCAGACTTAAGCCCTAACACATCAATAGTTACATTAAATGCAAATGGCCTCAATACACCAATTAAAATACAGATATTGGCAGAGTGGATTTTTTTAGTGGCCCAAATATAACTCTTTGTGAAAAATTCACTTCAAATATAACATTATAGGTTGATTTTAAGTAAAAGGATGAAATAAGATATGCCATGCAAAAATTAACCAAAAGAAAACAGAAGTGGCTATATTAATATTTGATAAAGTTGGCTTCAGAGCAAAGAAAATTACCAAAGAAGGATATCACATACTGATAGAAGGGGCAACACATTAAGAAGACATAGTACTTCTAATGTATATATATGTATCAAACAACAGAACTTCAAATTACATGAAGAAAAAACTGATGGAATGGAAAAAGCTGATGGATGAAAGGAGAAATAGACAAATCTATAATTATAGTTGAAGACAACACCCCTCTCTCAACAACTGATAGAACAACTAGACAGATAATCAGCAGAAATATAGATGAATTTAACACCACCAACCAAACTAATCTAGTCAGCATTTACAGAACACTATCCAACAACAGAATATACATTCTCTTCAAGTGCTCACAGAACATTTACTAAAATAGGCCATGTTCTGCACTAAAACAAATCTCAACACATTTAAAAGAATTGAAATCTCCCTGGGATGCAAGGCTGGTTCAACATACGCAAATCAATAAACGTAATCCATCACATAAACAGAAGCAAGGACAAAAACCACATGATTATCTCAACAGATGCAGAAAACGCCTTCATCAAAATTCTACAGCCCTTCATGCTAAAAACTCTCAATAAACTAGGTATCGATGGAACGTGTCTCAAAACAATAAGAGCTATTTATGACAAACCCACAGCCAATATCATACTGAATGGGCAAAAACTGGAAGCATTCCCTTTGAAAACCGGCACAAGACAAGGATGCCCTCTCTCACCACTCCTATTCAACATAGTATTGGAAGTTTTGGCCAAGGCAATCAGGCAAGAGAAAGAAATAAAGGGTACTCAAATGGGAAGAGAGGAAGTCAAATTGTCTCTGTTTGCAGATGACATGATTGTATATTTAGAAAACCCCGTTGTCTCAGCCCAAAATCGCCTTAAGCTGATAAGCAACTTCAGCAAAGTCTCAGCATACAAAATCAATGTGCAAAAATCACAAACATTCCTATACACCAATAACAGACAAACAGAGATCCAAATCATGAGTGAACTCCCATTCACGATTGCTACTAAGAGAATAAAACACCTAGGAATACAACTTACAAGGGATGTGTAGGACCTCTTCAAGGAGAACTACAAACCCCTGCTCAAGGAAATAAGAGAGGACAAAAACAAATGGAAAAACATTCCTTGTTCATGGATAGGAAGAATCAATATCGTGAAAATGGCCATACTGCCCAAAGTAATTTATAGATTCAATGCTATCCCCATCAAGCTACCACTGACTTTCTTCATGGAATTGGAAAAACTACTTTAAACTTCATATGGAACCAAAAAAGAACCCACATAGCCAAGACAATCCTGGGCAAGAAGAACAAAGCCGGAGGCATCACGCTACCTGACTTCAAATTATACTACAAGGCTACAGTAACCAAAACAGCATGGTACTGGTACCAAAACAGAGATATAGACCAATGAAACAGAACAGAGGCCTCAGAAATAACACCACACATCTACCACCATCTGATCTTTGACAAATCTGACACACACAAGCAATGGGGAAAAGATTCCCTATTTAATAAATGGTGTTGGGAAAACTGGCTAGCCATACGCAGAAAACTGAAACTGGACCCCTTCATTACACCTTATACAAAAATCAACTCAAGATGGATCAAAGACTTAAACGTAAGACCTAGGACCATGAAAATCCTAGAAGAAAACCTGGGCAATACCATTCAGAACATAGGCATGGGCAAAGACTTCATGTCTAAAACACCAAAAGCAATGGCAACAAAAGTCAAAATTGACAAATGGGATCTAATTAAACTAAAGAGCTTCTACACAGCAAAAGAAACTATCATCAGAGTGAATAGGCAACCTACAGAATGGGAGAAAAATTTTGCAATCTATCCATCTGACAAAGGGCTAATATCCAGAATCTACAAAGAACTTAAACAAATTTACAAGAAAAAAACAAACAACCCCATCAAAAAAATGAGCAAAGGATACCAACAGACATTTCTCAAAAGAAGACATTTATGCAGCCAACAGAAATAAGAAAAAATGCTCATCATCACTGCTAATTAGAGAAATGCAAATCAAAGCCACAATGAGATACCATCTCACACCAGTTAGAATGGCAACCATTAAAAAGTCAGGAAACAACAGGTGCTGGAGAGGTTGTGGAAAAATAGGAACACTTTTACACTGTTGGTGGGAGTGTAAATTAGTTCAGTCATTGTGGAAGACAGTGTGGCAATTCCTCAAGGATCCAGAACTAGAAATACCATTTGACCCAGCAATCCCATTACTGGGCATATACCCAAAGGATTACAAATCATTCTATGATAAAGACACATGCACACGTATGTTTATTGTGGCACTATTCACAGTAGCAAAGACTTGGAACCAACCCAAATGCCCATCAATGATAGACTGGATTAAGAAAACGTGGCACATATACACCATGGAATACTATGCAGCCATAAAAAAGGATGAGTTCATGTCCTTTGCAGGGACATGGATGAAGCTGGAAACCATCATTCTCAGCAAACTATCACAAGATCAGAAAACCAAATGCCGCATGTTCTCACTCACAAGTGGGAGCTGAACAATGAGAACACATGGACACAGGTAGGGGAACATCACACACCAGGGCCTGTGGGGGGTGGGGAGCTAGGGGAGGGATAACATTAGGAGAATAAACAATGTAGGTGATGGGTTGATGGGTGCAGCAAACCACCATGGCACGTGTATACCTATGTAACAAAATTGCATGTTCTGCACATGTAACCCAGAACTTACAGTATAATAAAAAAAAAAAAGGAAAAGAATTGAAATCATGCAGAGTGTATTCTCTGACCATAATAGAATTGAAGTAGAAGCCAAAGTAGATAATGGGAAAGTAACAGGATCATCTCTAAACTGTTGAAAACTAAAGAATATGCTTCTAAATAATTTATGAGTCAAAGAAGTCTCTAAGGAAATTGAAAAAAAAAAAACACATGGAACTGAATGAACACAAAAACACAACATATCAAATGTTATGGGATGAAGCCAAAGCAGCACTCAGAGGAAAATTTGTAGCACTACATGTTTATATTAGAAATAGAGAAAATCTAAGTCATTTCTCCAACCTCCCACCTTAAGAAAATGAAAAAAAGAGCAAAATAAAACCAAAATGAACAGAAGGAAATAAGTATAAGAGCAAAAATCAGTAAAATTTAAATAAGAAATAATAGAAAAAAATCAATGAAACAAAGGGCTGGTTCTTTAAAAAGATCAATAAAATTGAGAAGCCACTAGCAAGACTGACAAAGAAAAAAGAAGAGAAAGACACAAATTACCAATATCAGGAATTGAGCAGGGGACAGCTCTATAGACCCTAAAGACTTCAGGAAGATATAATAAGGGGATATTATGGAAACTCTACACATAAAATTGACAACTTAGATAAAATGGGCAATTCCTTAAAAAGCACAAACTATTACCACTTACCCACTGTGAAATAAATCACATGAATACTTTTAAAGAAATTGAATTTGTGAAAAAAGAAGGGGACACTTCCCAACTCATTTTATGAGAGCTATATTACCCTGGTATCAAAACCAAAAACAGCTCAAAAAAAGAGAAAACCACAAACCAATATACCCAATGAATATAGATGCCAAAATCCTTAAGAAAATATTGGCAAACAGAATTCAGCAATATATAAAAAGAATTTGGGTGGGGTACTGTGGCTCATGCCTATAAGCCCAGCACTTTGGGAGACTGAGAGGGTGGATCGCTTGAGCCCAGGAGTTTGAGACAAGCCTGAGCAACATGGCAAAATTCTGTCTCTACAAAAAAATACAACACTTAGCTGGGTGTGGTGGCATGTGCTTGTAGTCTGAGCAACTCAGGAGGCTGAGATGGGAGGATCAATTGAGCCCAGGAGGTTGAGGCTGCAATGACCCATGATCAAACCACTGCACTCCAGCCTGGGCAACAGAACAATATCCTGTCTTAAAAAAAAAAAGAATTCTACATTGTGACCAAGTGGGGTTTATTCTAGGGGTGTAGAATGGTTTGATATTTGAAAATCAATCAATATAATCCACCAGGTAACAGGTTAAAGAACAAAAATCGTATGCTCATATTAATTGATGCAGAGAAAACATCTAATGAAATTTAATAGCCATTCATGAAAACATTCTAAGAAAACTAGGAACCGAGGGGAGCTTCCTCCACTTGATAAAGAATATCTACCACCTGCCACAAAAAATTTGGTCATTAACATTATATTGAATGGTGAAAGGCCAAAAGCCTTCTTCCTAAGATTGGAAACAAGGTAAAGAGGTCCGCTCTCACAATCTAAGTTTAATGCTGGAAATCCTAGCCAGAGCAGTAAGGCAAGAAAAGGAAATAAAAGGCAAACAGGTCAGAAACGAAGAAGTAAGAAGTCCCATGGCCAGGTGCGGTGGCTCACACCTGTAATCCCAGCACTTTGAGAGGCTGAAGTGGGTGGATCACTTGAGATCAGGAGTTTGAGATCAGCCTGGCCAACATGGTGAAACCCTGTCTCTACTAAAAATACAAAAATTAGCTGAGCATGGTGGCACATACCTGTAATCCCAGCTACTCCGGAGGCTGAGACAGGAGAATCTCTTGAACCTGGGAGGCAGAGGTTGCAGTGAGCCGAGATCACGCCATTGCACGCCAGCCTGAGCAACAAGAATGAAACCCTGTCTTAAAAAAAAAATACACTTATCATATAACCCAGCAATCATGCTCCTGGGCATTTACCCCAAAGAAAGGAAAAGTTACATCCACATGTGTTAGAACCAAAAAACTGGAAGACAACCAAAATGCCCTTCAGTAGGTAAACGGTTAAACAAACTGCAGAATGTTACTCAGCAATAAAAAGGAACACACTTGGGAGGCCTAGGCAGGCAGATCACGAGGTCAGGAGATCGAGACCATCCTGGCTAAC
This sequence comes from Homo sapiens, assembly GCF_000001405.40. Lineage (NCBI taxonomy): Eukaryota > Metazoa > Chordata > Mammalia > Primates > Hominidae > Homo > Homo sapiens. Next base: position 129,293,954 of record NC_000009.12, on the reverse strand, counting down.
ATGGTGAAACCCCATCTCTACTAAATATACAAAAAAAAAATTAGCCGGGCATGGTGGCACGCACCTGTAGACCCAGCTACTTGGAAGACTGAGGCAAGAGAATCAATTGAACCTGGGAGGTGGAGGTTGCAGTGAGCCAAGATCACACCACTGCACTCCAGCCTGGGCAACAAAGCGAGACTCCATCTCAAGGTAAAAAAAAAACAGGAGCACACACAGCAACTTGGATGGATCTCAATGGCATTACCCTGAGTAAAAAAGCTATTCTAGCTAGGTGTGGTAGCTCATGCCTGTAATCCCAACACTTTGGGAGGCTGAGGCAGGGGGATGGCTTGAGCCAAGAAATTTGAGACCAGCCTGGGCAACATAGTGAGACAACATCTCTAAAAAAAATTAAAAGTATTCAGAAGTATTTGGATTTAAGAAAAGAAAGAAAGAAAAAATATTAGCTGGGCATGGTGGTGCAAGCCTGTAGTCCCAGCTACTCAGGAGGCTGTGGCAGGAGGATTGCTTGAGCCAGAAAGTTGGAGGCTGCAGTGAGCTGTGATCATGCTGCTGCACTCCAGCCTGGGAGACAGAGCGAGACTCTGTCTCAAGAAAAAAAAAGAAAAAAGCCATTCTGAAAATATCACACATTGTGTGTTTTCATTTACATAACTTCATGGAAAAGACCAAATCATACGGAACAGATGAGTGCATGCTAGGCCACAGGTCGGGTGGGGGGCAGGGGGCAGGTGTGACTACAGAGGGGCAATTGGGGAGGTCTTGTGGCAATGGGGTAGCTCTGCATCTTGATTGCCACAGTAGCTACACAATTCTATACGGGTGAGAAAATAGCATGGCATTATACACACGTCGTACCAATGTCAATTTCCTGGTTTTGATATTATACTATTATGTAAGCTGTACCACTGGGGGGAGACTAGCTGAGGGTGCCCAGAGCTCCCTGTATTGTTTTTGGAACTTTCTCTAAATCTATAATTATTTCAAAATAAGATTTTTTTTCTTTGACACAGAGTCTCACTCCGTTGCCCAGGCTGGAGTGCAGTGTCGCAGGCTTGACTCACTGCAACCTCCGCCTCCCAGGTTCAAGCGATTCTCCTGTTTCAGCCTCCCAAGTAGCCAGGATTACAGGCATGCACCACCACGCCCGGCCAAGAATTTTCTTTAAAAGAAGAAGAGGCTGGACATGGTGGTTCATACCTTTAATCCCAGCACTTTGGGAGGCTGAGGCAGGAGGATCACTTAAGGTCGGGAGTTTGAGACCAGCCTGGGCAACATAGTGAGATGCCATCTCTTTAAAAAATTAAAATAAATATTATAAATAAAGAGGAAGAAAAAATACTTCAATCCAATAATTATATATCCAGCAAAAATATCCTTTAAGAATACATGTAAAGTAGGCCAAGTGCAGTGGCTCAAGCCTGTAATCCCAGCTCTTTGGGAGGCTGAGGCGGGCGGATCACCTGAGGTCAGGAGTTCGAGACCAGCCTGGCCCACATAATGAAACCCTGTCTCTAGTAAAAATACAAAAAATTACCAGGGAGTGGTGGCGGACACCTGTAATCCCAGCTACTCGGGAGGCTGAGGCAGGAGAATCGCTTGAACCTGAGAGGCAGAGGTTGCAGTGAGCCGAGATCACACCACTGGACTCCAGCCTGAGGGACAGAGCAAGACTCTGTCTCAAAAAAAAAAAAAAAAAAAAAAAAAAAAAAAAATCTTCAGGAAGAGCATTGGAAATGACAAATACCTGGGTAAAAAGAAAAGGTCATTTTTTTCTCTTAATTTCTGTAACATAGATAGGATTATCTAAAGCAGGAATTATATACACGACAACGGTGGTGTGAGGGACACATGGGAGCAGCCGATGGGTCTGTGCTGTTGCAGGCTCCCACATTTGATGCAAAGTGGTCCCATGTTAACTCTAAGTTAACTGTGGAAGCTTAGGGGTATGTCTTACAATCATTTAAGCAATCGTTAAATAATAATAATAATAATGCAAAGAGGGTAGGAAAGGAGATACAGAGATACCAAATGCGGACTTGCACTTTATTTATTTATTTATTTAAGACAGGGTCTCACTGTGTCACCCAGGCAGTGGGGCATTCCCAACTCTCCGCAACCTCCACCTCCTGGGTTCAAGCAATCCTCCCTCCTCAGCCTCCTGAGTAGCTGGGATTACAGGCGTGCACCACCACACCCGGCTAATTTTTGTATTTTTAGCAGAGATGGGGTTTCACCATGTTAACCAGTGTGGTCTCGAACTCCTGACCTCAAGTGATCCTCAGCCTCCCAAAGTGCTGGGATTACAGGCATGAGCCACCTCACTTACATACAGAAACACAGATAGACTGAGAGTGAACGGATGGAAAGAGACACACAAGCAAACTGCAAGCCCAGGGGGCCGGCATTTTGATTCAATAGGATACCAACGGAAGCTGTGTCCCAGATCTTCTCAAGACCAGCTCCCTGACTTCACTCACACCTCTGTTCCTGTGCCACCTCCCGGGGCAGGACTTCGGTGAAGCAGGGGTGAGGCAGGAGGGGCAGAGAGTAGGTGCTGGGGGCCCCCCTCCCACCAGGCTGGGTCTTCCTCACACCTTTCCACAGGCCCTGGAATCCAGGACTCGGTCTGACAAGTATGCAGTAAGGACTTGCCAGATTGTCTTGGGTCTTTGGTGGTTTACTGGGTCCACAGACTGTAATTCCCTGTGTGTGCCAGCTCCCGGCCAGAGCCTGGCTAGGGGTGGGGAGGGATTCCGGCCATATGTGTGGAGTTCACGCAGTCAACAAAATTATTTCCTGAGCGTCCACTGCATGCCGCGCCTAGACCAGGCCCTGGGGACGCATCAGTGAACAGAGCAGAACCAGACCCTGGCCTCAAGGAGCTGACACTCAGGTGACGGGTCTGGGTGGGAGTAGGTGGGGGACAAGACAGGAAGCAGAACAGAACACAGAAAGTAAATCATCACGTTTGCTGGCGGGAGCCTGGTGCCCACGGAAAAAGGCGGGGGGCCAGTAAGGGGCGGGAGTGCGGCGCGGAGCTGGGCTTGCTCCGGGTACACTTATGCAAAAGGTGGCCTCTGTGCCAACATTCCAAGGAGGGGCACTCTTCCTGGGGCAAGAAAGGGGATTCCAGAGGGTGCCAGTCACAGCATGGGGGCGTTCCTGGGCCATCCAGTTTCAGGGGAGGGTGAGCGAATCTCAACCATGCACCTGCTACTCAGGTGCTCAAAGGCCAGCCCTAGGCTCTGTCCCTCGACTGCAGAAGTGCAGGTGACCTGCCAGGTGATCCTCGGGTTCCGGAGCCCTCCCGCTTGGCCAGGAGGCTGAGGTCCAAGTTTGGCGGGATTCACATTTGTCCCCAAACACACTCCTTGATAGTTTTCTTTCTTTCTCTCTCTTTCTTTCTTCCTTCTTTCTTTCTTTTTTTCTTTCTCTTCTTTTCTTTCCTCCCTTTCTCCTTCCTTCCTTGCTTCCTCCTCTTTCTTTCTTTCTTTTTTTTTAGACAGAGTCTCGTGCTGTCTCCCAGGCCGGAGTGGAGTGGTGCAATCACAGCTCACTGCAGCCTCTACCTACCAGGCTCAGGCAATCCTCGTACCTCAGCCTCCCGAGTAGCTGGGACGACAGGTGCACACCACCATGCCCAGCTCATTTTTGCATTTTTACTTTTCCTAGAAACAGGCTTTCACTGTGCAGCCCAGGCTGGTCTCAAACTCCAGGGCTGAAGTGATCCTCCTGCTCCAGCCTCCCAAAGGGCTGGGATTACAGGTGTGAGCCACCACACCCAGTCTCCTTGATTGTTTCTGATGAACCCCCAGTCCTGCCCAGCCCTCTGATGCGTCCAAACCCAGGTGTCCCCTCCAGTCTGGCTATGCAACCACCCTCATCCGGTCCAAACCCTTCCTCACTTGGTAACAGGCCTCTTTCCTTCCAGAAGCTCCTCCCACCACCTCTCCAGCTCCAGCTTCTCCCTTGGCCCCCTCTGGCTGGTATTAGCGAACTCCATTAAGGGACAGGTATTTGATATTCCAAATAAAATCTCCACAACCCCCATGAACCATCTTAACTGCTGAAATGCCCACAGGACTTGGGATTAGAAGCTCCGCAGCACACGGGAAATGAGGGGATTTTATTTAGTGTTTAGGATTTATACATGTATATGTTGGTGGGGGGAAGATGTATTTAAATCAAGTAACTTAATCCACAGAGTGCAAGGCTAAAACCACCATAGGAAAAGGGTATTTGCATATATTAATCTCTTAACATCCAAAAAGGGGGACTGTGTGGGAGAAAACAGAGAAATCGCCAGGTGGTGTTTGTTTTTGGGTCTCACCTGCTCAGTGCCGGCCTCACCCGCCCAGCGCCCCTGACACACCTGGCTGGAAAGGGATTCACAAGGGCAGGGGCCAGTGTCTCTTTCAACCCTCAATCGCCCAGGGCCTGGTGCTTTCTGTTGAATGAACAAATGAATGCATGGATATGTGGCAGTAAGAATGACTCTCTCAATGCAAACGGGGTTTAGATGACACAGCCCTCTGACCTCTTCTTTCAACAGATCCAGAGGGGCCCTGGGGCCCAGGCCCTGCCTAGGCACTGGGGTCGGCGCAACACAGATAAGGACTCAGCGTGCAGGAGCCTCTACCCTGGCTCAGGGGGAAGCAAACACGAGCTGAGAGACTCATGGAGAGCCCATGTCCACAGAACGTTCACAAAGGCCTCCTGGAGAAGGCAGAGCAAGAGAGGGATGCAGCGGAGGGGAGAGGGAGTTCTGTTGGCCAGCGCAGCCCAGGCCAAAGCCTGTAAGGAGGGAAAGGGCTTGGAGTATTTGCGGGTGACCACAGGGCTGGGGTAAGGCAGAAGCGAGCGTCTCGGGCAGGAGCCAGTTTATGGGGCCTTGGGAGCCTGGGGGAGTTTGAATGTTATTCCAGCACATGTGAGGGACAGTGATGACAATTTGGGAACATAGAGCCACCTTTCTGGAGCAAGGGTGGCCACTTCCCCAGCCAGGTGATGAACTTAAAATATGTGAGCCCACCCTCACCCCCACCTCTGTGCAGAGCGCAGCCCATGCCTCATCACACACACACACACACACACACACACACACACACACACACACACACACAGAGCAGCCCCGACAGCAGGCCTGCAGCCTGGAAGGCAGGTCTCAGGAGGCCAGGAGGGTAGTTTCCCCTGCCCGGCAGCTCCCTGGGGTGAGTCAGAAACCAGGGCAACCAGCAGAGATGCCACGGGCACCTCGGACACAGGGCCAGGTTCCCCCAGGGAAAGCAGGACCGTAACCTGTTCCCAATCACCTCCAACCCCAGCGTATCTCAGTCGTTAGCACTTTGTGGGGCCTTGGGGTGTCTGAATTCATTCAGCCCCCTCTTTAGAGATGGCAAAATTGAGGGCCAGAGAAAGTGATTTTTCCAAAGTCACAGATCTGAGAAACGGTAGGGGCTGGATTCGAACTCCTGCCGCATCTACCTGCCCAGTCTGTGCCGCTCACCAGTACCCAGCCCCTCCCTGCCCCATCTGGAATTTAAATTCAGTAGAGCCTCGTTCATTCAAAGCCTCCTTAATTCAGAATTCCTGAGCAGGGGAGTTCTCCTGTGCACCAAACGTGGATGGGAACCTGGGGTCTACTGAATAAATGAACTGCATAACCAAGATTGATGACAGGGTGGCTGGCTCAAAAACTTCAGGGGCGCACACGAGTGTCCACACGGTACATGCGCCGTTCTCAAAGAACCTTCTTTAAAGCAGCCTCGGAGGCCCTGGTCCACGCCATGGGGGAGGTGCTGGGGCCAGCAGCACCCGAGCTGACTGGAGAGAGCCCGGTGTCCGGTTCCCAGCTGTGCGACCCGAGGCCAGGTCTGCCCCTCTCTGAATCTCGGTGAGAATGCCTTCCCCGTGGAGCTGTTGTGTATGAGAACAGTGTGAGGCCGGGTACACAGTTGGTGCTCAGTAAGTCACAGCTGTTTTACAATAATTAAAAAGCATCTCTTGGATCAAACAGCCTGCATCTCAGTCTTCTTCTAATTTGCATTGGTCTTCGCAGAAATTAAGGTGCACTCTGTTCCCGACGATTCCATCTGGCTGGGCTGAGGTGGAGTCCCCTCGATTCCCCAGTGAGGGCTGGGAACCCATCACTCGCTCCAGCAACAGGTATTTATTTATCCAGCGTGTGCTTCATGTCAGGTTCCCTGCTGAGGGCCAGGCACGCATACAGCAGTGGCCTAGACAGACAAGGTCCCCGCCCTCAGCAGCTCTCGGCCTAGCTATTGAGCTTGCCTGACAAGGGGCAAAGAGGGTAGGAGGAGGTGGAGTTGTCAGATTAAATTCAAGATGCTGAGTGTCATTTGAATTTGAGATAATAAAAAAAAATGTTTACTATGTGTATTCCATTCCATATTTGGGATACATTTATACTCACAAGTTATTTGGTACTTATCTGACATTCATATTTAACTGAGTGTGCTTTATTTTATTTTATTTTATTTTATTTTATTTTATTTTATTTTATTTTATTTTATTTTATTATTTTTGGGATACAGTCTCACTCTTTCGCCCAGGCTAGAGTGCGGTGGCGCGATCTCAGCTCACTACAACCTCTGCCTCCCGGGTTCAAGCGATTCTCCTGCCTCAGCCTCCTGAGTAGCTGGGATTACAGGCACATGCCACCATGCCTGGCTAATTTTTGTATTTTTAGTAGAGATGGGGTTTCGCCATGTTGGCCAGGTTAGTCTCGAACTCCTGACCTCAGGGGATCCGCCCACCTCGGCCTCCCAAAGTGTTGGGATTACAGGCCTGAGCCACCGCGCCCAGTCTTTCTTTTATTTTTATTTCTAGATCTTCCAGTGTTTATCCAGCACCTTCTGCAGGAGTCCTTCTACTGAACCACCAGACCCTGTGGGCTCAGGGACAAACACAGGAACAAGCCCACAGGATAATCACACAGGGTGGTCCTGGGAGGGCCTTTGACAAGGTGACTTTGAGCTCAGACCTGATGTGTGTAGAGGAAGAAAAAAGGCATCACTCCATGAGAGAGAAGGAGAGGGATAGGAGACCCGGGTGAGGCAAGGCAGAGAGCTAGTGGCTGCAAAAGAGACAACACTGACCAGGAGGGGAGGGAATGGAGGGCTTTGTGGAGGAGGTAGAATTGAGCCAGGCCCTGAAGGAGGAGCTGGACAGAGAGGAGGTGGTGCAGAGGAACCCTGATTTGGGAGGAGGTAAGCCAGGTGGTAGGCCCCTGAGATACCCATTCTCCAGACACCATCTCTTACAAGGGCCTTTGGTACCCGAGAAAATGCACATGATAAACTGTCAAGCGAAAAATACAAGATACGAAACAGACAGCAGCTGTGGCGTTGCGAGGGGTTGAACTAGACCATCCGACCTAGCATGTAGTAGGCGCTCAATAAACAGGAGATCGATGGAATCATGCTTTTCCGATTTGCAGACAAATGGGGGGATCAGAGGCACCGCCAAGGTGTTCTTCCTTGTTTTGTGGGTATTTTACTAAATGAAACAATGAACGAATTGCTTGAATAGACGTGAGGTTACCGTGACTCCATCCAGAAACCACTTGGTCCAGACTTTGAAGGCAATAAAACAGCAGGAAAAGACAGGCCCTGCCTCCCGGTCCCTGACAGGCGCCGTCACTCTTGAGCCTGTGGTAGGGAGTGCATTTTCAAGTCGCCCGCTGCCTCCCGAGCCTGCCTGCCGGGTCTGCAAGCCTCCAGCCAAGCAGGAGGGATCAGCTCTGCAGCTTCCGACACCCCAGCCCATGTCCTCTCAGCCCACTGGGCCCAAGGCGGGTGTAAAATCCTGGCTCACCAAGCAGAGACTCTGGGAAGAGGCCCAGTGGCCTCCCAGACAGACCAGAGGTCCTGCTCACTGGTGTCCTCCTGTGCGTCCTTGGCAAGTGGCTTCCCCTCTCTGAGCCTTGGTATCCTTGTCTATAAAATGGGGATGGGCATGGGCGTGGTGGCTCACGCCTGTAATCCCAACACTTTGGGAGGCCGAGGCAGGCGGATCACCTGAGGTCAGGAGTTCAAGACCAGTCTGGCCAACGTGGTGAAACCCCGTCTGTACTAAACACACACAAAAATTAGCCAGGCGTGGTGATGGGTGCCTGTAATCCCAGCTACTCAGGAGGTTGAGGCAGGAGAATCACTTGAACCGGGGAGGCGGAGGTTGTAGTGAGCTGAGATTGTGCCACCGCACTCCAGCCTGGGCAACAACAGAGCGAGACTCTGTCTCAAAAAATAAAAATAAAAAATAAAACAGGGATGGATTCTAGTGACGTCATCCTTCATTCATTCACAAAGGTTTGGAGAGAATCTGTTCCCTGCTGGGTGCCACGCTGGGAGTGTGAGGCTCCAGAGGGAAGTTCTTGGACCCCTGGCTGATGCTTTCACATGATCACAGGGGCACATTCTGTAAGATAAATACACAGGGGGTTGTGGCGAGCCCTCAGTGCCTGGAAAGGAAGAGAAAATACAAGGCCTCTTGCATTACTACCTGTGAGCAGAGGGTACCTGGCTCCCAGGTCCCTCCTGATGAAAAGGACCCCAACCTAGACAGACGTCTGTCATGCTTAGAAGGCCCTTCTCAGTCCCTCCAGCTTCTAAGACATTTTATTACTAATAATCACATGCAGGTGATGTTTAACGAGCACTCGCCATGCGTCAGCCTCTGCGCTTCAAGGGGTCCACGTGCACAGACCGTGGCTGGCCCTGCAACTCCAGGTGCAGCAGACACAGCCTCTCTCAGCCCAGCCAGAACCAGGTGCTGGCGACTCCTGGGACCTCTTCCAAGGGGAGGTGGGTTTGGGACACAGGCTGGAGACCAGAGCGGGCCAGGCCCCTTCCCACCATGTCCCCACCCCATAAGACCACCAGTGCCCCTCAGGATACCCAGCCCTGTCCCTTCCCTTTACAGAAAGAGAAGGTGAGTCCCCTAAAGGAGACTCGTGCTCCAGTGCTCTTCCTGAACTCCTCCGGCCACCCTCAGGCCACCCCCTGCCCTCAGACCACCCCCTTCCCTCTTCTCTGCAGTTACCCATCCTGATGCCCACCTGCCAAGCCCAGCAAAGGCCCTCCACAGTCAGCCCAAGATGCTGCCAGACCCAGGACCCGGGGCAGGTGTGCACGGAGCAGGTGTGGATGTGGAGGAAGAGGTGCCCAAAGCTCTGCTCTGAGGCCAGACCTGAGACCTGGGTGCCCAGAGCCTCTCTAGGTCCACCCAGGGGTGCTGGGCCCATGGGAGCAAAGGCTGAGTACTGCGGCCTCCCACCACCCCCCTGCCCCACCTCCACCCTGAAGTGTCCTGTTTAGCGGAATATCAGGTGTCATTGTGTGCCCTGGGGTGCTGACGGGGAGGGGATCACCTGGCCACAGGAGACCCCTGAAGCCTGGGGGAGGGGTCTGCTTCAGCTCCAGTGAGGGCGGGATTCCTGGGGTGAACTCGTGACCTTAAGCATGACCTTGAGCATGACCTTAAGCATGACCTTGAGCGTGACTTTGAGTTGTTGCTCCTTTCAACGCCACACGCACGCCTGATTCCTGGGCCCTTTTCTCTCCCCCAGTCCCTTCCTGCCACACACACTCCTATTTCTCCACATCTTTCCCCTCTAAATGACGGGGTAACCAGAAGTGACACCACAGCCGCTGGACCCCTCACGGCGCGAACATGAAACTGGGCAGGTCTGGGTTTGGCCACCCGTTCCCTGACTTGCTGGCTGTGTGGCCTTATGCAGGTCACTTGCCCTCTCTGAGCCTCAGCTTTCTCGCCTGTAAAGTGAGGGGCACGTGAGCTCCCGCCTTGCAGGGCTGTGTGTGTTGCGGGTGGTCTTGGAAGCCGCACTCAGTGTGGACAGGCAGCAGTGCTCCCATGCAGGTGCCACGTCAATATCATCACGTGGTTCCTGTTTAGGTCCTGCTCATTCCTCCAAGGGCCGAGGCAGCTCCGGGGGAATGGGGAGGGCGTGGCCTCTGCCCTGGTCCTAGCCGGGTCTGCGGCTGCTGGTGTCCACCTGTGGTTCTCAAAGGGTGGTCCTCCTGGCCAGCAGCATTGGCCTTGCCCAGGAACTTGTCAGAAATTCAGATTCTCTGGCCTGGCCAGTCCTGGGAATCAGAACCCCTGGGATGCAACCAGCCACCTGTGCTTTCACGAGGCCCCAGGGGCCTCTCGCAGGCACTGGTGTGAACCAGGAGATCCTGGAGGGTGGCGGCCCATCTTGTGCCCCCTACCCTCACTCCCATCACAGGGTCTGGTCCTCCCATTTCTCCAGTCACTCTGCACTAAACGCTGGACAATGGCCCCTAAGTACAGGCCCTCGTCTGCTAGTTAACAACTGGGGGGCCCAGGTTCTCCAAATGTGGTCCCCAGAGTACCCACACCAGACCACGAGGGAGCCTGACAAAATGCAAGCCCCTGAGTGCCCCCTAGACCGGCTGGGCATGGCTCCCCAAGAATTTGCTCTGGGGACACCCACAAGTCCCAGAACAGGGGGAGGAAAATGAAGGGCACAGGAAAAGCCGGGCCCTGGGGAGGAGATGGAGGAAAAGGGAAGTCAGACAAGATTCCCCAGTGCCAGTGACGGGCACCACTGCCTCCCCAGAGCCACCACAAGCCAGCCGCCCCTTGGCAGCAGGGGTCTGGGAGCCCTTGGCAGTTCAACCCTGTACGGACACCGTTTGAGGGGCTAGAAATAAGCCAGGATGAAATGTTATGAAATAATAATAATAGTCCCTTCTCTGGCCCACTGCAGAACCCTAGAAAGTAAGGGACTGGGGCCAACGGCAGCTGCAGTCAAGGTGCCTGCAGCTATGTGACCCCAGGGCCTAGCCCGCCCCTGCCTCCCGCCCTTCACTTAATTCCAAATACCTTTTCTCTTGTCAGCCGCAAGTCAGTGGGCTTCAAAGTCAGGCGGTGGCTCCCGTGACCCTTTGTGGGGAGGGCAGGGGTGGGCCCAGCTTCTGTGTGTTCTGCTCAGTGGGCCAGGAGGCCCCAGGCCTGCAACGAGAGGGAGGGAGGGAGCTCGGCCTGCCGGTCATTGCTCCGCACCTAGGCCCTTGCAGCTTGGAACGGACCAGCAGCCGGGAACAGCTGGTCCGATCCCACCGCCCTGCTAGGGAGGCTGCCCAAGGTACCCGGAGAGCCTTGGACTGGGGAGCTCAGGGCTGGATGAGCCAGAGCTCCAGGAGAGGAAGGCTGCGCTCACCTGAACTAAAAGTCGTGTTACAATCATACCTGCAGGTGTCAACCTCACTTTCGTTGCAGAGAGGAGGGTCTGGAATCACATGCTCCTCCAGGCAGCATTTTACAGAAAGCTGCCCTGACAGCCACGACGTACTCCCCCACTTCTACCTCTATCTCGGATTCTGTTGCAGAATGTGGCGAGGTATCACAGGGCTGCCAGCCACGGACAGGTTTGAGGGGACCGGAGTAGGGGGTTGCAGGGACGAGCTGGCAGGATCCAAATCCCTCCCGTCAGATGTGTCTCCACCCACAGCTTCCTTTTCCATTGGAGCAAACATAACAAAACAAGTGTCAACTACACTTCCTGATTCCTGAGTTACGAAAAGCCAGTGCCACCCACAGGTCCGTCCACCCCCTCCTCTTGACCCGGCCCTTCCAGTGGCACCTTATTCTGTTATTTGCTCTCTATTTTTCTTTAAAAGCATTCACTGCTATTACTTAGGTAAATGCATCCATAAGGGAACTTTATGTGACTACTGTTAGGTGGAAAAAAAACTAAGATCATGGGCCATAAATAGAAGGTAAAAGTAAAAATAAATTACAATTAAAATAAGCAATGTTAGGAAATTCTAGCTGGCTATTGTTGCCTGCCGATGGCATTTTGATAGAAAAGCGTTGGGGAGTTGCAAGCTTCCCCTCCAGGGGACCAGAGGGCTGAGACAGAGAAGGGAATCACCTTTGTGTGGTATGAGGCTGTGTGATCCCTGACGTCACTGTCTCCTAGGTCACCGAGGGTGCCCACCCCACACTGGGGAAACACTGACCTGAGGGGCACCCCTAAGCCAGTGAACCAGGGGACAGGGCTCCTTGCGAGGCAAGGACCAGATGGCATTTAACGCTGATAGGCACTATCATGACCTCCTGGGCATGAAACAGGTACCTCCCTGGTCCTTTTTCCAGAAGAGGTTGCAGAAGCCCTCTGGACAGGCCTGGCTCATGTCCTCCTGCTGGAGCGGGCTGACATAGCCCTCAGCCCTCCACTCCCAGCGTGGCCCGTCCGCTCTCCACAGATGTGCCACGCTTTCTCTAGGGTCCCCGCCCTGGGATTCCCTCCCGACCTGGCACATCTCAGTCAACCCCACCTGCCTTCCAGGTCCCCTCCGCCAGCCCTCGGCGGCCTCTCTGGGGCAGGACAGCATCCTCCTGAGGACCATGATGTCTGTAGTACTGTTCTGCCATCCGGAACTTCTCGTAAGTGGGACCCCACTGACCACCCTCTCGATTTCTAAGTGAAGCCAGAGAGTTGGATCACAATTATCCCCTGTGCCAATAATTTCCTTTATGAGAAATGCAGTTGTAAGTCTTAGAAAGGGACATGTGAATTAAAACAGGCAGTCACGCAGAACAAGGGGGAGGGAACGCATGAGGGTGCCAGGAGGTCCCCAAATTGTCCTCCAGGTGGAGACCAGCTGGGATGGCGGTGACGTCTCACCTGCACCAGGACTGGCAGCTCTGTCACATCCCCACAACACAGGGCCCTGGCAGGCCTCACTCTGCACTGGCTGGCTGTATCTGGGGCACAGACACACGGGCTGGTGGCGTATGTCACAGGTGGCAAATGTGTCACTTGGCCTCAAGACTCCCTGCATGCAGTGGAGACAGTGAGGCCTCTGTCCACACAGGCCCCAGCTGGGCCATGACCCGCTCTTGAGGCCCATCCCTTACCCTGACCTCACAGCTTCCCTGGTTGCCTTCCAGGGTCAGCAGAGCAGCCTGGATGCACTCAGAAGCCCCGGGGGACTCAGGCCACTCTCCCTGAGACCCAAGAGCATCCCCCTGCAGCTTGTGATGAGCCCTGGGTAGGGAAAAGGTGACACAAGGGGGCTCATAGCCACCACCAGGTCCAGCTGGGCCAGGGCACTCATCCCAGTCTATGGGGAGAGTCCACCTTGGCTCCAGCTGGCAGGATGAATTAGGAAATGAGAGCCAGCCCTTTGCAGCCTAGAGCAGTGGCTCAGGCAGGGCCTGGCCAGGGGCTGTGGGCAGGAGTGTCTGAGGCTGGAGGAGCAGCCCCCAGGCATCCCATCGCACTCCCTCAGGGCATCCGAGGAATCCCACCTTGACTCCTCTCGGTCTTAGCTCCAAAGCCACGTCCAAGCAGGTGAAACAGGAAGCCCCCTCCCCAAGGGGCTTTCTAGGGCAGAATGCCTGAAAGATCAGGGCAATCACCACAAACACAGATGGAAATCGGAAAGCCGGCTCCTAAAACATCTCAGGGCTCCACGCTAACACGGAGACAGGAGAGGACCACGGGTGGGGCAGGGGTTTTAATGCTGCCCAGATCTGGGTGCAAGTCTCAGTGCCACCCCGTGCCAGCCATGTGGCTTTCAGCAAGTGACTTCCCTTCTGTGAGCCTGTTTCTGCATCTGCCAAATAGGCCTGATGATAGCACTGACCAAGCACAGGCTTTCTGTGAATTTTCATACATTTGTATGGAGGGTGCACAATACCTGGGATGTATAGATGAAATTTGTATAGGTGGTCGCAGTTATTACTATTATTATTATTATTTACAGACAGGATCTTGCTCTGTCACCCAAGCTGGAGGGCAGTGGCACCATCACAGCTCACTGCAGCCTCAACCTCCTGGGTTCAAGTGATCCTCCCATCTCAGCCTCCCAAAGTGTCGGGATTACAGGCATGAGCCACCGTGCCCAGTTTGCAATGATCATTACTGAATATCACGTACATACGTGTATTGGCAGGTGTTAAACGTGTAAGATACTTTTAAGTAAAGAAACTTAAAACAGACTATTTCTATGAGTTAGTTTAATTTAGTCTATAGATGAGAAGATATATACACAGTTCTGTTTCATTTCAGCTCCTGGAACAAGGGCCTGTCTGCCCACTCTTATAAGACAGATGTATCTCTCCATCCTGGCACCGCCCAGCCACCACCCCCTCCCAGGCCATGGGCCCTGCTGCATCCCCCCGTGGCCCTAACCAGGGACCTTTCTTCTTTGTTTTCTTTTCTTTTATTTATTTATTTTTTAACACAGAGTCTCCCTTTGTCGCCCAGGCTGGAGTGCAGTGGCACGATCTCGGCTCACTGCAACCTCTGCCTCCCGGGTTCAAGTGATTCTCCTGCCTCAGCCTCCTGAGTAGCTGGGATTACAGGCGCCCGCCATCACACCCGGCTAATTTTTGTATTTTTAGTAGAGACGGGGTTTCACTATGTTGGCCAGGCTGGTCTGGAACTCCTGACCTCAGGTGATCCACCCACCTTGGCCTCCCAAAGTGCTGGGATTACAGGCATGAGCCACCGCGCCCGGCCTGTTTTCTCATTTGTGAAGATGCAGGGCTGCTGTGAGGACTGGGTGAGAGGCGCACCTGGCACGTAGCAGGTTCTCACTGGGCGAGTTGCCCCCAAGCCCCAGCGACAAGCCCAGCCAAGGCCCCCGCTCCCCGCCTGGGGAGGTCAAAGGGGCAGGTGGGAAATTGAAACCCGAGATGAATGGCCATTCTGCAGCTGGAGTCCAGAAAGATTCTGGGCATGGGAGCATCACTGGAAAAGGAAATGTGGGGCCCTTGCCCAGGGGAGGGACCGGGGGGGGGGTTCTAGATCCAGCTCTGCCCCCACCCAGGTCACCTCGCTGGCTACAAATGACGACCCCAAGTGGTGCAATGTAGATGTCCAAAGTGAGAAGCAAGGCTTGTGCAAGGCTGTGTGGGGGTTACCTGGGGGTTTGATCTCGGTACCATGAGTGACTCCCAGAATGAGACAATGTCTGCCCCTTCTGCAGGGCAGATGTGAGGAGCCTGAGGGACCTGCTCCCAGGCCACCAGCTCTTTGTGCAAATCTTGGTTTTCTGGTGCTTGGTTGGCTGGAAGAAGAGTGTGGCTGGATTGGGGGCGTGGTCTCTGCTCCCTCAGCCCCACCCACCAGGTGGGGGAAATGGAGGAGAGGGACCCACAGGAGGGTGGTCAGGGCAGCTAGAAGAGATTTGCTCAGGTACCACAGACCCTTGGTCCCTGGAGCACCCCTCTCTGCTAGGAGAGTTGGCAACCAGAACCAACAGTTTTCAAGGCTGCACACCTGGTGGAGGTTGTTGCGGGGGTTGGCCAGGTGCAGGCCCAGGCAGGCAGGGAAGCGCGGAGGCTGGGCTGGGCTGGGTTCCAAGGCAGGGCGGAGCCTCCCAGGGAAGCCGCAGTCACCCATCCGTCACTTATTCATCCATCAAATATGTACCGATGCATGGCCTGGGTGCCGAGACACCCACGACCAGACAGACACAGCCCTGCCTTCCTGGGGCCTGTGATGGGGTCAGCCACGTAGGTCAGTCAGGCCTGGTGGGCAGCAGCTAGGACTTTGCATCTTCCTCTCCGCAAGCCCCTGGGGGGTTCTGAGCCGGCAAGAGATGGGATTTGACTTGCATTTTAAAAGGGTCTTTTAGCTTCTGTGTGGAGAAGGGTGGAGCTGGGAGACTGTGGGGAACTGCGGCATTCTTATGGGGGAGCGGGGATGGCCCAGCCCTGGGTCCCAGGCACCCTGGAAAGGGGCCGGGGGCCAAATGTGTGAGGTTTTTGTTTCATTTTGTTTTTTTTCTGAGACGGAGTCTCGGAGTCTCGCTCTGTCACCCAGGCTGGAGTGCACTGACGGCGATCTCCACTCACTGCAACCTCCGCCTCCCAGGTTCAAGCGATTCTCCTGCCTCAGCCTCCCGAGTAGTTGGAATTACAAGCATGCACCTCCACACCCAGCTAATTTTTGTATTTTTAGGAGAGACAGGGTTTGTTTTTTTTTTTCTTTGAGACGGAGTCTCACTCTGTCGCCCAGGCTGGAGTGCAGTGGCGCGATCTCAGCTCACCGCAAGCTCTGCCTCCCCAGTTCACGCCATTCTCCTGCCTCAGCTTCCCCAGTAGCTGGGACTACAGGCACCTGCCACCATGCCCGGCTAATTTTTTGTATTTTTAGTAGAGATGGGGTTTCACTGTGTTAGTCAGGATGGTGTCAATCTCCTGACCTCATAATCTGCCCGCCTCGGCCTCCCAAAGTGCTGGGATTACAGGCATGAGCCACCGCGCCTGGCCTAGTAGAGACAGAGTTTCACCATACTGGCCAGACTGGTCTCGAACTGACCTCAGATGATCCACCTTCCTTGGCCTCCCAAGGGGTTAGGATTACAGGCTTGAGCCACCATACCGGGCCTCAAGTGTGTTTTAAAGTGAGAGCTCAGACGATCGCTGGTCTAGCTATGATTGTGCCACTGTACCCCAGCCTGGGTGACAGAGTGAAACCCTGTCTCAAAAAAAAAAAAAAAAGGCAACCCATCACGTGGATGTAATGGAGAGGTGGGGGTCAAGGGCTGCTCCAAGAGCTTTGACCTGAGGAAGCAGAGCACGCAATTTCCATTTGCTGTGGGAGGAGCAGGTTTCAAGCTTATCAGTGGAGGAGATGGGGTTTGGGAAACATTAAGTTTGAGGATCGAGGAACCCGTCCTTTGGGAGTGCAGGCCTAGAGGTCAGGGGAGGGGCCGGACTTCGGGGAGGAACCTGGGACCCAGCGCCTGGGATGGAAGAGCTCTCCCAGTAAGAGGGCGGGCAGGCAGTTTACACAGGACAGGAGGAGCAAATGAGAGGCAGGGAGGCAAAGTGGGAGGCAAAGCCATGTCCTGGGGCCAGGAGAAGGGTGTGTTGACAGACAGAAGGAGTGAGCGGCCATGTCTGAGGCTGCTGGCAGGTGGAGGACTGTGATGGTCAATGCTGACCTTGGCAAGAGCTGTTTGGGTGGAATGGCAGGGCTGGGAGCCCAACTTTGGTGGGCCTGGGGGATGATGGGGGCCGGGGGAGGAGCGGAGAGACAGCACAGAGACCACCCTTCCAAGGGAATATGCTGGAAGGGGATCGGATAAGCACGGCGGAAGCTAAAGGGGATTGTGGGGTCAGAGGGTGGCTTCTTACAATCTGGGGGCATTCCTGCATGTTTGTGGCATGCTGATGGGGCTGACCCAGGAGAGGAAACAGCTGGTGACGCAGGAGAGATGGGGCCATGTGAAGGGAAGCCAGGGGAAGGTGGAGAGGAAGCGAGGTGCACGGGGCCCGGGCAGGGAAGGACCTGACGGGCATGAGAGGAGGGACAGCTGATGGGCATGAAAGGAGGGGCAGCTGCCCAGGGGGACACCCAGGGAGGCTGGTGAGTGCAGGGCCAGGAATGCCTCTGATTGCCTCTGCGTTTTCAATGAAGCTCATGCCTGTAATCCCAACATTCTGGGAGGCCAAGGCAGGAGGATGTCTTGAGCTCAGGAGTTTGAGGCCAGCCTGTGCAACATAGTGAGACCCTGTCTCTACAAAAAAGAAAAAGAAAAAAAAGCTAGCCAGGCGTGGTGATGTGTACCTGTAGCCCCAGCTACTCAAGAAGGATGAGGAGGGAGGATCACTTTAGCCCAGAAGTTTGAGGCTGCAGTGAATCGTGATCACACCACTGTACTCCAGCCTCAGCAACATAGCAAGATCCTGCCTCAAAAAAAAAAAAAAGCAACCTATCATCCGACAGTGAGAATGAGGGCTGAGGGAGGGTGGGGTATTGGAGGTTTGGGGAGAGAGAGAAGTTGTGGTCTGGGAGACGGGGGCTGCAAGCTGACCGAGGAACACAGAGGATTGCTGGACAGCACAAATGTTTGTTGGAGGTCAAGGTCATGAGATATAAAGCTGTTTGTGCCATCAGGTGGCTTTGTCCAGGGCTCCGCTGCTTGGATGTCAGAGCACACTGAGCAGCACCCAGAACTCAACCGGGACAGGGGTTCTGCCAGGTGGATGGAGGAGGGGGAGGGCAGGGTGACTGAGGGCGTCTGCAGCAGACAATGAGCCTGGAACCCAAGGAAGCAGAGGACACGGGAGGTGAAGGAAAAGGAATGTGCCCTGGGGGCAGATGGCAAGAGGCAAAGAAAGATCAGAGTTAAGGTTGCAGAGGGAATGTGTGGAAAGACAAGAGGCAGTGCTCCAAGATGGGATGCTTCAGGCGGAAATGGCAGATGGGAGGGTGTTACTGACCAAGTCAGGACCCAGGGTGTATCATGGACGTGGCTGTTGACGTAGGGGCTGACAAGGGGGTGGGGGGAAGGGCGAAGAAGATTTCAGAACAGATGTAGGGGCTCCCACCTGTAATCTCAGCACTTTGGGAGGCCGAGACTAGAGGATCACTTGAGCTCAGGAGTTTGAGACCAGCCTGGGCAACATAGTGAGACCTCGTCCTTACAAAAAATACAAAAATTAGCTGGGCATGGTGGCATGTGCCTGTGGTCCCAGCTGCTTAGGAGGCTGAGGTGGGAGGTTTGCTTGAGCCCAGGAAGTCAAGGTGGCAGTGTGCTGTGATTGTGCCCCTGCACTCCAGCCTGAGTGACAGAGCGAGACCGAAAGAAAGAAAGAAAGAAAGAAAGAAAGAAAGAAAGAAAGAAAGAAGAAGGAAGGAAGGAAAGAAAGAAAGAGAAAGAAAGAAAGAGAAAGGAAGGAAGGAAAGAAAGAGAGAGAGAAGGAAAGAAAGAAAGGAAAGGAAGAAAGAAAGATAAAGGAAGGAAGGAAGGAAAGAAAGAGAAAGGAAGGAAGGAAAGAAAGAGCGAGAGAGAAAGAAGGAAAGAAAGAAAAAGAAAGAAAGAAAGATTGATTGATTCAGGGAACCGAGAGGCAAGGCCAGGCTAGAGCAAGGGGAGCCTGGGGAGAGCCCACCACAGTGGTCTTAGCCTTTTCTCAAGGGTAGGAGTCTGTTCCCAGGGGCTGGCTCCTCTGTCCCGCTAAGCCAGGGCATGGTGGCTTCTGGCACAGGCAATTACCAAAGTTTTCTTTTTTTGCTTGTAAAATACACATAACACATAGTTTACCATTGCAAGCATTTTACATGTTCAGTCCAGTGGCATCGTACACGCACGTGGTTGTGCAAGCATCACCACCTTCATCTCTAGAAAGTTTTCATCTTTATAGTATGAGATTCTGTCCCCAGTAAACGCTCATTCCCGTTACCCGCTCCCTCCAGCCCCTGGCAACACTCTCTGTCTCTATGATTATGACGACTCTAAGTATTTTGTGTAAGTGGAATCATACAGCATTTAACTTTTTGGGGCTGGCTTATTTCACTAGCATAATATCCTCAAGGTTCATCCACACTGCAATGTGTGTCAGAACCTCCTTCCTCTTTAAGGCTGAATCCGAGTCCCTTGCGTGTCTACACCACATTTTGCGTATCCATTCGCCCATCGATGCTTCCACCTTTTGGCTATTGCGAATAATGCTGCTATGACGATGGGTGCACAGATCTCTCTTTGAGACCCTGCTTTCAATTCTTCTGAGTATATACCCAGAAGTGGAAATGCTAGATCATATGGTAATTCTATTTTTACTTTTTTTGAGGAACTGCCATGCTGTTTTCCACGGCGGCTGCACCATTTTCATTCCCACCAGCAATGCCCGAGAGCTCCAATTTCTCCACATCCTCATCAACACTTACTATTTTCTGTTTGTTTGATAGTAGCCATCCATCGCCAATGTGCTTTGACACACATCACCTCGTTTGGTAAAAATCGGTCCAGGTGCAAGGGCCGGCCTGAAAGGAGCAAGGAGCCTGGAAGACGGATGAGGTTGGAACAGAAACAGCAAGTGGTGTGTCTGGCTGAAGCACACGAGTGCAGTCAGAGATGAAGCTGGGAAGGTGTCTGGGTGAGGCTGACCTCGGGGGTCTCCAGATACCACGGGAGGAGCTGAGCTCAGAGAGCATGTGTCACTTGCCCAGGGTCTCAAAGCCAATAAGTAGCAGAGCTGTGACACAAATCCCAATTTGTTTTTCATAATTCCATCAGCATTTATTGAACACCTACTGTGTGCCAGGCCCCATGCTGGGGGCTGTTTGATACCAAATCCATTGCTCTTCACTGCTGCTGTACACTGGCTCAAATAGTGGTCAGTCTCCAAGCTGCTCTAAGACAAGATGCATGAAGCGAACTCAGCAGGGTGTGGAGGGAGGGCATGGAGAGCAGCTAGCTAAACCATGGGAGCTACTTCATCGCACACTCACGCTCTCACTCAAGGTAGAACCGGCTGAGCCTGAAAGGGTCGGTTGTCAACTCGAGAGGAGAAAGGAAATGCCCGGTAAATGACAGACCATTTGCAGCCTCCCCTCCCCAGCAGACGAGCTGACCATCACCAAGTGATGGGGGTCTACCAAAAGTGGGGGCTTGAGGAGGGCTTTGATCATAAGCAGTTGCCATGTTTGTAGGTTGACAACAGCTGCATGTCGGCACTTTCACGGAGTAAACATCATACAAAATGATGGCATCACTTCCGCTGGCTTCCATTCCCTCTTCCCACACTTGGTGGGTTCCTACTGATGCGGGGCAGATGAGCCCCAAAACTGGGGCTTAACCCAGGAGGGTTCTTGGCTTCACCCAGGAAAGTATGTAAGGGTGAGCTGGTGGTGTTAGACAACAGCTTGTATTAAAGTGGCCATGCCTAGCCCAGCGGAGGAACTGCTCCCTGCAGAGCAGGGCTCCCCCGCAGGCTGTGTGCCCAGAGTGGCAGCTCAGATCCAATTCTGCACTCATAGTGATACCCACTTTTAATTATATGCAAATTAAGGGACAGTTCATGTAGAAATTTCTAGGAAAAGGGTGGTAACTTCCAGATCATTGGGCTGTTGCCATGGAAAGGGCAGTCACTTCTGGGTGTTGCCATGCCAATGGTAAACTGGCATGGCACACTGGTGGGCAGCCTTATGAAGAGGTGCTTCCACCCCAGGCTTGCTTTAGCTAGTCCAGTGTCCAAGGTCAATTTGGTCCAGTGTCCAAGGTCTGCCTCCAGAGTCCAGTCCCACCCTACCTCACTACAAGTGCCAGTAGTAGGAACAGCAGAGGTGAAGGAAATGACATGGCCCCTCCCCTCATGGAGCTTGTGGTCCGCTGAGGGTCACAAATATAAAACACGCAGCCCATGGTGGGGGTCATGTGTCTGGGGCATGGGGGGCAACTTCTCCGATGAAGTATTGTACAAGCTGGGACCCAAAGCATGAGGAGGAGTTGCCCAGGGAAGGGGGTAGGGGAAGAGTGTTCCAGAAAATGAGAACGTGTGCCAAGGGGCCAGAAGAGGCCAGGAGCAGTGGGAGACTGACTGGGAAGCATGGCTGGGCTGGCTGAGCGGGTAACTGGGCTGGGGGAGGAAATAAGGCCAGGGTTTGCCTTGTTTAGCCTTTCAAATGTCAAGGCAAGGTCAGGCGCAGTGGCTCACCCCTGTAATCCCAGCACTTTGGGAGGCCAAGATGGGCGGATCACTGAAGTCAGGAGTTCAAGAACAGCCTGGCCAACATGGTGAAACCCAGTCTCTACTAAAAATACAAACATTAGCATGACGTGGCGGTGCATGCCTGTAATCCCAGCTACTCAGGAGGCTGAGGCAGGAGAATTGCTTGAACCCGGGAGGTGGAGGTTGCAGTGAACTGAGATCACACCACTGCACTCCAGCCTGGGCAACAGAGCAAGACTTCATCTCAAAAAAAAAACAAGAAAAAAGGTCAAGGCAAATAGGGCTCAACATCAAAATCATTTCAACAGGCATAGAATTGTGGAAATGTTTCCTGCTGTGTCTCCCCTGTTGCTAATTCAGTACATTTTCTCTCTCCCCAGCATCTCCCTACCATAAAACTTAAACCATGAAGCGTTTGGTCCCATGAAGAGCCGTGTGGATACCATCTGCATCCCTGACTAGGGAAGAAGGGGACTGTGACAAAAGGAGAGTCCCTGCTAGACAGCAGCGGGGACTGGAAGCCCCTTTCAGGGCAGGAGGAGGGGAAGGGAGGCTGAAAGTCAGGCGTGAGGCGTCTGGGGGCAGTAGAAAGATTCAGATAGGTTTGGGGGATCCGAGGACATCAGAGCTGGTGCCTATGTCCCCAGGATGCATCCTAAGGGGTCTGCGAGGCTCACCTTAGGCCTGACATTGCACCCAGTGTGGCCAGGCTGCAGCAGATGGAAATGACTGAGGGTCCCCAGTCCCCAGGCAGAGGGGCTGAGGACAGTCTCACAGAGACCCCCAACCCCTGCAGCTGAGTGGAGGAAGCCCAGGAACTGAATGGGATGGTCTTATGGGTTGAAGTGTGTCCCCAAAAAAGATATGCTGCGGCCCTAACCCCCAGTACCTGTGAATGTGACCTTATTTGGAAATAAAGGTCCTTGCAGATATAATTAAGAAGAGGTCATTAGGTGGGGCCTAATCCAATATGAGTGGTGTTCTTAGAAGAAGAGGAAAATGCCATGTGACATTGGAGGCAGAGAGTGGAGAGATGCATTTGTAAGTCTGGGGCTAAAGCCGGAAAGGCAAGAAAGGACCTTCCCCTAGAGGTTTCAGAGGAGGCACGGCACTGCCCACACATTGATTTCAGACTTCTGGCCTCTGGGACTGTGAGAGAACACATTTCTGTGGTTTTCAACCACCGGGTTTGTGGGACTTTATTAGAGCAGCCACAGAAAAAAACAACATATGGGAAGAAGATTGACTGTGAATTGGAAGTTTTCAGGGCAAAGCGAAGTCCAGTCAGCCTCAGAGAACGTGGATGCGGTTCCCGGAGACCAGGGCAGACCAGACCCGCCCCTCCTGAGCAGGTCCAGTGATGGCAAGTAGGGCAAGAGACTCCTGTCCTGGCCCATGCAAGCTTCTCCACACAGCCAGACACCATCTTCAAAAGGAAACAGGAGGGAGACCCCCCCGAGTGCAGAGAAACCACCCTTACAAGGGATAGGGCTTTGAAAGGACCACATATTTTCCTGTAAGAGACGACTTTACAAAAAAAAAAAAAGAGAGACTTTCGGTTTTGTCACCCCTCCTCTCCCCACTGCCAAGACATCAGCAGGAAAGGGGGCACAGGGCAAAAGGAGATCAGATCTGGAAAATCCAGGCTTTTCACACAACTTAGCCCAAGAACGTACATTTCACCCCCTACACTCTTCTGTTTTTTTGTTTTGACACAGAGTCTCACTCTGTTACCCAGGCTGGAGTACAATGGTGCAATCTCAGCTCATTGCAACCTCTGCCTCCCAGGTTCAGGTGATTCTCCTGCCTCAGCCTCCCAAGCAGCTGGGATTACAGGCTCGCGCCATCAAGCCCAGCTAATTTTTGTATTTTTATTCGAGGCGGGGTTTCACCATATTGGCCAGGCTGGTCTCGAACTCCTGACCTCAAGTGATCCACCAACCTTGGCTTCCCAAAGTGCTGAGATTGCAGGCGTGAGCCATCGCGCCTGGCCCCCTACACTCATTTCTACTGATAGTTTCTGCAGAGTTAGGGCACCCTTTTAAGCACCGATACAGGAGAGGCTCAGGCAGGAAACCAAGGTAGGTTTCACAAGTGCATCTGCAGATGGGGCCACCCAGTTGATCACCAGGATGTTCACTGGAGCATGACATACAAACGCAAATGTCAGAAGCAACCTACATATCCACACGGGACTGGGTAAATAAATAATGATAACGGACTCTGTGCCACCATTAAAATTATGCTGTCAAAAGTGGTTTCATGATATGGGCCCAGCATGGTGGCTCATGGCTCTAATCCCAGCAATTTGGGAGGCTGAGGCAGTCGGAACACTTGAGGCCAAGAGTTCAAGACCAGCCTGGCCAACATGGTGAGACCCCATCTCTACTAAAAATACAAAAATTAGGCCAGGCGCAGTGGCTCATGCCTATAATCCCAGCAATTTGGGAGGCCGAGGTGGGCGGATCACCTGATGTTGGAAATTTGAGACCAACCTGACCAACATGGAGAAACCCTGTCTCTACTAAAAATACAAAATTAGCCAGGCGTGGTGGCGCATGCCTGTAATCCCAGCTACTCGGGAGGCTGAGGCAGGAGAATCACTTGAACCTGGGAGGCGGAGATTGCAGTGAGCCAAGATCGCGCCATTTGCACTGCAGCCTGGGCAACGAGAGCGAAACTCCATCTCAAAAATAAATAAATAAATACAAAAATTAGTTGGGCATGGTGGCAGGCGCCTGTAGTCCCAGCTACTTGGTAGGTGGAGGTGGGAGGATCACCTGAGCCAGGGAGGTGGAGGTTGCAGTGAGCCGAGATTGCACCACTGCACTTCAGCCTGAGCAATGGAGCAAGACTCTGTCTCAAAAAAAAAGTGATTTAATAATATGGTGAAAGGTTGTGATAAATGTTAAGTAATAGTAACAATAATAATAAATCAGCCTAAAAGGGTATCTTTTTTTTTTGAGGCAGAGTTTCATTTTGTCACCCAGGCTGGAGTACGGTGATATGATCTCAGCTTACTGCAACCTCCACCTCCCGGATTCAAGTGATCTCATGCCTCAGCCTCCCGAGTAGCTGGAATTACAGGCATGTGCCATCACGCCTGGCTAATTTTTGTATTTTTAGTAGAGATGGGGTTTTGCCATGTTGGCCAAACTGGCCTCGAACTCCTAGCCTCAAATGCTGGAATTACAAGCATGGGCCACTGCCCCTGGCCTGCCAAAAAGGGTATCTGTAATATGATTCCAATATTTACATGATGTTGCTGTGTAAGGCTAACTGCTTTAACCAACAACTCCCAGAGTTCAATGGCTTAACACAACTAAGGTTCATTTCTCCCCAAGACACTGTCAAATGTTGGGCAGCAGGGGTTGGGAAGAGTCTTGACTCTACTGGGTCATTTGGGAACCCTGGTTTCTTCCATCTAGCAGCTTGGCTGCTCACTAGGGTGTTGGAGTCCTTCACTAGGTCCTTCACTGGGTCCTTCCCATCCTGAGAGCATCCAAAGAAGAGAGAACTTGAAGGAGTAATAGAAGATTTTATGGAACAGGCTGATAAGTAAGGGACATTACCTTCTCCCACATTCCACTGGTCAGACCCAGTCATGTGACACTCTCCTTGCAGGGGAGGCTGGGAAATGTAGTCTAGCTGCATGTCAGAGGAGAAGGGAAACAGGATTTGCTGAACACACAGCATCACGTCTGCCAGTTAATATGTATAAAAAACATTACTGCAAGGAAATCACCCCATTTAACAGTCATTATTCCTGGATGGTGAAACTATAAGCATTTAATTTTTTTTTCATATTTACCTTACTTTGAATTTTTTAATTTTCTGAAATAAACATTTAGTACTTTTACAGAGAGGGAAAAATGTAATTTTATAATTGAAAAAATAGTCTTCAGGCTTCTTCTGGGATTTGGACAGGATTGTTTGGTGGTCAGTCTTACAGGTTATATAATCGAAGGAAAGTTGTATCACCTTCTATGCTAGTCTGTTTGGACTGCTGAGACAAATACCATAAACTGCCTAGTTTTATAAACTAGGTAGCTTATAAAATACAGAGATTAGTGCAGTTTTGTTACATATGTAGTAAAAGGGAAAAAATTTAAAATAAAAATAAAACACAATAGAGATTAGGCCGGGCAAAGTGGCTCATGCCTGTAATCCCAACACTTCAGGAGGATCACTTGAGCCCAGGAGTTGGAGACCAGCCTGGGCAACACGGCAAGACCGTTTCTCTATAAAACATGAAAATCAAAATCAAATTAGCCAGGTGTCATGGTGCACACTTGCGGTCCCAGCTACTCAGGAGTCTGAGGATCGCTTGAGCCAGGAAGGTTGAGGCTACAGTGAGCGGTGATTGTGCCAGGCACTCCAGCCTGGGCGACAGAGTGAGACCCTGTCTCAAAAAAGAAAAAAGTAAAGAAAAACAACAAAGATTGATTTCCCACAGTTCTAGAGGCTGGAAGTCCAAGATTAAGGCACCAGCAGATTCAGTGTCTGGGGAGGGTCACTTTCTGGTTCATAGACAGCACCACATCTCTGCATCCTCACGTGGAAGGGACAAGACAGCTCTCTGGGGCCTCTTCTATAAGGGCATGAATCCCATTCCTAAGGGCTCCACCATCATGACCAGGTCACCCCCAAAGGCCCCACCTCCTCATGCCACCACCTTAGGGGTTAGGTTTCAACTCATGTATCTGAGGGGCACACACATTCAGACCATGGCACCTTCCTCAGACTTAAAGTCTCCACCTCTGTAAAATGGAAAATAAAAATGACAGACACCACATAGAGAGCTGGGAGAATTAAATGAGAAAACGTGGAAGTGCTATTGGCATGACTCCTGGCACAGAGCAGGTGCACAGCCGGCATGATTTCCATCGGTTAAATCTCCTTCCCTGCCCATCCACTTGCCCCCTGCTGGGTCACAAGTCCAGCCCTCCTCCTCGTCCCTCGCCCACCCACACCATCTCTCCGACTCTCTCTCACCTGGCGACCCTGCTTTTTATTTCAGAGGGACAGAGACAAGAAGGATAAAACCCAGGGACGGTCACCTTGGCTTCTACCCCTGGGTGCCTGGGCCTGTCCCTCAGCCACCTTCCTGCTTCCAGACATCGACACTCAGGCCCCCAGGCAACCCTGTCTTGCACCAGATCCCAACTCCCCTGGAGGAGGAGCTCCAGTCCTGCTCTGTCCTGCATCACCCACAGTCCCATCCCTGCGGCACAGTTCTCACCAGCATCCAGAAGGGCCGCGGCCACTCCCACCTTGGCAAAGCCTCTGACTGCACCCCTCTCTCCGGCCATCACCCCATTTCTCTGCTCCCCTTTATGGCAACATTTATCAAAAGAGTTGACCAGGTGCAGTGGCTTACCCCTGTAATCCCAGCACTTTGGGAGGCCGAGGTAGGAGGATTGCTTGAGCCCGGAGTTTGAGGCTGCAGTGAGCTATGATGGCACCACTGCTCTCCAGCCCGGGTGACAGAGCAAAACCCTGTCTCTAAAAGAAAAGAGAGAGGGAGAGAGTTCTCTACCTGTTGTGTCTGCTTCTTCTCATCCCAGGCTCCCAGAACTCACTCCAGACAGGTGCCACACCCTCTGTCCACCAACATTGCTCTTGTAAAGCTCATCAATGGCCTTCCCACTGCTCATCCGATGGTGGATCTCCAGCCTCCTCTTCCCTGACCCTCAGCAGGCTGTGGCCCTGGCATCACTCCCTCTGCCTCGATACCCGCTGCAGGCACTCATGATTCTTTCCCCTCCAACCTCACCGCCATGCTTCCTCAAGCTTCTTGGCTGGTTCCTTCCTCCCCATGTCTGTGGCCTCTAAAATCCTTGAAATGACTGAGACTCAGGCCTTGGGCACTGTTACAAGTTGACTCGTGTCCTTGGAAAGGATATGTCATTGATGAATATCACAGGGCCCTTAAAAGGAAGGGAATTCTGATTCTTGCTACAGTGTGGACTGACCTTGGGGACATTATGCTAAGAGAAATAAGCCAGACACCCAAAAAAACAAAGACCGTATGACTCCATTTATATGAGGTCCCTAGAGCAGTCAAATTCATAGAGCTAGAAACCAGATGGTAGCTGCCCAGGGCTGGGCAGGGGAGAATAAGGAGGTGGTGCTCACTGGGTACAGTGTTTCAGTTCAGGAAGATGAAAAGGTTCTGGAGATGGATGGTGGTGATGGCTGCAGAGAATGTGAATGTTCTTAATGCCACTGCAATACACACTGAAAAATGGTGAAGCCGGAGCCAGGCTCAGTGTCACACACTGTAGTCGCAGCTACTCAGGAGGCTGAGACAGGAGGATCGCATGAGCCTAGGAGTTGGAGGCTGCAGTGAGCCATGATCATGCCTGCAAATAGACATTGTACTCCTGCTTGGGCAACATAGCGAGACCCTGTCTCAAAAAATTTTTTGTTTAAATGGTGAAGATGGTATATTTTATGGTTGTGTACTTTTTTCACCATATAAAAAAGGATAACCGAAGCCGGGCACAACGGCTCATGCCTGTAATCCCAGCACTTTGGGAGGCTGAGGCAGACAGATCACTTGAGGCCAGGAGTTTGAGACCAGCCTGAGCAGCATAGTGAAAGCCCATCTCTACTAAAAAAAAAAACAAAAATTAACCTGGCATGGTGGCACGCACCTGTAATCCCAGCTGCTCGGGAGGCTGAGGCACAAGAATCGCTTAAGCCCACCCTTCCTTGTCAACTCCAGGCTCATCTTGCCCACGCCCCATTTGTGAGCCACCATGCCCATCCCCCTTATTTTACATCACAAACCACCTTTCCTGGGACTCTCTCTGCCCTCCCCACCTTTATTTTTCTCCATTGTATAGTATCTGTCACCTCTAATAAAGTATATAACGTACGCAGTTTTTCACTTACTGTCCATCTCCCTCCACTAGAACGTAGAGGCCATGATGGCAGAAAGTTTTGTCTCTTTTTCCTGCTGTGTTTCTGGGCGAGAACAGTGCCTGGCACAGAGTGCTGCTTAGTAGATAGTGAATTAATGAGCATATGAATGAATGGATTTTCTGATGAAGGCCCACATTTTCTCACAGTCAGTTTCAGCTCTAGAAGGAGGCTGGTGGACCAGGCGCAGTGGCTCGTGACTGTCATCCTAGCACTTTGGAAGGCAGAGGCAGGTGGATCACCTGAGGTCAGGAGTTCAAGACCAACCTGGCCAAGATGGTAAAATCCCATCTCTACTAAAAATACAAAAATTACCCGGGAGTGGTGGCCCATGCCTGTAGTCCCAGCTACTCGGGAAGCTGAGTCAGGAGAATCACTTGAACCCGGGAGGCGGAGGTTGTAGTGAGCCGAGATCTCACCACTGCGCTCCAGTCTGTGCGACAGAGAGAGACTCTGTCTCAAATAAATAAATAAATAAATAGAAGGAGGCTGGATGAGATGGAGGAGCAGGGGGCTCCCTTTCTTGCTTGAAAGTTGATTTAGAGCTTCCCTCATAGGACCTATGGTCATTTGAGCGCCTGCTGAACTGAGGTCTGGTCAGGGCTGGAGAAGTCTGTTCAGTACTGTTTCTCATCCCTGTGATTTCCGATGCTCCCCTATCCCTGGCCCACTGTGGCTGCTTCTCACCTGCTAGACTGAACACCAACTCCCCACCACCCCCACCAAGCCTGGGCAGTAAACTGTCCTCCCCAAACCCCATTACTCCCTAATTCTGGGCCTTCCTCAATCCCAGCCCACATGTGTCTCTCAATCTCAGCCATTTCGTGAGGTAGGAGGCAGGACTGGACTCTGAGGTGGGGCTCAAACACCTGATCAAATGGAGAACTAGCTAAAACAGGGAAGGGACAAAAGCACTTCTCTGTAAGACACGCCCACTGGTGTGCCATGTCAGTTTACCATTGCCATGGCAACACCTGGCAGTTACTGCCCCTTTCCATGGCAACAACCCAATCATTGGGAAGTTACCACTCTTTTTCTCAAAATCGCTGCAAAATCTGCCCCTTGATTTGGAAATAATTAAAAGTGGGTATATTGGACGGGCACGGTGGCTCATACCTGTAATCCCAGCACTTTGGGAAGCCAAAGACCGGCAGATCACCTGAGGTCAGGAGTTCGAAACCAGCCTGGCCAACATGGTGAAACCCCATCTTTACTAAAGATACAAAAGTTAGCTGGGTGTGGTGATGGGTGCTTGTAATCCCAGCTACTCAGGAGGCTGAGGCAAGAGAATCACCGGAACCCGGGAGGTGGAGGTTGCAGTGAGCCAAGATCGTGCCACTTCACTCCAGACTGGGTGACAGAGCGAGACTCCACCTTAAAATAAGTAAAATAAAATAAAATAAAAGTGGGTATAATAAATATGAGTGCAGAACGGCCTCTGAGCTGCTACTCTGGGCACACTGCCCATGGGAGAGCCCTGTTCCACTAAGAGCAGAACCTCTGCTGCCGCTGTGCACAGCCTTCTCAATACAAGCTGCTGCCTAATGCCAGCGGCTCACCCTTGAATTCTTTCCTGGGCAAAGCCAAGAACCCTCCAGGGCTAAGCCCCAATCTGGGGGCTCACCTGCCCTGCATCATTACCAGCTGTGTGACCTTGGGCACAGCTTCCCCGAAGCCTTAGTGTCTCTGATACGGTTTGGATTTCTGTCCCCACCCAAATCTCATGTCAAATTGTAATCCCCAGTGCTGGAGGAGGAACCTGGTGGAGGGTGTTTGGATCATGGGGCTGACCTCCTCATTGCTGTTCTCATGAGAGTGAGTGAGTTCTCACAAGATCTGGTTGTTTAAAAGTAGGCAGTACCACTCCCCTCTCCAGTCAGGTAAGTGTGCCTGCTTCCCCTTCGCCTCCCACCATTACTGTAAGTTTCCTGAGGCCTCCCCAGCCATGCTTCCTATATAGCCTTCAGAATCATGAGCCAATTAAACCTCTTTTCTTTGTAAATTACCCAGAACCATGAGCCAATTAAACCTCTTTTCTTTATAAATTACCCAGTCTCAGGTAGTTCTTTATAGCAATGTGAGAACAGACTAATACAGCCTCCATCTGTAAAATGCAGAAGCCAACAGTCTCTGCCTCATTCTAAGATGTAAACGAAATTTGACTGTCAGTGCTCAGCACAGTGCCTCAAATGCAGTGATCACCCCTAAAACATCACCTAGTGTGAAAATTATCATCGTGGTCAAATGTCTCCAAATGCTTACCTTTCTCCATCCAGCACCTGTGGATGTCCCATTAGAGTTTCTTAATATTATGATTTATCAGTGACCACCATAGCCCAGGTCCTGTCACTAAGCCCCCGTGTGCCAGGAATTCGGTGTGCACCATCCTGGCATCTGCTGGAGCCCCCAGAGTGCTGACCTTGCCTGCCTTCCCCTGCACGTGTTCTTCCTCCAGAAGCCTATAGTTTGGAATCACCATTTTTCTCTTTTTCTTGCTCCCAGCGTCCAGGATCCTAGCTAAATGGCCCTCTAAAACTGTGGGATATCTCGGGAGCACCCCCCTGGCCCAGTCCTGTGGAGACGGTAGAAGAGACAGGCAAAAGGAAGCGTGTCTCTGAGATCCTGAAACTTACATGTAGTTGTGGGGAGGCCAGGCACAGTGGCTCACATCTTTAATCCCGGCACTTTGGGAGGCCAAGGTGGGCAGATCCCTTGTGGTCAGGAGTTTGAGACCAGCCTGGCCAACATGGTGAAACCCCATCTCTACTAAAAATATAAAAATTAGCCGGGCGTGGTGGCACATGCCTGTAATCCCAGCTACTGGGGAGGTTAAGGCAGGAGAATTGCTTGAACCCAGGAGGCGGAGGTTGCAGTGAGCCAAGATCACACCACTGCACTCCAGCCTGGGCAACAAGAGCGAAACTCCGTCTCAGAAAAAAAAAAAAAAAAAAAAAGCATGTAGTTTGCGGGGAAGGGGTGATTTGCACCTAGAGTTACCAGGCAACAATTCAAGCCAATGGCAGGAAGCTGGACAGGATTCACACCGGAGGTGCGGGAAATTCCTGCTGGCGCTTCTGTCAGAAGCCAGGTCTGGGTGTTAGGCAGCGACTCATACCCTGGGATCAAGAACTCTGTTGCCTTCACCTTCCCCTCCCTTTCCTCTTGCTTGGGGGTTGGACGCTCCTGAGAAGACAGGGTGGAGGGCAAAGGTGGAACTGGAGATGGGCCCAGACCCCTCTGCCCAGAGAGCGGGTGGTGGGAGAGAGGACATTGATTCTGGACAGGACCAGGATTACGGGAGAAACCCCAGAAAACCAGAACCAGAGAGCCCTGCTGACTCTACCCACTCTCCTAACTTTACAGAGGGCAGCCTGAGGACCAGGGAAGGCAGGGGACTTCCCCAAGGTCACAGACAAAGTCAGCCTCAGGGCTGAGACCCTGACACGGGTCTCCTGACCTTACCTCCAGCCCTCTGTCCTCTGGACAGCAAGGGAGGCATCGTGGAGAGCTCTGGGGAGAATTTTATTTTTGATGGTGGCCAAGATGCTGTGCTAGGACCTTCCGACATCTCAGCAAATCCTCCCCCTGCACGAGGGAGGACACTATTATTGTCCCCAATAGTCAGAAGAGGAAGATCAGTGATGGGAAGCAATTTGCTCAAGATTCCGCAGCCCAGAGGCCCATTTTGAGCCCAAATTCCTACCCCGTCCCTGCCGTGCTTCTTAGAACCAGAGAGAGGCCTGTCGGGTTTGCAAAGACAGCCTCGCCCCTGCCAGGCTCTGAACCTCAGTCTCGTCTACAAGGAGGACGCCACCTCTCTCCTCAAGCTTGTTTCCAGAATGAAAGGAGGAAGTGCGTGGCCTGGCCCGTGGGAGGCGCTTGGGAAACGGCAAATGTGCAGTGGGCGGCCCATCCTCAAAAGTTCGGCAAACACAAAGCACTTTTTCTTTACAATTTTTTTAGCATTTTTTTTTTATTGTGGTAAAATATCCATACCAGAAAGTTACCATTTTAGTCATTTGTACGTGTTCCGTGAACGTGGCTTTAAGCATATTCACGTTGTTGTGTAACCATCCCCACCATCCATCTC
The DNA here is from genome assembly GCF_000001405.40 of Homo sapiens. Lineage (NCBI taxonomy): Eukaryota > Metazoa > Chordata > Mammalia > Primates > Hominidae > Homo > Homo sapiens. The sequence goes on along the minus strand of NC_000009.12, from coordinate 129,261,445 downwards.
CACAACCGTCTCATCTTCCCAAACGCACACTCTGTCCCCGTGAGACACTCATTCCCGGCGGCCCTTCTTATACTTTCAAAAATGAACCTCCTGCCGCATATCCTGGCTGGGCAGGCTGGGAAGGGGAAAAAAATGACAATAGACTGGTGGAATAATGAGGACAGAGAACAGGAAGTGAGGAAAGAAGAGGCTTGGGGGGCTGGACGCGGTGGCTCACGCCTGTAATCCCAGCACTTTGGGAGGTCAAGGCGGGGGCAGACCACGAGGTCAGGAGATCGAGACCATCCTGGCTAACATAGTGAAACCCCAACTCTACTAAAAATACAAAAATTAGCCGGGTGTGGTGGCATGTGCCTGTAGTCCCAGCTACTTGGGAGGCTGAGGCAGAAGAATCGTTTGAACCTGGGAGGTGGAGGTTGCGGTGAGCTGAGATCATGCCACTGGACTCCAGCCTAGGTGACAGAGCGAGACTCTGTCTCAAAAAAAAAAAAAAAAAAAAAAAAAGAGGCTTCAGGGCAGAGCATTAAGGTGGCTGTTTCCAGAGGCCAGGCCAGCTGCAACCTCCCTGCAGGTCTCTGCCAGAGCCGCCCGTCCCCAACTCCCACCACCCCTCCAATCAGGGACAGCCAAGATCAAGATAACTTCCTGGCCCAGCCTCAGGGCCCTCATCTCTAAAATGGGGATGCTGATAAAGTTGGTACCTCTTAAGGCTGTTGTGGGAATTGATTGATAATGTTCTCATAAAGCACTTAGCCTATGCCTGGCACGGGACGACCTTTGGGGCCAGCCACCATTGGTGTTGCTGTCATTATTATTCCACCCCAAGAACCAGAAATAGAGCCAAGGTCCTCGTGCTTTTCCATCCAACTTTATACTTTACTTCCCCAAGCAGCCCAGCTGGTCTTCTCACCACCACCACCCCCCGACCAAGTCCTTGAGTTTAGTTCAATCTGAGTTCATTGAGCACCTACTATGTGACCAATCTCATGCTGGGCACTATGACCAAAGAGGCAAGCAAGGCACAGTGCCCACCCCAGAGGGCTCTCAGTGACATGAGGAGGCAGCCTCAAGTTCAGATCTCTTTGGGCCAATCCAGTCAGTGAAAAGCACATTTCTGTTCCAAGGGAGGGCAATGAAAGGGTCTGGGGGGTCAGGGAGGCTTCCTGGGGGAGGCGAATAAAGGTGGGCAGGACAGTTCAGAGAATGGGAGCCACACAGGCCAAGGCCAGGAAGAACCAAATGCCCCAGGATCTTAAGAGAACCAGAAGTGATTTACTATTAAGGGAGCACAGGGGTGTGAGGCGGAGGGTGGGAGGGGTCATGGATCCGGAGGAACCAATGGGGTAGGGCAGGTTGAGGGCCTGTGTGTGCCCAAGGAGAGTTAGGATGCTCCCTTGCAGATGACAGTGCCATGGAAGTAGCGACATCTGCATCTTTGTCTTGGAGTGGGGGCCCAGGGGACTGTGGACAGAGGGAGGTTAGAGAGATGACAACAGTGGATAGGTGCTACTGAAGGCATCTTGGGAAAATAGCGGGTAACCAGAAAGGGAGTGGTGCAGGAATGGCGAGGCGGAGGTGGACTGCAGAGATTCCAGAGGTAAAACTGTCAGGATGGCGTGGTCGGCAGAACAATGCCTCCAAAATGTCTGCATCCCAATCCCCGGAACATATGGATCTCCTTCTTATATTTCATGACAGGGGAGAATTAAGGTTGCAGGTGGAATTGAGGTTGCTAATCAGCTGATTTTGCGATGGGGAGATTATTCTGGATTATCTGGGAGGACCAATGTAATCACAAGGTTCTTAAATGTGGAAGAGGGAGGCAGGAGAGTCAGCGTCACAGCGATGCTAGGGAGGAAAGACTCGGAGCTATTGCTGGCTTTGAAGACGGAAGGGGGCCAATGTGGGCGGCCTCTATACTTGGAAAAGGCAAGGAAACCGATTCTCCCTCAAGAGCCTCCAGCAGGAACACTGTCCTGCAGACACCTTGAATTTAGCCCTCTGAGACCATGTCAGATTTCTGACCTATAGAACTGTAAGAGAGTAGATGTGTGTTGTTTTAAGCCACTCAATTTGTAGTGAGTTGTTACAGTAGCAATAGAAAACTGATACAACTGGCGATGGGGATGGGGCTGGGAGAAGGGGCATCAAGGACATCTGGCTTGGGGACTGGAAGGACGGCTATGCCACCAAGCTCGAGAGGCTGCAGGAGGATAAACGCGTGGGATGGGAGTCCACACCTCCTCTGGCTGCCGCACCTGAGGGAGCAGCCCAGCCCAGCAGTGGGCACGGAGCCCAAGGATGGGGGTGCATTCGTCATCACAATCAGGGGTGCAGTCGCTGCTGTAGGATGGATAGGCGAATGGATGCAGGCGAGGTCCCCTACGATGCCTTGGGTCTCATGATTCGAATATCAAAACAACCACACTTATTAAGCTTTCGGTTCTAGAACAAGACAGAGAAACAGAATTTAAACCTCAAGGTCTGAGGTCAATGTGGGGTTAGAAACTCAGGGCCGGGAGGCATAAGCAGAAACCCTGCGGGTTCTCAGATGCCCGCGTACCCGATTCTTCCTGGAGGAAGGGGAGCAGGTGAAATTGACTGGGTTCCTCTCCCACCTCTCTTTCCGTAGCAATTCCTTTTTTCCCTTTCCTTCAAAATAAAAAGGAAGAGGGGGTGCCCTGCTCGCAGGAGAAGCGCGGGGCCCATCCCCGCCCGGGCCACGCGGACCCCTCCGCCCGGCTTCGTTCCCCGCCTCCCCCGGTCCTTTGTCTCGCTCCCGCGCTGCCGCGCACATGGTCCCCTGTCAAATTCTGGGCGGCTCCCGGGGACACGTGTCTGGGAGCCCGCAGCTCCGCCGGCCCGCGTAACCATGGAAACCGCGGCCAATGGGAGGCCGTGTTGCCCGTGGGGGCGGAGCCGAGCGCGCCCGGAGCAGGAGGGGCCGGGAGGGCGTGGGTGGGGCGGGGCCGATACGACAGCAAGCTCGGGGCGGGGCCCGGGTGACCCCGACCCCGGGCGGTCCGCAGTGCGGAGGATGCTCACCGGGCTGACGTCTTACCGCGTATTTTTGACATCTTGACAGCGTTTCCTCGGCACTCCTGGGATTTTCTTTGCCTATGAAGTGCTGAGTGTGATCCCACCAGCAACGCTTACTAGCGATATGCGTTGTGCAAGTGACTGAGCCTTGCTTTGCCTCATCTGATAAATGGGGGAGTTGTCAGGGTCCCGCAAGATATGCGATTAGCCCAGGACTCGCACCCAGAGGTGACCAGTAACAGCAGTGACCCTTACGACAAACGGCCTTTTTCCTGCTCCTATGGAAAGAAGGACCTCATTCGTAAGTGAAGGATCCACCCTCTCAGAGGCTCATTTGCCCAAGCCTGATCCCAGTACCTGCCTCAACGTGCCTGTCGACAAACTGGGAAGATGGTACTGCAGTCCCTCAGGGTCTCATGCAGCATCCAGGCTGCTGAGTTCCCGGAGGTAGACACAGATGAGCATTTCTGGGTGCAGGGGCAGAAAGAAAGTTACAGTGCCAAGAGCTGGGGGCAGGACAGGGTTTGCCTCCCAGCCGGGTCACCCTCACGGGCGTTTTTGCCTCTCTGGGAAAAAGCATCTTGTGAAGCAGTGGAGATGATACCTGCCGACTTCCCACTCCACGTGGAGGAGAATCTGAAATGAGAAAATGGATTCTCAAAAACCTCTGTTTCTAAGTAAGCCTGAGAGAGTTCAATGGAGGCAGAAACAGATGGCTGCACCGAGGGACCGCGTCCCTCTTACCTGGCTTCCCCAGGGCCCAGAGCAGGGCCTGAGACCAACAAATACCCCCTAGCCAGGAGTTTCAATGAGCTGAAATCTGTTTCACTTTTAGGAAGAAGTGGGAAATGCACTCCTTCATTCATTCACTCATTCATTCATTCATTCAACAGTTTTCTGTAAGTCTGCTGTGTGCCAGGCACTGTGCTAGATACCCAGGCTACAACTGTGAACAAAACATTCCTGTCCTGAAAGAGGTCACCGTCTGGCTGGGGAGACAGACGTTAAAGAAATAAACAGGCAAACAAACACGCAGCCACAAATATCCATAAATGCCCTGAAAGGAAAACTCATGAGCCATGAGCACGTAGGAAATAAAAAGGAGCTGGGGGAGGGGCAGGCAGGGCAGGCCTCCCTGAGGAGGTGACCTTTAAGAGGGACCTGAGGACTGAGCCAGAGTTAGCCTGGTGAGGAGTGGAGGAAAAGAATTTCAGGCAAAGGGAACAGCGTGTGGGTGCTCTGAGCCTGGAGGCCAGAAGGAGCTTGGGCATGCGTGCAAGGACAATGTCTGTGTGGTCCAGAAGCCGGCAAGGGAGGCGTCTATGGAAGGCCAGTTAGATAGGGTCACACTAAGGATCTTGATTTTCGAAAATGGCCACAAAATAGGCTCCTGGGGACTTAAACTAAAATACACACCCCTGTTTTTCAAAGTGATTCCCGGGATTGGGCTTATATTCAATCCAGTTTCACTCACCTTCTACCTGTTCCAATCTGAAGGCACTGGACAATCTAGAATCAGAAATGCATTTCATCATACTCTGCACATTGCACTAAGAAAGAAAAGGAAGGCTGAGGCTGGGCATGGTGGCTCACGCCTGTAATCCCAGCACTTTGGGAGGCCGACATGGGCAGATTGCTTGAGCCCAGGAGTTCGAGACCACCCTGGGCAACATAATGGAACCCCATCTCTACAAAAAATACAAAAATTAGCCAGGTATGACCCACAGGTGCATGCCTGTGGGTCCCAGCTACTCAGGAGGCTGCGGTGGGAGGATGGCTTGAGCCCAGGAGCTCGAAGGTGCAGTGAGCCTTGATCACACCACTGCACTCCAGCCTGGGCAACAGAGTGAGTCCGTTTCCATGAGAGAAAGAAAAGAGAAAGAGAGAGAGAGAGAAGGAGGGAGGGAGGGAGGGAAGGAAGGAAGACTTTTAACAGGAAGATTAGAATTAGGGTTGGATCTGGGGTTAGAGTTGAGTTTTCGGTTAGGTTTAGAGTTGGGTTGGGGTTAGAGTTGGTTTTGGTGTTTCGGTTAGGCTTGGGATTGGATTTAGGGTTGAGGTTAGGATTGGAGTTAGCATGGGTTTGGGATTAGGGTTGGCTTTAAGATTGTGGTTGGTATTGGGGCTAGAACTGGGTTTAGATTTGGTTTGGGGGTTAGGGTTGGGATTATAGAGGCTTGAGTTCCACTAAGTATATTTATGTCACTGGCCCCAAACTAAATGATTTTTGTTTAATGAATGAATCACTATGTTTCATTGTGAACCAGCAAGACAAAGTGACCAGCCAAACTCACTTCCCTGGATATTCTGGGTTTTTTCTTTGGATTATTCTAAGAACAGGCTAGGAAAATTTACCTGTGCACTAATTTCATATTCTTCTTTTTAAGGTGGAACTAAAAATGATACCACAGTAGGAAGCAAGAGAGGAATAGTCAGTCTGTGCGTTTCAAACAGGTGACCAAGGAAGGAGAATTGGGGCCCAGCAGACAAGAGCCACGGGATGGGGGTGGAGACAGGTCCCAGGCAGTTGTTACCATAAGGCTGTGGGAAGCAGGAAGCAAGATGCTCTCAGGGAGGTCAGAAGAACCAGGTCAGGCTGGAAGGTGGAATCTAGATGAGGATTTAGGGGAGGCAAAAGGCAAGAAGATGAGCAGTAAAGCTGAAGAGCTGGGCGGGCCACAGATCATGGAAAGCCCTGCAAGCCATCCAGATGTAACTCGAGTAACTCCGGGGCCCATGTGGCCCCATCTCTGCAGAGTCTCACTAAAGCAGCTCGGGGCAGCAACCCAACATTCTTTATAGGGACTTTCAATATTTTTTGTGTCACACTAAGGAGAGTCCAATTTATACCCCTCAGCAGGACTTCTCAGCCCCATCACCTCTCCCTCCAGGACCCTTGCACTATATGCCACCCCCCGAGTTCCCCATTTGCAGTCCCCTGCCCTCTTTCTGCTCACTCGGTTCTTCTTCATTCCACCCAGCTTAGCCCGGGTGACTCCAGTGCTTTGTTTTCTTTCTGTTTTTCCCAGAGTCCCTCCAAAAACAACAGCACAGAGCTCACCCAGCAAGTGTGCATCTCAGCCTCTCCCATCCTGCCCCAGTCCTGTCCCCTCAGTCGCCCCCTGAAAGATCCTGACCAGACTGGGAAAAAGGGGGTACGTGGGGGAAAGCCCAACGGGCAAGGTGAGGATGCTCTCTCATGAGGCGCAGGTGAGCAGGCAACATTTCTGTGACTTGCTCTTGTCAGAGTACAAAGATCCCACTGTCTCCATGGGCAATGGGGAGCCATGGGAGGGTTCAGAGCCAGAGACTGGAGCAGGCAGATTCGTGAGTGCCTTGAGAGCAGGGCCCTGGATGTTTTGTGGGTGACCCCCACCCCCATCAGCACCTATAAGATTCTGCTTAAATATGTGATGAGTAAAGAGGTCAGTGGTGAATGAATGAATTCCTTTTTTATTTATTTATTTTTTTTTTTTTGAGAAAGAGTCTCGCTCTGTTGCCCAGGCTGGAGTGCAATGGCGTGATCTCAGCTCACTCACTGCAGCCTTGACCTCCCTGTGGCTCAAGCAATCCTCCCACCTCAGCCTCCCAAGTAGCTAAGACTATAGGTGCATGCCACCACACCCAGCTAATTTTTTTTATTTTTGGAGTGATGAGAGGATCTCACTATGTTGCCCAGACTGGTCTCGAACTCCTGGACTCAAGGAGTCCACCCGCCTCAGCCTCCCAAAGTGCTGGGATTGACAGGTGTGAAGCCACTGCACCCAGCCATGAATGAGTTTTGAACTCCATGAGCATTCTGGATTTTCGTGCAGGGCTCAAAGACCCCAGAACACTTGCAGCCTCACCATCGCTTCTCTAAGTCCTTGTTCCTCATTTTTGTGCCAGCCAGGGATCTTCCAACAGTGACCTCCAAGCTGGTAAGGGATGGGGGACCCAGGCTCCCCGATCCGCACAGTGGAGCTTCTGGACTGTCTCCATCAATCTGCTGGGAATGGCCCATGGTCCCCTGGGCAAGACCCATGGTGCACGGGAAACCTCCTAGCGCTTTGGCTCTGGCTGTCATTCTGGTTTCCAGCAACATATAAAAATAGCTTCAAGGACACACAGGGGCCGGGAGGGGGAGACCTGGCCCCCGGCTTCCAGGAGAGCTGGCTACACACGACTCCTATCTCTCTCCCTCTCCAAGGCCCCCTGCCGCCCTCTGACTCTGGCTTTGAACCCTGGTCTGTATTTCCCCATGGACCACGGGCCTAAACCCGCAGAGCTCCTCCGCCAGCAGTTCCATCACCAAGACAAGCAGACGCAGAAGTCGCGGGGGAGGCGGCTGAAATTTCTCCCACAGCCAGCGCTGAGCATGAGTCCTGCAGGGCCCCGGTGCATGATGGAAGGACGGAGGCTGCGGTCCAGGGCTGAGCCCGCGAGGCTGTGGATAACCAGGGAGCCAGCCGGGAGGGGAGGGGCCGCCCAGCTGCAAGGGGCTTGCAAGGCTCTGCCAGGTCTTCTGCGTTTCCATCCCCCTAAACAACGGTGAGGCTAGTGTGTGCCCCAAACCACCTTCCAGGGCCCTGCAGAGCCAGCCCAGGGGCTGGGAGAGACCTCAACAGCAGGAGCAGCCCCCAGCCAGGGCGGAAGGCGAGGAAGGGGGAGGGGAAGCCCAATGACCTCGGGCACCTGGTGAGCGCAGACTGTGCCAGGTGCTGTGCCCCCATCTTCTCCATGAAGGAGCTGTCAAGATTCGTCCCCATCACACAGATGAGCAGAGCGAGGCTCAGAGTGGGGTGACTGACCACACAGCACGTAGGGCACACAGCTAGCCGGGTAGAGCCAGGATTTCAACCCCGGGGGCTCAGGAGCCTGTGCATGAAAGGCAGGGGCTCAGGGTAAACGCTAAAGGCTGGGGCCCCTTTTTTAACACGCTTCCCAAAAGCCCCAAAATAGACCCGCTTTCCTGATGAAGGTCTCCTCCCATCAGCTCCACAAATACCCACGTTCCCAGGCCGAGCCCAGGGCGGGGCCGCAGGAGTCAGCGCCCAGCGGGACCTATTTCTGGCTGCCACCCGGCCCGGCCACAAGCAGCCTTCTGTGGTGGCCTCAGCCACAGCCCACAGCTGAGGCACAGGCCTGGCCCAGCCTCCAAAGGCCCCTTTGTCCAGCTGCCTGGGCTGCTGAGCCTGGCTCCTGGACATCCGGAGTAGGGGGGCAGAGGGTGACCTGGGGCAGAGGTGGAGGGCTCGGCATGGACTGAGGCCCTGTGTGATGGCCGCGGCCAGCTCAAAGGACATTCCAGTGTCCTGTACCCTTGCAAGAGGAAAACAGTTTTCACCTCGGGACGGGCCTCAGCTGGCCTCAGAGAGGTGAACTCACCCTCCCCAGCTCACACACACTCACACTCACACACACACACACACACACACGTCAACTGCTGGGTGCAGCCACCATGTCCACAGGGACACGAGGAGGTGAGAGCCAGGGATCAGCATCCAGTAGGCTGGGATTCTCATCCCGGCTTCTCCGTGGGATCATCTGATACCCATGGCATCATCTAATTTCCCAGATATTCTCATCAGGGTCATTTCCCAGGTGATTTGTTCAAGTTAGGATCCAGGTAATATCTCCACGTGGCATATGGTTGCTATGTCCTATTGCTTTTTAAAAAGTTTTTCATTTCATGCCATCGATTTATTGAAGAAACGGGGCCAGTGTCCTACAAGTGTCCACAACCTGGATTGGTCTATTTGCTTCCTCATCGTGTCATTTTTTTTTTTTTTTTTTGAGACAGTCTTACTCTGTCACCCAGGCTACAATGCAGCGATGCAATTTGTAATTTTGGCTCACTGCAACCTCCACTTCCTGGGTTCAAGCGATTCTCCTGCCTCAGCCCCCCGGGTAGCTGGGACTACAGGCACACTCCACCGCACCCGGCTAATTTTTGTATTTTTAGTAAAGATGGGGTTTCGCCATGTTGGTCAGGCTGGTCTTGAACTCCTGACCTCAAGTGATCCGCCCACCTTGGCCTCCCAAAATACAGGGATTACAGGCATGAGCCACCAAACCCGGCCCCTTGCAGTGTTTTTTAACTCGTTTGTCTCTCCCTGTATTTCCTGTGAGTTAGAGATGAGCCCCCTCTCTTTTTTGAATAACTGCTTATTCATACGCCATAACATTAACCTTTTCCTCTTTTTGAGATGAGGTCTCACTCTGTCGCCCAGGCTGGAGTGCAGTGGTGCTGTCACGGCTCCCTGCAGCCTCAACCTCCCGGGCTCAAGTGATCCTCCCACCTCTGCCTCCTGAGTAGCTGGGACCACAGGCATGTTCCCCCACATCTGGCTATTTTTGTTTTGTTTTGTTTTGTTTTTTTGTAGAGACAGGGTTTCACCGTGCATCATGTTGTCCAGGCTGGTCTCAAACTCTTGGACTCAAGCAATCTGCCCGCCTCCAATTCGCCCTTTTAAAGTGTACAACTCAATGGTTTTTAGTCTATTCACAGAGCTGTGCAACCATTTCCACTGTCAAATTTCAGAATATTTTTTTCTCCCCCAAAAGAAACTTCTTACCCATTAGCAGTCACTCCCCATCCTGCCCTCCTGCCAGTCCCTGGCAACAACTAATCTGCCCTCTCTCTATATATATGGATTTGCCTGTTCTGAACATCTCATATCAATGAAATCACAGGAAATGTGGCCTTTGTGTCTAACTGCTTAACTTAGCGCCGTGCTTTCAAGGCTCATCCATGTCATGCCGTGTGTCAACACTTCATTCTTTTTTATTGCCAAATAATAATCCATTGTAGGATACACCACATTTTATTTACCCATCCATCAGTTGATGGGCATTTGAATTGTTTCCATCCTTTGGTGATTATGAATAAAGCTGCTCTAAGTATTTAAATGCTTGGCCAGGCAAGATGGCTCACGTCTGTAATCTCAGCACTTTGGGAGGGTGAGACGGATGGATCACCAAGTTCGAGACCAGCCTGGCCAATATGGTGAAACCCCGACTCTACTAAAAATACAAAAATTAGCCGGGCGTGGTGGCGCATGCCTGTAGTCCCAGCTATTTGGAGGCTGAGACAGGAGAATCGCTTGAACCCAGGAGGCAGAGGTTGCAGTCAGCTGAGATCGCACCATTGCACTCCAGCCTGGGTGACAAGAGTGAAACTCCATCTCAAAACAAAAATAAAAATAAAAATAAAATGCTTATAATGTGCATAAGTGTTTGTGTGACTATATGTTTTCAGTTCTCTTGGGTATATACCTAGGAGTAGAATTGCTGGGTCATAGCAACTCCATATTTAACATTCTGGGGAACTGCCAAGCTGTTTTTCAAAGTAACTGCACCATTTTACAATCCTACCAGCAATGCTTGAGGGTTCCCGTTTCTCCACATCCTCATCAACACTTGTTTTTGTCCACCATCCCATAAAGGTGAAGTGGCATCTCATTGTGGTTTTGAGCTGCGTTTCCCTCATGACTAATGGTGTTGATGTTCATGTGCTTATTGAAATTTGTATGTCTCCTTTGGAGGAATGTGTATTCAAATCCTTTGCCCATTTTTAAATTGGATTGTCTTCTATTAGTGAGTTGTAAGAGTTCCTTATGTATTCCAGATATAAGTCCCTTGTCAGATATGTGATTTGCAAAATTTTCTCCCCATTCCGTGGTTTATCTTTTCACTTTCTTGGTGTCTTTTGAAATACAGACATTTTCAAATTTGATGAAGTCAATTTTTCTATTTATGTTTTGTCCATGTGCTTTTGGTGTCATATGCCTAATCCAAGGTCATAAAAATTTACTCAAATGTATATAAATAAATATAAATATATATATATGAGAGAGAGAGAGAGAGAGTCTTGCTCTGTCACCCATGCTGGAGTACAGTGCTGTGATCTCAGCTCACTACAACCTCCGCCTCCCAAGTTCAAGCGATTCTCCTGCCTCAGCCTCCCAAGCAGCTGGGATTACAGGTGCCTGCCACCACGCCCTGCTAATTTTTGTATTTTTAGTAGAGACAGGGTTTCACCACGTTGGCCAGGCTGGTCTCGAACTCCTGACTTCAGGTGATCCACCTGCCTCAGCCTCCCAAAGTGCTGGGATGACAAGCGTAAGTCACCATGCCCAGCCATTACTCCTATATTTTTATCCAAGAGTTTTGCAGTTTTAGCTCTTACATTTAAGTCTGTGACCCATTTTGAGTTAAGTTCTGTATATGGTGTGAGGTCAGGATTCAGTTTCCTTCTTTTGATCTGGATATACAATTGTCCAAAGAATAGAAAAATCTGTTCTTTCCCCCCATTGAATGGTCTTGGCACCCTTGTCAAGAATCAATTGAACATAAACATAAATGTACAGGTCTGTTTCTGGACTCCCAGTTCTATCCCATTGATCTATAGGCTATTCTTACGCCAGCACCACACAGTCTCATTACTATAGCTGTGTAGTAAGTTTTGAAACGAGAAAGTGTGAGTTCTCCAATTTTGTTCTTTTTCAAGATTGTCTGGCTATTCTGGGTCTCTTGCATTTCCATGTAAATTTTAGGACCAGCTTGTCAATTTCTGCAAAAAGCCAACTGGAATTTTGATAGGGATTGAATTGAATCTGTAAATCAGTTTGGTTGGTATTGCCATTTTAGTGATATTAAGTCTTCTAATCCATGAACACAGGGTGTCTTTCTATTTAATTAGGTCTTCTTTTAATTTCTTTCTTTTTTTTTTTTTTTTTTGAGACACAGTCTCACCCTGTTGCCCAAGATGAAGTGCAGGGACACGATCACAGCTCACTGCAGCCTCAACCTACCAAGCTCAAGTGATCTTCCCACCTCAGCCTCCAAGTAGCCGGGATCATAGGCGCACGCCATCATGCCTGGCTAATTTTTTTTATTTTGTAGAGACGAGTTCTCCCTATGTTGCCCAGGCTGGTCTTGAACTCCTGAGCTCAAGCAATCCTCCCACCTCTGCCTCCCAAAGTGCTGGGATTACAGGCATGAGCCACCATGCCTGGTTTCTTTAAATTTCTCTCAACACCGTTGCATACAAATCTTACACTTCTTTTGTTAAATTTATTCCTGAGTACTTTGTTGTTTTTGATGCTGATGCAAATTGAGTTGTTTTCTTAATTTCATTTTTGGAGTATTCATTGCTAGTGTATAGAAATATAATCCATTTTTATATATTGATCTTGTATCCTGTAACATTGCAAAATATATTAATTAGTTCTCATTTGTGTGTGTGTGTGTGCGTGTGTGTGTATTCCTTATGATTTTCTATATACAAGATCATGTTATCTGTGAATAGAGATCATTTTACTTTTTTCTTCCTAATCTTGACAACTTTTATTTATTTTTCTTGCCAAACTGTCCTAGCTAGAACCTTTGGTACATTGTTGGACAGAAGTGGCAAGAGTGGGCATCCCTGTTTTGTTCCTGATCTTAAGGGGAAAGTTTTCAGTCATTCACCATTAAGTATAATATTAACTGTGGGTTTTTTAATAGATGCACATGGGCAGAGTTTTAATCCAGACCTGTATTAGTCCATTTCCACACTGCTAATAAAGACATACCCGAGACTGGGTAGAATTTATAAAGAAAAAGAAGTTTATAAGGAAAAGAATTATAAAGAAAAAGAGGTTTAATGGACTCACAGTTCCACATGGCTGGGGAGACCTCACAATCATGGCAGAAGGCAAAGGAGCAAAGGCACGTCTTACATGGCGGCAGGCAAGAGAGCTTGTGCAGGAGAACTGCGCTTTATAAAACCATCAGCCCTCGTGAGACTTATTCACTATCATGAGAACAGCGTAGGAAAAACCCACCCTCATGATTCAAATACCTCCCAATGGGTCCCTCCCATGACACGTGGGGACTATGGGAGCTACAATTCAAGATGAGATTTTGGTGGGGACACAGCCAAACCATATCAAGACCCCACAGACTCCAAAGCCCCGACTCTTTTCTTAGCCCTAGGATAGGGAAGATAAGAGGGGTGGCCTCGTCAGGGAGGCCTGCAGGGATGAAGTTCACAGAAACATCAAAACTTGAGTTGGACTTGAAGGGTCTGGGTGATTTGAGATGAGTCAGTTCAGCAGGGAATACCAAGCCCCACTGCTAGTCAGTCTTGTCCCCATTAACCCCTAAAGCCTTAGAAGGCCCTCAATCAGGCAGAACCAATAGGGGGAGCCCAGTGTCACAGAGGGTCCCACCCATGTCAGTTTCCTGCAGTTTACTACCCACACCCTCACTTCCATCCCTCTCTGAGGCAGAATGCCCATGAAAAAGGAAGGAAGAACAGTTGACATTAGCTCAGGTAGGAGGAACAGGGTGGACAAAAAGCAGGCAGCCCGGTAGGAGGTTGAGGGCACAGACTTGCGAGCCGGACTTCTGGGTTGGAGCCGCCACCACTGGGTCCCAACAGGGTGCCCTTGGGGAAGTCATTTCAGCTCCCTGAGTGTGACTTTTCTGTCTGTGAAACAGGAAGAGTGACAAAATCCACCTCCCAGGCCCTCGGTGAGGGTGATGTGGATGAGCCTTGGAAGGTGCTCAGCGCAGCGTGAAGCAGGGTCTGGGCACTCTGTCAAGGCTGGTTCTCATTGTCTTATCGTCACTGTCACTCTTGCCACCATTTACACGGCTGCTGCTGGTGTGATGGTGGCACTCCTGAGTGCCTGTGATTGCTGCATCCCTCACCATGTGGGACCCAGCTTAAAACAGGAAGCCCCCCATGCCTCCTCCAGGGCAAGAACTTTGTCAGCTCAGAAGGCATCCCAGGGCCCAAATGCGGCTCCAGAGGCCGAGAGTCATGCCACACACTCCAGAGATGTTGCCTCATGGAATCCCCACCATGACGTTAGGGAGAAACAATCATTATCCCCATTTTACAGAAGAGAAAACTGAGACCCAGAGAAGTTGAGCTATTTGTCTAAGGTTCAACAGCTAGGAAGTGGTGGAGATGGGATTTGAACCAGGGTCATTTCTCCTTCCTGCTGGGCTACACCCTTCTCTCCAAACCCTGACCCACTTGGAAAGTTCAAGTAGTTTCACCCTGGGATGAGGAAGATGGAGCCCAGGTGGACGTCCCAAAGCATTCCCACCCTGTTCCCCTAGAGGGGCCCAGGACAGGAGGACAAGGGTCAGGATCTCAGTGAAGCAGAATCTGCATTGGTGACTGAAACATTATATCAGGCTCTAGGGATCTACAGTTCAGGCCGGGTGAGGCGGCTCATGCCTGTAATCCCAGTTCTTTCAGAGGCCAAGACGGGAAGATCGCTTGGACCCAGGGGTTCGAGACCAGCCTGGGCAACACAGTGAGACACGGTCTCTATTTTTTTTTTTTAATTAAAATTTTAAATTTTTTTTTGAAAAGGATCTACAGTTCAGATCCCAAGCACCCCCAGAGATCCTGTACCGGGCAGCTCTTACAGGCTCAGGGGTCATCTGGGGACCCCTGGAGACCCATACGAAGCCGGAGCCAATCCAAGTCCCCTGGAGTTTCCAGCCAAGCTGCCGTTAGGTTCCATCTCCCCCATCCTTCGGCTGATGTTTGGAGCTATGTGCAGAAGTTCACATTTCCTTATCTTAAACTCCTTCTGTAAGTTGTGGATACCAGGGGAATCTTTGTGAATCTGAATTCCACCCAACCAGGAAGCCAGCACCTCCTCCAGCTCTGGATCCCACAGATAGAGCCCTCCCGCGCCTCCCTCTGTCCCTCTGCCTTCCCGGGGCGCCTGTTCTACTTTCTGGGTCACTCACTCCTTGTTCCTCACTCCACAAAGTCACTCACCTCTAAGGGTGGGGGTGGGGGGTTCCTAGGCAACAAAAACAATAGCGGAGGACAATGACTAACCCCCATTTCTCCGTCCTATAAATTTCTCATTCAAGCATTCGGCAGATTTCCTGTGCAGCTGTGCCAGGCATGGTAGGGACCGGGACCCAGGCCCCTGCACCCCATCCATTCCCATCCCGGGGGTGACCCGAGCCACCGTCTGTAAGCACCTGCTCTGTGCCAGAAGCTACGTGTGGAGTGGCCTCAGGCATCATCCACGGAAAGCTCAGAACAACCCCACGCAGCTTTGGGCTATCACTACTTACAGATGAATACGTTACTTTATCTAAAAAATATTGGCCGGGCGCAGTGGCTCATACCTGTAATCCCAGCACTCTGGGAGGCTGAGGCCAGCAGATCAGGAGTTCATGACCAGTGAAACCCCATCTCTACTGAAAATACAAGAATTAGCCAGGCGTGCTGGCACACGTCCATAGTCCCAGCTAGTTGGGAGGCTGAGGCAGGAGAATTGCTTGAACCCGGAAGGCAGAGGTTGCAGTGAGCCAAGATCACGCCACTGCACTCCAGCCTGGGCGACAGAGCAAGACTCCATCTTCAAAAAAATATTAAAATTTTAAAATATAAAAATAAATAAATAAAATAAAAAATATCCATTGAGCAGCTACTCAGTGCCTGGCCTGTGCAAAGAAAGATTCCTCAAATGGCAAAGATGTCCCAGGCCCCTGCCTCTCTGGAAGATGCTCCCCAGTAGAGAGGCAGTTCCTGAACAAGACAAGACAGAGGAGGGCAGGAAAGGAGGGTTACCAGTGGCAAGAATCGCTGCAGATGAAAATACAGGAAGAAAAATGTAACAGAAGGGATCTCCTTTAAATAGGTTGATTGGAGAGGTACCCTCTAAGGAGGGAACATTTCAACAGAGAACTGAAGGTTGAGAAGGAGCCAGCTATACAGAGTATGCAGAGAAGCATCCCCGGTGGAGGAACAACCAGCATGGAACCCTGAGTTGGGAGCTAGCCCAAAGGCCGGTACGGCTGGAGTTCAGGGAGCCGGGGTGCGGGTCGGGGGAGATGAGGCCAGGAGGGAGCAGGCCCAATCGTGTATGCCGGGGACCCAGGGTGGAAGCAGGAGGATGAGTCAGGGCCTTGGCGTTTGAGCAGGGGCATTGCTCAGCTGCCGTGTGGAGTCTTCCAGCAGGGAGATGGTGACGACCCAGCCTGCATGGGGGCCACGGGCATGGAGAGGCACGTGGACTGATGTGGACAGAGCCAGTGGGTCCTGGTTTCGATGTAGGAAGTGAGGAAAGAAGAGGAAGCAGTCACAGCCGCCAGGTCTCTGTCTAGAGTAATGGTTGAATTTTCTTTCCGCAGCTGGAGACATTTCTGGAGCTTCCGGCCATGTCCACCCTCCCCTGGTCCTCTCCTTCCTGCTGCCCCATTTGGCGGGGGAGGTGGGCAGAAGAGGTGGCTTCTAGTGCACCCGCTGGCTGTGTGACCTTGGACAGTCACAGTCCCTCTCTGGACTCAGTTCTCCTCATCTGTAAAATGATCAACCTCACCTTGTCCTCCATAACTGAGACTAGATATGGAAGCACTTACTGGTCTCTTTTTGTTGTTTTGTTTTGTTTTGTTTTGTTTTGTTTTGTTTTGTGAGACAGAGTTTTGCTCTTGTTGCCCAGGCTGGAGTGCAATGGCGCAATCTCAGCTCACGGCAACCTCCACCTCCCGGGTTCAAATGATTCTCCTGCCTCAGCCTCCTGAGTAACTGGGATTACCAGCATGTGTCATCACGCCAGGCTAATTTTGTACTTTTAGTAGAGAGGGGTTTCTCCATGTTGGTCAGGCTGGTCTCGAACTTCCGACCTCAGGTGATCCACCCACCTCAGCCTCCCAAAGTGCTGGGATTACAAACGTGAGCCACCATGCTGGCCACTTACTGTATTTTAAAGCACTTTACAATGTGCAAGAATGTTGGCCGGGCGCAGTGGCTCACGCCTGTAATCCCAGCACTTTGGGAGGCCAAGGCAGGTGGATCACTTGAGGTCAAGAGTTTGAGACCAGCCTGACCAACATGGTGCAACCCTGTCTCTACTAAAAATACAAAAATTAGCTGGGCGTGGTGGCAAGCGCCTATAATCCCAGCTACTCGGGAGGCTAAGGCAGGAGAATTGCTTGAAACCAGGAGGCAGAAGTTGCAGTGAGCGGAGATCACGCCACTCCACTCTGGCCTGGGCAACAGAGCGAGACTCCATCTCAAAAACAAAAAGAAAAGAATATTACCATCATGCCTGCAAATCCCAGTAGGAAATGTGCTTCCCCTTCACATCCAGGCATTTGCTAATGGGCTTCTGTGTGTCTTCCAGAATCCCTCCAACGCCTGGTGGGGGCCACATCACATCTCGTCTTATAAAGGGGAACTGAGGCTCAGCTCTGACATGGTCAGCCTGAAGCCTCACTGAAATTTAGATAGGGGAGTAAACCTCCACATCATAGCAATGGCAGACAGCAGTGAGCACTTGCGGTGTGCCAGGTCCATGCTGGGGGTGCCACGTGGATGATCACATTTCATCCGCACAACAGTCCTTCCTGGAAGTCCTTCTTGTCATTAGCCCTGTTTTATGGAAAGGCGGGTGGTCAGCAGCTGTTCACAGCCCTAGGGTCCTACATAGAAAGAAACAGAAGGTCCCAGCACTGGATTTAAGACAAATGGGGCCATGGCCGGGCTTGGTGGCTCATGCCTGTAATCCTAGCACTTTGGGAGGCCAAGGCAGGTGGATCACTTGAGGCCAGGAGTTCAAGACCAGCCTGGCCAACATGGTACAACCCCCATCTCTTAAAAAAAAAAATTAGCTGGGTGTGGTGGCGTGTGTCTGTAGTCCCAACTACTTGGGAGGCTGAGGCAGAGAATTGCTTGAATCCAGGAGGCGGAGGTTGCAGTGAGTTGAGATCACACCACTGAACTCCAGCCTTGGCGACAGAGCGAGACACTGTCTTAAAAACAAAACAAAACAAAAAGACAAATGGGAAATTTCGATAAACTTCACCTAAGCTCCCTCATGTGCCAGGCACTGTCCCAGGCACTGATGAACCAAAGAGACAAACTGCGTGTCCTCCTGGGGCTTCCATGCAAGTGGGGAGACGGGCAGCGTGTGTTAGGCCACAAGGAGGACAAGCTGCCGAAGCCTCTACCTCCCAGCAGCACAGGCTGCAGAGAGCTTGCCAGCACCTCGTGGCTGCTGTGGCTGAGAGACCAGGCTCTTCCGCAACCACTGCCTCATCTCCTCTTGTCATGAGGCTGTCTGGATTCCCAAGGCAGGCAGAGAAACAGAGGCAGCCAGGAACGCTAAGGGACTTGGTCCAAAATGCGCTGCCCAAGGAGTGGGCCCCAGAGCTTGCCCGTGCCTCCGTCCTCATGGAATAAGCATGTGATTAAGTGATCAGATTACGGAAGCCCCGCATGGGCATATGCAATGACGAAATGGTCATCTGTTTGGCTCTCTCGTGATGATGGAATGATGAGCCGAACAGGGGAAATTAATGCCGGTTCCACCGAGGCCCTGGGTGTTTTCCTTCCAGAGAAACTGGGGCGGGGAATGAGATCTGCGTGTTCCCGAGGCCCCAAGGAACAGGCCCCAAGTCCTGATTTTGCTGGAGGCCAGGGGCTGGGGAAGGGCTTCGACTGGATCATGGCTGCCCCGAAATCCCAGCCACCCTCACAGACACTGCATGTCCCCACTCATGACCCAAAGGCACCTTGGCCAAAACTGGATCTTTGTCACCCTGCCCTCCTGCACCCCAGCCAGACTGGCTCCTCCTCCAGGGCTCCTCCAATCTGCGAATGACACCCATCCTCCCTCAGCTGTCCTTGCATACCTTAAGTCCTCCCTGCCTCTCAGCCCCTGGCTCACACCTGTTATCAGGTCCCAGCCACGCGACTTCTGGATGCTTTCCAAATGCCTCCCTTTGTCTCCCTTCCTGCGGCCTCCTCCTCAACCCCAGCCTCATCACCGCCAGCCCCTCCTAGGCCTCCCTGCCTCCATTCTCACCCAGCTCCACGCCTTCTCCTCCCAGTAGCCTCAGAGATCCTCTAAAAGCAAATCAGACCCTGTCACTTCCTTGGCTACAGACTCTTTGGGGCTCCCCCTATACGTGGAATGAAGCCCACTCTTCCAGTTCCCCTCCCAACCAGCATGCAGGGTCCAGTGTTGCCCCCACTCTGCGGCTCCAGTGGATGGGACTCCCAGGAGGGGACACGCAGATCTGTCCAGGAGCTCCGTAGAGCGGTGCTCAGGCTGTGAATGAATGCTGTGTCAAGTTAGGCCAAAGATCTATGTGACCTTGGGCAGTCACGGTCCCTCTCTGGTCTCGGGTCTCCTCATCTGTAAAATAACCAGCCCCCAGCCCCACCTTGTCTTCCGTAATTGTGACCAGGTATAGGGGAAACATTTGATATATATTAAGGCACCTTACAATATTTGGGGATGTTATCATCACTCCTGCAAATGTTAGTAAGAAAACCTGCTCCTCTGCCACCTCCCCTACCCTCTGAGTCCCACCAGCCAGCTCTGAGTGACAGCCAGGGATCAGGGGAGGTGGGAACTGCCAAGAGGCCAGCTGAGCCATCAGCCCTTGTGAGAACCCTCCCCTTCCCTGGTGAGTCTGGGACACACCCCAAGAACAGGAGAACTGGGGCCCTGCAGGTCTCACTCAATGCTGTGTACGCAGCTCAGGCCCTTCATACAGGTGGTGCTCAATCAAGGCTCCAAACCACAAATCCTGTGGAGGGTGATGCTGGCCAGGGCCTGCATGGGCCAGGGCGGTCAGCACCCATTGTACAGGGGAGGCAGAGCTTGGTCTTGAAGGAGGAGGTGGCTGTGACTTGTGAGGGGAGGGAAAGGGTTTTCTGGAGAGGGGCACAGCGTCACCAAAGGCAGAGGGGTTGGAACGTGGGCGGGGGGACATATGCTAGGGAAAGCAGTCAGTAAAAGCTGGTGAGAATGCCCCATCTGCCCCACCCCATCAGTGCTGTCAGGGAGATCACATGGTTTCCCCTGCCTTCCAGATGGGTAGACTGAGGCACAGGCCCACAGTGAGGGATCCTAGCCCAAGTCAGAGACACAGCCCTTTTGGACATCATCACTGTCCTGGACACCTCCCATCTTGCCTTCTTTTGCCAGGCGGTTTTGGAATTTGTGTGTACAAGTGTGAATTTTGCAGGAAATGGAGCTCCCGAGTATTTGAATTAAGACTCTGCCTTGTCTTGTATATTTTCCTCTTCCTGGGACCTACAGCCCCCAGTTCTTGATTTAGGGGTCAGGGAAGTGTGTGCTAGAAGGGGCTTTGAGCCACTCTGTGCGAAGGACTGGGCGGGGAGGTGGAGGGGGATGAGAGAAGGACAGGACTTCTCATCAGGCACTGCTAGTTCAGGTGGTGAACAATGTCAGGGAAGAATGAGAAGCCAACCACCCATCTGTCCACCCATTCATTCATTTATTCAACAAATACTGGCTGAGCCCACAGTCTAACAGAAGCAGGTAATTACAGTCCAATGTGGTCAGTGCTGTAGTGGAGGATGTATGGGGAACTGTGGGAGCCCAGAAGAGACACATGACCTCACAAGGGGTTTTTGGGGTGGGGCAATCAGGGCAGGCTTCCTGGAGGAGGTGGTATCTAACAGGAGACCTAGAAGGCAAAGAGGACTTAGCAGACCAAGAGGTAGGGAAAAGTGCCTCAATCTGAAAGAACCAAATAGCGCCTGTCTACCTACAGAGGTGAGTGGCCTTCAGGGACCAGAGCAGCTCAGTGTCATGGAAGCAGACTACACCAGGGAGGGGAGCCGAGAGGTGAGCTTGCAGGAGGTGGTGGCCAGGCCCAGATCCTCCAGGACCTTGGGAGACCCAGTCAAGAGTGGGGTCTTTACTGGAGGACAGCAGGCACCCCTCAAGGCTTCTCAGCGGGGGAGAATTGTGGCCATACTTCCTGTTTAGAAAAGTAAGTCAGACTTCTGGTCATGGTGGACTAGGTTATTGTGACCAGCATTGTAGCTGAAGATAACTTTAAAAGTTGAAATATCTCAATCTAATACATATTTTTTTCAAAGCATGAAAAGCTTATCAAAGAGTAAGAAATCTTTAAACCAGACCTGAAGGAAAAACAAGAACTTAGAGAAAGGCATAGGCATGGAGCCACTTTTGCCTAACAAGCTATCCCAAGCCTGGAAGAGCCATTCCTCTCCGATCTGTGAAGGACAAAGGGGATGGAAATAAAAGCCCAGGACCCACGGAATGTGGAAGTCTCGTGGTTGGGCACGGTGGCTCATGCCTATGGTCCCAGCACTTTGGGAGGCCAGGGTGGGTGGATCATTTGAGCCCAGGAGTTCGAAACCAGGCTGGGTAACATGGCAAGACCCCGTCTCTACAAAAGAATACAAAAATTAGCCGGGCATGGTGGTGCATGACTGAAGTCCCAGCTACTTGGGAGGCTGAAGTGGGAGGATCACCTGAGCTGCAGTGAGCCGTGATCGCGCCACTGCCCTGCAGCCTGGGTAACTGAGCAAAACCCTGTCTCAAAAAAAAAAATTATATATATATATATAATATATATAATATATTATATATAATATATTTTTATATATAATGTATAATATATTTTTATATGCTATATATATTTTTATATATTATATATTATATATTATATATTTTTATATATTATATATTATATATTATATATTTTTATATATTATATATTATATATTATATATTTTTATATATTATATATTATATATTTATATATTATATATTGTATATATTTTTATATATTATATATTATATATTATATATTTTTATATATTATATATTATATATTTATATATTATATATTGTATATTTTTTTATATATTATATATTATATATTTTTATATATTATATATTATATATTTATATATTATATATTGTATATTTTTTTATATATTATATATTATATATTATATATTTTTATATATTATATATTATATATTTATATATTATATATTGTATATTTTTTTATATATTATATATTTTATATATTTATATATAATATATATTATATATTTTATATATTTATATATAATATATATTATATATTTTATATATTTATATATAATATATATTATATATTTTATATATTTATATATAATATATATTATATATTTTATATATTTATATATAATATATATTATATATTTTATATATTTATATATAATATATATTATATATTTTATATATTTATATATAATATATATTATATATTTTATATATTTATATATAATATATATTATATATTTTATATATTTATATATAATATATATTATATATATTTTATATATTTATATATAATATATATTATATATTTTATATATTTATATATAATATATATTATATATTTTATATATTTATATATTATTTTTTATATTATATATTATATATATTACAATTATATAATATATTATTATATATTATATATTATTATATATTATTTATTATATATAATATATAATATATTATTATATATAATATATAATATATTATTATATATATTATAAGCTCAGGGAAACTCAGGCTTGGGTTAAGGTGGGTCCAGACAGTACATTGGAATATGTGATAGAAACAAACAAACAAAATAATGCTCTCTGGGGAAAGGTAGCTTCATCCATGCTTTAAATTATCCTTGCACTTTAATTTTTCAAACACTATGGCTAACACACAAAGAAAACTAGGCACACACAAAAAAAGACACCATGAGAAAAAACAGACAGAAACAACAGAAGCATACCACAAAAAATTTTGTATATTGGAATTAGCAGACACAGTCTGTAAAACAGTTATGCTTACGATGTCTTAAAAAAGTAAAAATACAAGCTTAAAGTAACACCAGTGAACATAAAAGCTATGAAAAGTGACATAGTGAATTCGTAAAATAACCAAATAGAGGCTCTAGAAATGAACATTACAATAATTGAAATTTAAAACTCAAAGATTTTGGCCGGGTGCAGTGACTCAGGCTGGTAATCCCAGCACTTTGGGAGGCCGGGAGGAGACAATCACCTGGGGTTAGGAGTTCAAGACCAGCCTGGCCAACATGGTGAAACTCCGCCTCTACTAAAAAAAAAACAAATACAAAAATTAGCTGGGCGTGGTGGTGCACACCTGTAGTCCCAGCTACTCGGGACGCTGAGGCAGGAGAATCGCTTGAACCCGGGAGGCAGAGGCTGCAGTGAGCCAAGATCTCACCACCGCACTGCAGCCTGAGCAACAGAGCAAGACTCCGTCTCACAAACAAACAAAAAAAAATCATGGGACTCAAGAGAAGGCGCACATGGGAGAGGATGGGCTTAATGTTGGATGTGGCAGTCCCAGAAAACCGAGGCCATTGGTACTCAGAGGAAAGGAGGATCTTCTAGGGGCAAAGAGACCAGCAGGTTCCCAGAAGAGGAGGTAACACAGCCAGCTCTTAAGGGCAGGGGTCAAAGGAGGAAGATCTCACAGGGTGGCAGGCCTGCCGGGGGTGGCACTCACAGCTCCAGGGAACAGGGAGGGAAGGGAGGGATGGGAAAGAACAGAGGCCAGGCAGGGAGGTGGGAGCCAGGCAGGCTCTTCCCTCCTGGAGCTCCAGCAACCAGCAGAGAGCTTGGCTCCTAGCAGCTGCTCAGCAAACACTTGTTGAACAATTGAAGAGATGACTTCCCTGCACATAGTAGGCCATTGTCACAGGTGGTAATGGTGGGGCCAGAGCTTTTCCATCCCAGTACAGAGAGCAAGCCCTGGTTACCTGTCATCTTCCCCTTGATCCGAGGTTCCCAAACCACAGTTATGCCTCCTATAAACTCTAGTGGGTAGAGCACCAAGTTGGGAAACTGAGGCAGCCAGGGACAAAGATTGCTGGGTAGAGCTTTTGGGTTTTTCTGGCAGGGGGAGAAACCAAGCACCAACCCTCCCTGCCACCTCCACCACCCCCCACCTGCAAAGAGCTCCCCCAGGGAGAGATACATTCACATATACTCGAATCTCTCGTGTCACAAACAGAAAAGCCATCAGCTCAGCCTGCCTGCGTCCTCAGGGGTCCCACCTTCAGAGCTAAATGCACAGCCATTTAAGGACGCAGAGACCCTCTCCTCCCAGGAGTGGAGAACCCCCAGGGGTCCCTGAAGCCTGCAAAATTGGGGGAACTGAAGCTTCTCGGAGCCCTCTCGCTCCCGCCTGCCTCATGGCTGTTCATTTCTGCAGAATCTGGGGGCTGAGGCTCTGGCGTGTGACTCACCTCCCTCCCTCCCTTCCTCCCTTCCTCTCTCTGAGTAAATGTCAAGTAACATTAGTTATCCCGTCTCCCTCCCTCGGCAGCACCCCCCTCCCTGTTTTTGGCGGTGCTGTTTACCTCGGCAGGATCAATCAGCGTTCAGGGAGAAAATAGAAACCCTTTTAGATCCAATTAATGAAAATTGGGCAGAAGGAATGTGCCTGTTTAAAATTTCACTACCTGGGCAGGGATGGAGGTGAGGACTGGAGATGAGGGAGGTGGGCTAGAATCAGGCCTGGCCCGGCAGCAAGCCCCTGGACTCCTCCAGCGTTTGGAAGAGGAACCTCAATATCTGAAGGGGAGAGGGCTGGGAGGGGCCCCAGAACCAGGCCCTGGCCAAGCGCTGTCTATAGGCACGGTACTTCCAGAGCTGAAAACAGCCGCTGGGCTACATCCTTGCAGGGCAAGCAGAAAAAATGATTGTGGGGAGGGGCCGGGGGCAGGGGGGAGGTTGAGGGGAGGGAAAGAGAATGAAAGCAGCCCCTACCACACACAGGCTTGGCTTTGGGTAGGACCCCCGGCTGCCCCGTGTTCCCAGGACCCCTAGCCCCCAGGAACACACCATGTCATTCCAAAGCCCTGTGTCTCAGGAACTGTGCTGGGGACTGAGGCCTCCACTATGAGGCCCGTGGTCTCGTGGTAAGCAGCCGTGGCTCTGTCCCCAGCTCTGCCACTGCTGGCTGCATGATCTTGAACAAGCAGCTGGCCCTCGCAGCCACTTTTCCTTTGCATCTGTAAAATGGGATGATCACGTGTGTGCCTCACAGGGCAACTGGGAGGGTGAAATAGGAAAAGGTGCAAAAAGTCCTTGGCACGGGGTCTGCCCTCCCCCAGAGTCTGCTCGCCCACCCAGCATCCTCCCCACCCACCCCAGAGCCTGTCCCTGCAGCCCCAGGGCTGCCCAGCTCCAAGAACTCCCAACTGCACACTTATCTCAGCAAAGACCCACTGAGTCCCCCTAGACTGCCGTGTAAGGTGAGCCTTGTCACTCACCCGTCTCATGGGAGAGGACAGACTTGAAGAGTCAGAGCAGCACCTGCAACGGGGCCGATGGCTCCAGGACACAGCCTGGCTCTGCCTGACCCCGCCCCGCAGCAGCAGTGGCTCCCTAACCTTGGGCACTGCAGCTTTGAGGATCGTGAGCACCCACAGTCCCACCCCCAGGACCTAAGCTGCTGGGGCAGGGATGTGAGCTTCTCACGTGCCCCACCTGCAGCAACAGGATGTGGTTTGAAAGGATGAAAGAATGAAGTTGACAGTCTTCAAAGCACTTTTGCATCCTTAAAGTGACTGTAGGCACTATTCCAATGACCTCACCTTTGGGCCTCAGTTGACTTGTCTGTAGAATGGGAGCTGAAGCAAATGTGTCACATGCCTGCAGCTTCATCACTGCGTCCAGGCAAGCTCCAGGAAGGGGACAGACCCCAGCAGGCGCGTGGCCCCCTGCACCCACTGTGTGTCCTTCAGTTCACTTTCTGCATCCCCTACCCACCCCCTGACAACACAGTGGTGAGGGGCACCAATGGGAGTCCTCACCAAAGGCCTGCACTTCGGGGTTGCCCAGGGCAACCTCTACCAACGAGGGCTGGGACGCTGGAGGGATGAGGGCTGCTTTCCATATACCCCTTGGAGGGGCCCAGTAGGGATGGAGGCCACCCTGCCCACAGTGGTGACCAGCCCCATGACACCCTAACATGGGCTTCTCCTGCTCAGCCTCACTCTCCCACCCCCTCACACAGCCCCCTCGGAGCCCTTCCCTTTTGCACCTGAGTCTTCATCACAGGCTCTGTTTTCAGGGCAACCAGGCTAAGACAGGGATGAAAAATAGCAACGACAATAACAACAACTTTATGAGCCTATGCGATGACCTCATGAGCTCATGGTGGCCCAAAAGGAGCCCGAGCACAGTGGGGGGTGGGGGTGGTGACGGGCCTGGCCTGGAGCAGGTGCTTAATGGACAGGTGCAGTCTCCCAAGCAGAGCGGGCGTCCATTCATTCATTCCACTCACGCCATGCATGGCCAAGCCAGGGCTCAGTCCCAAGAGTGGGACAGTTCCTGCCCTCGAGGACCATACCCTCGTAGAACAGATGGGCAAGCCAACCAAGGGGTACACAGCCAAGTGACAGGGTCCATGTCCAAGTGGCATAGTGCAATGGGAGAGGGAAGAAGGGCCTTTCCAGGGTGAGGAAGGCGTCCAGATTGGGGGAAAGGAGGCCGGGCAGGAAAGGTGTTCCAGCAGAGGGAACAGCTGGAGCAAAGGATCCAAGACAGAGGATGGCATGGGGGTGGGGGCAGGGTGGGCAGGGATGAGGCTGGAGAGGCCCAGAGGCACGAGCTCCCAGCAGGCCATGTTCCCTGCCAACCAGGCCTACATTAGCTGTGGGGTGATGCCTGGTTTCTGGCACTGGCAGAGGCACCAAGGCTTGTGTGGCCCAGATGTCCCTCCACCCTGCCAGCAGCAGCTGGGACTTTTGTGGAAGGGCTTGGCTCCAGAGGGGTGCACACAGGAGGGACCCCAGCTGTGCCCAGGTTCTGGTGGCTCTGCCAGGTTCAGAGAGGCCCAGCAGAGAAGGGAAGCAGCCTTGCCAGCCTAGGGCCCAAGCCCTGCCAAGGACCCAGCGTGGACAAGAGACCACGTCAGCAAAAGCCAGAATATCCTGTGCAGCTGTATGGCTCAGCCTCACTCAGGCCATTCCAGAAAGTGGCCATGAGCACCTCCTGAGGATCCGCACAGGTGGAGGATGTGGACGGTGCTCACCCATCTTCTCACACATAGTGAGTAGGCACCTTGGAGGTGGGAGAGTGTTGTGTTAGCCATGCTACGTGACACTCTGCTGCAGGAACAAACAACCTCAAAATCTCAGTGGATCAACATAACAGAAGTCTGTCTCTCATGAAGGCTATATGGCCACTGCTCTGCTCCACATGGCCACACAGGGATCCAGGCCAGGGGCTCCACCATCTTGTAGCTCCTCATCTGGAACAAGTGATCTTCTCAGTCACTAGAACAGGGGAACAGACTACAGGGAAGTCAGCTCTGGTTCTTCTGTGCTTCAGCCCAGAGGGGACACGTGTCCCTTCACCTCTCAGACCATTGGCCAGAGATGCAGAGGGGCTGGAAGCCAGAGAGCAAAGATGAGATGGCTGGTGGCACAAGCAGTGAGGGGTGAAGTCTCAGGGTGGGTCCCAGATCTGGTGACCTTGGCCACACAACTCAATCTCTTGGAGTCTTGATCTCTGCACCTATGACTCGCCCATTTCATGGAAGTGGACAGACTTGGAAAGTCAAAACAGTGCCTACAATGAGACCAAACAAGCCGGGACACGGCCTGGTTCTGCCTGACAGCCCCCACCCTGAAGTAGGGATAAGGATGGTCTCTACCTCCCTGAATTGGAATGAGGGTGTAAGAGGTAGAATTAGTAAAATTCTTCCCTCTGAACCAGGCCTGCAAACGGCTCTCCCTGTGTTTGTGGGTCTTCATCAGCATCTTTGACTGCAATGGTTATGAGTGGGAACTATCAAAACATTGTATTGCATTTTTCCCTTATTTTACAGCAGTGAGTTGAAAAATGAAAGCAGACCACAAGCCAAAAGGGCGAGGAGAGAGCAGCTCATCAGTGTCACATGACCGAGGGCAGACACCATGGAACCCCAAAGCTACCAGTCAGACTCTTCTTTGGGGATGCCCTGGCTGTAATCTGGACACTGTCCCCAAGGAGGTGACATTTAAACTAAGACCCAAAGACAATGGGAGGCTGATTGCACAGAAATCTGGGCATCCTCCCAAGAGCAATGGGCAATCCTAATGTTTGTCAACACTTCCTCCACCCTGCACTCCCACTCTCAGCCTCTCTAGATCTCTATTATAGCACCTACAATGTTCTGTTGGAATTGTTTCTCACATGTCTGTCTCCCCAATGAGACCAAGCTTCTACTGGCAAGGACCAGGTCTGACTCATCATTTTATACCCAGCTTCCAGTCCAGGACTCAGCACAAGACAGGGCTCAACAAGTCTTAGTTGAAGAAAAAGAGATGAGTGAATAGATAGATGAATGGATGGATGGGTGCATGGATAGATGGATGAGTGACAAAATGGATGGATGGATGGATGGATGGATGGATGGGAGGACAGATGGACGAATGGATGAATGGATGGGTGGGTAGGTGGATGGATGGGAGGATGGATGGATGGATGGATGGATGGATGGATGGACAGATGGATGGATGGATGAGAGGATGAATGAGAGGATAGATGAATGAATGAATGGATGGATGGGTGGGTAGGTGGATGGATAAGAGGATTGATGGATGGATGGATGGATGGATGGATGAATGAGAGGATAGATGAATGAATGAATGAGTAGGTGGATGGATAAGAGGATGGATGGATGGATGGATGGATGGATGGATGGACAGATGGAAGGATTAGAGGATAAATGAGAGGACAGATGGATGAATGAATGAATGGATGGGTGGGTAGGTGGATGGATGGGAGGATGGATGGATGGATGGATGGATGGATGGATGGATGGATGGATGGATAGATGTGTGAGTGGATATATGGATGAATGGGTGAGAGATTGTATGGAAGGATGGATAGGTGAGTGGATGGATGAATAGGTGTGTGGGAAGGAATGGACGGATGGGTGAAAAGAAGGAAGTATTAGTGGATTGATGGATGGGTGGATATTTGGGTGGATGGATGGATGACAGATGGGTGGATGGATGTGGAGGTAGTGGGATGGAAAGTGTCGATCACCCTACACAGAGTTCTGCTGGAGGGAAAACCAGGGATTTTCTCAGGAAGGAGGAGGGGGGTTCCTCTCTTTTTACAGATTGTAATTTAATAGAGCTTTCCATAAAAGATGACAGCTCTATCTCTCAAGATATGGAAAAGATGATAGAGAGTTAGCTCTCTTTATCTTCCAGGTGCACCTACATTCCTCAGCTCTGACCCCAGTTCATGATTCTCTCCACACCCCGTGGTTCTGAACCATCTGAAAGCCTTTAAGATCTATGACACCCGGATCCAGATCAACTCGATCTGAACTGCCAGGGGTGGGCCCCAGGCAGCAGTGATTGTTCAAGCTCTCCAGGTGATTCTAGTTTGAAGCCAGGGCTGGACACCCCTGCACTAAGACATTAACACCCTGATTTCTGTGTTGTAGGGAAGGCAACAGGTGACTGGCTTACGTCACAGGAAGAGAACCATGGTCTGGTGTCCAGGCCTGGGGCTCCTCCCCACTATCCCAGGCTGCCCCGGCCCGCTGGGTGCTGTGAGAAGCCACGGAGCCAGCCCCCGAGACCCCCACATGCCAGGGAGGTGTGCCAGGAAAGGGCAGGCTCTGCAGTCTGGCACACCCTCCTTCTCTGCTTGCCACGGTTCACCGGGCCCCCACCTCTGTGAGCCTCAGTTTTTCCGTGTATAAAATGGGTGCCCTGGTGAGACCTACCTAGCAGGGTCAGTGTGAGGCTTCCAAGGCCTGGCGGTGTCAAGTGCTCAACAGATAAGCACTGTGAGCCTTGTTCTTCAGGGAGACTGAGGGTCTGTGGCCCCTTGCAACGGGCTCTTTGGAGACACGTCCTCTGACGGTACGGCCCTCCCATCTTACACGCCGCTCTCCATGAGACCTCACCTTGGGGTTGGGGGACGGGGGTGGGAAGGAGATGGGCAGACAGTGCCCCCAAGCCAGGGCAGGCCGCGGGAGCCAAAGGAGAGGCCAAGGCCAGGCCAGGGCTCAGGGCTCAATGGGCTGGCGGGGAGACCCCAAGGCTGGGAGCAGGCAGAACATCCTGTGTTTGAGTCACAGGCTCCAAGTCAGACAGACCCAGGGGCCTCCAGCCCCCACCCAACTACTCAGAGCTGTGCCGGGGCCGAGCGGGGCTCTCTGAGCCTCGGCAGCCTCCAGTGAAACACGGGCTGATCATGGCATCTGCTCTCAGGACTCCGGTGAGGGGTGGGTGGGAGGGCGTGGGCAGGCTCCCCCCACCCCCGGCTACCACTCTCCAGATCTCTATCAAGAGCAGAACAGCACTGGTGCCACCGTATGAACCACACACTCTGACACGCGGTGACAGCTGTCTACCCTGGACCCCAACCACTCACCCTATGTTGGCCCTTCCAGTCGGCCCCTCAGCTTCAGGAACAAGTCCTGATGCCAAGGATGGGGTGAGACAAACCCAGGAAATTATGGAAGCCGATGGCCATCCTGTGGTCTCCTTCCCTTCTCACACCATGGGCGACGAGAGGTCAAGGGAGAGCTTGGAAAAGGCCTCATTTAGGGTCACCAGGCTTAGCAAATAAAAATATAGGATGTAGGCTGGGCACAGTGGCTCACACCTGTAATCCCAGCACTTTGGGAGGCCCAGGCAGGGGGATTGCTGGAGGCCGGGAGTTCAAGACCAGCCTGAGCAATATAGAAAGATCTTGTCTCTAAAAAATTTTAAAAATTAGCCAAGTGTAGTCCCAGCCACCCAGGAGGCTGAGGTGGGAGGATCACTTGCACCTGGGAGGCAGAGGTTGCAGTGAGCCAAGATTGTGCACACATATATATACACACATACATATATAAAAACATATATATGATGCACAGTTACATCTGAATTTGAGATAAACAACGTAAGTTTTTTAGTGTTAAGTATGTCACATGCAATATTTGGGACATGCTTATACTAAAAAATTATCCATTGTTTATCTGAAAATCAAATTGAACTGGGTGGCCTGTATTTTATGTGGCAACCATAATCCCATTACAAGAAGAACTCCTTATGTCATGCCCTCCCTTAAGAATCATCCATAGCTCCCCAGTGCCTTTGGCCAAAGTCTAGGACAGCAGAGATCTGCCTGGTGTGGCTCCTGCCTCTATTCTAGCCTCAGCAGGAGAAGGAAGTTGAGACCATGGCATCAACAGCCACCAAAACCATGATGGAGTGGGGGGTCAGATGTTGTCTTATGAAGGTAACAAAGAGGGAGACATGGAAGGAAAACCCCCCGCCATCCATCCCACCCTGGCGCCCTCACCCCATCAGAGAGTAAAAAGGGTCAGGAAGGGTCCTTTTGTGTTGGGGTTCCTCCATTCATTTTGTAAGCAGTGACCGAGCCCCGATCTCTGCCAGGCCCCACACTGGGGCCTGGGGAACCCCCCGGCTGCAGTGATCCTAGGGTCTCTCCGTGAATCTCTGGCTTCTATAACCTCAACCCCATCCCAGGCTTTGGCCTGAAAGCCATTTCTTTTTGTTTGGAGTCCCTGCCTCCTTCCCAGTTCCTCCTCTTCATGGGTGAGAAACCCCTAGTTTCAGATCAAAAAGACCCCAAAATTTACATGGCATTTCAAGTGGAACCCACAACTCAACCATTGACTTCAGAGGGTTCCCAGGAGCATTGCTGGGCAGAGCTCCCCGGCCTCTGCCTCCCAACCTCACAGCAGGCTCAGAATCCTGGGCAGTGACGAAGGACAAAGACCTCTCTGCTTTCAGATTGAGCAACAGACCAGCGGTGATTCAGGCACTGCAGAGATAAGACCCCAGAAGAAGAGACTGGGGCAGCAACCGTGTCATTCACGGAGTACCTCCCGCTTAGCGCGCACACCTGATCATGTCAGACTTGCTCCAAGTTGACCTCCCTCGCCACCACCCCAGAACAAGCCAGGTCCCCAGGGGACACTGCCCTGAGCACCCTGTACTTCCCGCACCTAGGGCAGATCATAATTTCATTTGGTTATTTCAGGAATGAGGCATTCAAGGTCTGTCTCCCCCCTTTGGACTGTGAGCTCGTGCTGGGGCAACAACTAAGGTGAGATCAAGGTGGGTTTCAGAGCCCAGTCCCAGTTACAACGTAACAATGAAGGCCCGGCAGGCCGGGCGAGGTGGCTCACGCCTGTAATCCCAGCACTTTGGGAGGCTGAGGAGGGTGAATCACTCGAGCCCGGGAGTTCAAGGACTTCACTGCTGTATTGCAGCATTGAGCACCCAGCACCACACCTGGCAAAGAGCAGGTGCTCAGTAAGTATTATGGGAGGTATAAAAATTAGCCGGGCGTGGTGGTGCATGCCTGTAGTCCCAGCTACTCGGGAGGCTGATGCATGAGAATCGCTTGAGCCCAGGAGGCGGAGGTTGCAGTAAGCCCGGATCATGCCATTGCACTCCAGCCTGAGTGACAGAGGGAAACTCTGTCTCAAAACAAAATTAATTAATTCAAAAAATATCATGGGAAGGAGGGAAGGAAGAGGATGACCATGAGCTCCGTGACAGCAGGTGCCTTGCCCGTCTGACTCTCGGCTTTGTCCTGGGTCTCCGCAGCCCCAGGCACACACACAGTGGATGTTTGAGGAAGGTCTGTGAAAGGAACCGAGGACTCCTGTCAGGACAATAAAGTTATTTCCTAGAATTTCACCAACCACAGTCAGGAAATGCAAAATCTTGTTCATTTATTTATCAGATTTATTATCTTGTTTCTCCTCCTTCCCCTCACCGCAGGGTCCATTCATGGTGTCTGCATTTTACTAAGTCGTCCTAGTAAAAGTTTTTTCCTCCCCAAAAGAGGTGGAGTGGAATTGGCAAGATCAGACTCATTTTTGTTTTACAGATGAGGAAAACAATGCTCAGTGGGACAAGTGACACTTTGCTGCATGAAAACCATCTCTAGGCTGGGCGCTGTGGCTCACGCCTGTAATCCCAGCACTTTGGGAGGCGGAGGCGGGCAGATCAGGAGGTCAGGAGTTCAAGACCAGCCTGGTCAACATGGTGAAACCCTGTCTCTACTAAAAATGCAAAAATTAGCCAGGTGTGGTGGCACACGACTATGGTCCCAGGTACTCAGGAGGCTGAGGCAGGAGAATTGCTTGAACCCAGGAGGCAGAGGTTGCAGTGCGCCGAGATCGCACCACTGCACTCCAACCCAGGTGACAGAGCAAGACTCCATTTCGGGAAAAAAAAAATTAGCTGGGCATGGTGGCACACGCCTGTAGTCGCAGCTACTCGGGGGGCTGAGGTGGGGGGATCACTCGAGCCTAGGAGGTGTAGGCTGAAGTGAGCTGTGATCGCAACACTGCACTCCAGCCTGGGCAACAGAGCCAGACAGGCTCTAAAAAAAAAGCCATCTCTAAAAAGTCCAGGGAGGTCAGCAGCCCTGCACACCCTTCACATGTAGATGGAAAGAGAGCAAGGAACAGAGACGGAAGGAAGGAGAAAGTCGTCTGCCTCCCCCAGAACACTTAGCGTGTTCACGCCTGGCCTCTCGAGCCAGATTTCCTGGCTTCGAATCCCACTACTGCCACTTGCTCGTGGTGTGACCTTGGGCAAGTGAGTTAACCTCTCTGTGCTTCAGCTTTCCCATCTGTAAAATGGGAATATTAAGAGAAGCTGTGTGGTCTATGTAAATTAATGCCTAGCCACATAACCACTATATAGGTGTCACTACAATTGCGCGGCCTCAAGAGGCTACACGGGCTAGTGAGTAGACACAAGGCCTTGGCGTCCACCCCCAGCTCTGCTCTGAATCAACCACATGGTCGCGGGTGAGCCACAAGCTCACTGAGCCTCAGTTTCCTCATCTGATTATGGGAAACATCACACCCTCCACCGGGGGTGCTGGGAGGATGGGGAACATCACTAAGTATGAAGCTCCCAGCCCGGTGCCTGGCCTGTCTACACCCCACCCCACGCGGGAGCCCTGCGAGTGTAACTGTTCCCTTTCGGAGAGCCCTGGCCTTCTCCAGGCTTCTGCCTCCCCACGTACCCAAGCTGGCTTCTCCCTCCTCTTCCACACCCCTGCTCCCAGGTCTAGGCTCCTGGGAGCTCTGGCTGAACCTGCAGAGGGTGGGGAATCCCAGAGGCCTTGGTCGGGGGTGGATACCTCCTCAGTCATCCTCTGAGTCCCCCAAAGGACCCCATAGTGAGACCGGCAGGCTGGGCTGGCCTCCAGGGTCCTCTCAGGCACTGCCCTCGATGCTTGGTTGAACCTCAAAGCCACCCCTACCCCCACAGGACCCATCCGGACCCCCCGCACCACACTGGAGTCCAAAGACACTGACTGGTTCATTTCCAGAACACGTTGGTCCCTGAACGCCTGCCCCTGCCATCAGCACCTGTGCACCAAGGGGTATTCAGTCAACATTTCCACAGCTCTGCAGAGGGAAAACTACTTAGGTGAGGTCAAGGTGGGTTTCAGAGCCCAGTCCCAGTTACAACCTATCAATCAAGACCCGGCAGGATGGGCGAGGTGGCTCACGCCTGTAATCCCAGCACTTTGGAAGGCCAAGGAGGGCGGATCACTTCAGGCCAGGAGTTCAAGACCAGCCTGGCCAACATGGCGAAACCCTATCTCTACTAAAAATACAAAAATTAGCCGGGCGTGGTGGCGGGCACCTGTAATCCCAGCTACTCGGGAGGCTGAGGCAAGAGAATCGCTTGAACCTGGGAGGTGGAGGTTGCAGTGAGCCAAAATCACACCACTGCACTCCAGCCTGGGTGACAGTGCAAGACTCCATCTAAAAAATAATAATAATAATTAATAAAAAAAATTTAAAAGAAGATCTGGCCAGATGCGGTGGCTCAAGCCTATAATCCCAGCACTTTGGGAGGCTGAGGCGGGCAGATAACGAGATCAGGAGTTCGAGACCAGCCTGGCCAACATGGTGAAACCCCGTCTCTACTAAAAATACAAAAAAATTAGCCAGGCGTGGTGGTGGGTGCCTGTAATCCCAGCTACTCAGGGGCTGAGGCAGGAGAATCGCTTGAACCTGGGAGGCGGAGGTTGCAGTAAGCCCAGATGGCGCCACTGCACTCCAGCCTGGGCGACAGCACGAGACTCCATCTCAAAAAAAAAGAAGATCTGTGGGATCACAGAGGCACGAATCCCTGTGCCTTCATGGGGGTATCAGACCCTAAACCCCACAATTCCCCCACATACACCAGTCATGCAAGCCTTGTGCCTTCTCACAGTGGGGTGTTCCCCAACCCCATCTTGCAAATCCCCCCTCTCCCTGTGTCCTCCCCCTTCTCTCTCCTCCTCCTCTCCCTCCTTCTCCCTCTTTCCCCTCTTCCTGTTCTCTCTCCTTCCTCTACTCCAGGACTCCCCATCCAAGAGAGGAAGGGCTGGCATGCCCCCTGCCCACCCCACCAGCTGGCAGAACGGCTGTGACAGCCCAGGACCCTCGGAGCCAGGTGGTGCGGTTGGCCTCCACATCCAGCCTGGAAGCATCTTTCAAAGAATGTGGGGTGTGGCGGCCTCGGCTCCTCTCGCCTCCAACCACGCCCCCTCCCTGTACAACCCAGCACGCCTGTCAGCTTCCTGCTGTGGTCGCTGCAAGGGTGGGCAGGCCTGGCTTTCGTCAAGCACTGCCCAGCCTGCAGGCCACGAGCGGATGTGGAGGAGGAAGGGGGTCAGGGGAGGGGTTGGAATTCTCCAGATTTTCTCCCAGCCTCCAAAAGGCCTCTGGAGAGGTGCTTATATAAGCTTTCATTTTTGTAAGTGTGGAAAGGAAATTTTTGAAAATATTAAGAAATGCAGCTGAGCGTGGTGGCTCAGGCCTGTAATCCCAGCACCTTGGGAGGCCAAGGTGGGAGGATCACTAGAGCCCAGGAGTTCGAGACCAGCCTGGGCAACAAAGTGAGACCCCTGTCTCTTAAAAAATGGAAAGAAAAATATTATCTGGATGCAGTGGCTCATGCCTGTAGTCCCAACTACTTGAGAGGTTGACGGGGGACGATTGCTTGAGTTTAAGACCAGGCTGGGCAACATAGCAAGACCCTGTCTCTATGAAACAGAAGAAGAAAGAAGAAAGGAGGAGAAAAAGAAGTGGTGCCACACAGGGCAAATAACAGGGTGAGCACTCTGCTTGTGGATCGGGCAAGTTCCCAGCCAAGGGCCCCTGCTGCCCTATGAGGGCAGGGGCTGGGCCATCTTGTCTCACTGTGTCCAGAGGCCAGTCTCGGTGCCAGGCGGAGGAGGTGCTCAGCAAATATTTGCAGCTTTAATGAATGAAATCAAGGAAAAGGGAATGAGAGGAAGAGAAAAGGTCCAGGACTGGGGGTGATAGAAGGGAGCCCTGAGAGAGAAGATGGAGGCTGATGGAGGCTGGGTCCCAAGGGGGAGAGGGAGGGGACAGGGGAGTCTGGGGGAGGGGCTCAGGAATCAGGAAAAGTGCTGAGCAAAAGCTGTCTTTGAAAAGGGCCCAGATTATTCATCTCAGTCCTCATCTCGCTCCATTTCAGTTCAAGCGGCTGCAAATATTTGAAATGAGTAATTTCTCCTGATGAAGAGAGTCTGATTTTGATTCTGCCTAATTTATTTCAAGATTTAAGGAGCACCCAGAGAGAACGGGGTTGCGCCTGTCATCAGGCAGCCCCGGCCTCTCTCCTACGCTGCCTCCTGGTCCTGCCTGCCCATGAGTCGAAGGAGAGGAGGACGGGCTGGTTCGCCTGGGTCAGGGGAGGTGCCTGCCTGGACCACAGGACGCCCCTGGGCCCAGGGAGCGGAGGGGCCTCCATCTAGGTACAGACCCAGAATGAGGGGGGCACAGGCCTACCTGGGGTCCTGGCCGCTGCAGCCTCCTCTTGCGTCTCCAGGCCATCAGGTTGGCATGGTCACCCCCCCTTCCAGTCCCGCCTATAACATCAGTGGCTCCCCTGGGCTCCTAGACAGATACCCAGACCTGTCCCATCCAGACCTGCTTTGCCTCCCAGGCTCGCCTCCTCCATCTCCTGCTCGCTTCTCCTCTATTCACCTTGGCCAACGCTCCTCTGGGCCCTAGTACCTTCTCCTCACTCAGCGGCACTAGGCAGTCCCCTTTCCTCCTGTGAGGCTTAAGCCCAGGGTCACCTCCTCTGTGAATCTTCCCTTCCCTCATAGGAGGTGGGGGCGCCCGGGGCTCTCTCATTCTACAGTGCCCTTGTCCCCTATTCAGTCACCAGCTCAGGCCCCCCTGCCTTCCTCACAGAGCAAGGGCCAGGGCTGGCTCTGTGACCCATGCATTCTCAGCACTCAGCACTGGGCCCAGCACACAATGTGCTGGAGAAACACCTGGGGCAAGAATGAATCCTAAAACACAAATGAAGAAGTGGTATGTGTGTGGGTGAATCCATGAAGAACCAACAGATGAACTCAGAGCCCACCCTGAACAAAGAGAGGCCCCAGCACCCTGCCTGGGCCCAGGGACCGCTGTGGGGGCCTGGTGAGAGGTTGGTCCTCTGCCCCTCTCAGGAGCCCACCCAGACATGAAGCAAAAGGCCTGGCCTCGGGTTGGGTGTGGTGGCTCACGCCTGTAACCCCAGCACTTTGAAAGGCTGAAGCAGAAGGGCCTCTTGAGGCCAGGAGTTCGAGACCAGCCTGGGCAACATAGCAAGACCCCAGCTCTAATATAATGAATTAATTAATTAATTTAAAAGGCCTGGCCTTGGCCCTGGGATAGGAACCACTCAAGAGCCCCGGCAGCCCCTCAGCCACGTGTAGAGGAGAGAGGGCAGCTGGCTCGGGGCCATCTGTTTCCACAAAGACAAG
This sequence comes from Homo sapiens, assembly GCF_000001405.40. Classification (NCBI taxonomy): domain Eukaryota; kingdom Metazoa; phylum Chordata; class Mammalia; order Primates; family Hominidae; genus Homo; species Homo sapiens. The sequence continues at coordinate 129,223,803 of NC_000009.12, read as the reverse complement.
GCCACTCCAATGTCACACGGCAGGAACTCAATAAATACTTGCGGAAGGCAGGAGGGAGGGAGGAACTGAGAGGCCCTTCTGACTCCAGCACCACAGCAAAGGGCACCGGCTCTGGGCAGGCGGCTCAGGCTCAAGGGCTGGCTTCGCTTTCCTGGCCTGGAGGCTGCAGGCCACCTCGCCGGGGCTCTGGGACTCCAGAGCCACTGAAGTGCCCTCTCCCACAGCCACCTAGGAACCCGAGTCCCCAACTCCTAGGATCACAGCACCACATGGGCCATTTGTTGAGCATTGTGCCAGGGCCTCTTCCACGTCATGTGACCCACAAGTGACACCACATTTGTGACCCCTTCTCACAGATGAGAAAACTAAGGAGTTAAAGAAGCAGAGCGGGCCGGGCGTGGTGGCTCACGCCTGTCATCCCAGCAATTTGGGAGGCCAAGGCAAGTAGATCACCTGAGGTCAGGAGTTCGAGACCAGCCTGGCCAACATGGCGAAACCCCATCTCTACTAAAAATACAAAAATTAGCCGGCGTGGTGGCGCGTGCCTGTAATCCCAGCTACTTGGGAAGCTGAGACAGGAGAATTGCTTGAACCCAGGAGGTAGAGGTTGCTGTGAGCCGAGATCGCATCATTGCACCCCAGCCTGGGCAACAAGAGCAAAACTCTGTCTCAAAAAAGAAAGAAAAAAAAAGCAGCAGCAGAGCGACAAGTCCCAGTTCAGAGACGGGGACACACACCTGGGAAACGGCGGCCTCAGAGGGGACAGGGAGGAGCACTGAACAGCTGCTCAAGAGCCAGGGTCGAGGCCACCAGGAGACTCCAAGCCTCAGGGGTCCGCCTGACTCTTGTCCTCGCAGTGAGTCCACTGAACCATTGAGGACCAAGCTACATCCCAGAGAGACTCGGGGAAGGGAGGGGGAGCCGGGGAGCAGGCGGGAGACAGGAGTGCGTTCTGGGCTCTAGAGATGGGAAGGAGACATATCCTGTGCCCAGCGGTGGGAGCAAGTATCAGAGAACGGCGGTCCTAGACATTGTGACAGGGACGTTGACTGGAACCTGCACGCAGTGCCCGAGCTTTGTGCTCTCCCGTGCACTGCCTCCCGTAAAGGACAAGAAGTACACAGGTGGGGGCAAGGGGTTGAGATGGGAGGCAGTACAGTCACTGGGCAGCTGGCAATGGGTTTTCAGGCACCCACTCAAGAGCCTAGATGTTCTTCAGTGGAGGCCGGTGAGGCTTGGGTTCATTTCAGAGGCCACCCTGGCCCTGCAGTGCGGCGGGGTCCCCGTGCTGGGGGTGGGGTTCAGAGCTGAGTTAAGACCACAGGATTTAACATGCCCGACTCTTGAGGTTCTCGGTGAGAGGTGAGGTCCGCCCTCCAAGGCAGGTGGGGCTGGCGGCTCAGGGAGGAGAGAGCCCATCCCTGGGATCGATCAGCTTCTGAAAGGAGGCGCCAGGCCCAGAACCCTGCCCTGGCCCACAGAGACCAGGCTGCCACCCACCCTCCCAGCAAGGGCTGAGCTGGGCTTTCCCAAAAGAGGGAAAGGTTTGAGCTGGGTGACCAGGCAGGTCCCATCCCCACCGCCTCGGGGTCTCAAATTTCAGGATGCAAATTTCAGGATGTGAGGGCACAGAGTAAGCAAGGAGGTGAGAGAGACAGTCTCGTTCGAAATACAGGTTCCCAGGCCCTTCCTGCAGAGACTCTGATCCCTGGGCCACAACCCAGGCCCGGGAATCTGCATTTGACCAGCAGCCCAGGTGACTCTGGCACAACAGGTCTGGCAGAGGGTCACTGCTCTATTGGGGGAGGGCTTCAGCCCTGGAGCCTGATAGATGTGGGGACAAGTCCCTCCTCGCCCCTTCCCTGCTATGTGGCCTTCACCCAATCATCTTCCCACTGGTGCCACTTGCAGCCAGTTAGGAGAAGCAGGTGTGTGCAGAAGTTAAAATATTAAGAAATGTGGCTGGGCGCAGTGGCTCACCCCACCTTGGGAGGCCTAGGAGGGAGGATCATTTGAGGTCAGGAGTTTGAGACCAGCCTGGCCAACACAGTGAAACCCCATCTCTACTAAAAATACAAAAATTAGCCAGGTGTGGTGACAGGCGCCTGCAATCCCAGCTACTCAGGAGGCTGAGGCAGGAGAATCACCTGAACCTGGGAGGCAGAGGTTGCAGTGAGCCTAGATCGTGCCTTTGCACTCCAGCCTGGGTGACAGCAGAAGATCCCATCTAAAAAAAAAGAAAAAAAAAAAGCTCAAGCTCCCAGTCAACTACCTGGGCTTCTACCCAAGCTCTGCTCTCACTGCCTGTGGCGTGACCTTCGGTGGCTTCATTAAGCTCTCTTTGCCACAATTTCCTCCTCTGCACAGGGCTGCCCCCAGGGGTGTTATAAAAACTACATGCGTGCCAGCACCCACCAAACACTCACTCAGTGGATGACTGTGCTTGTCCATACACTCCTGACTTCTCTCTGCTTCTGTCCCAACGCCGAGCAGCCCAAGGGATCCTGTTAAACCCGGTGTCCATTGGGTCATGCCCCACCTGACAACTCCAAGTAACCTCCTCTTTCTCATTGTGCCCCCAGGAGCCATGCACTCAGCTCTGCCCACCGCCCTTCCTTCTGCCAGGAGCTCTCGTAGGTTTGAAGGGTCTCATCCTTCAGGTCTCAATTAAAATATCAGTACCTGTCAGTGCTGAGTTTTCAATACAAACGGTATTTATAGTTACTTACAGCTGCCTAAGAAACTCGGAAAGATTATTTAAAAACTAAGGACAGTGATTCTTGAGATAGGGCACCACACAGCAGAGGGACGGAGGTGAGAGCGGGGCCTCTGTTTGTGGTTTTTATTCTATTCTGGGGTTTTGTTTTGTTTTGCTTTGTTTAGATAGAGTTTCACTCTTGTCGCCCAGGCTGGAGTGCAGTGGCACTATCTTGGCTCACTGCAACCTTCACCTCCTGGATTCAAGTTATTCTCCTGCCTCAGTCTTCCGAGTAGCTGGGATTACAGGTATGTGCCACCATGCCTGGCTAATTTTTGTATTTTTAGTAGAGACAGGGGTTTCACCATGTTGACTAGGCTGGTCTTGAACTCCTGACTTCAGGTGATCCGCCCTCCTTGGCCTCCCAAAGTGCTGGGATTACAGGTGTGAGCCACTGTGCCTGGCCTCAAAAACATGGGTTTTGAGCCATGTGAATGCACTATGCAAATAAATGGATGCATTTTTTTAAAGTCATCTTCTTGGAGAGGCCTTCCCTGGCCAACCCTTTTTTTTTTTTTTTTTTTTTTTTTGAGACATGGTCTTGCTCTGTCGCCCAGGCTAGAGTGCAGTGGCACAATCTTGGCTCACTGCAACCTGCATTTCCCAGGGTTCAAGCGATTCTCCCACCTCAGCCTCCCGAGTAGCTGGGATTACAGGCGTGTGGCACCACGCCCAGCTAATTTTTGTATTTTTTGGTAGAGATGGGGTTTCGCCATGTTGTCAGGCTGATCTCGAACTCCTGTCCTCAAGTGATCCGCCCACCTCAGCCTCCCAAAGTGCTGGGATTACAGGCATGAGCCACCACGCCTGCCCCCCCGCAACCCGGCTTTATTTTGCTCCATAATCTTATCCCTAACTGCCGTCGTGCTGAGCACGTATTTGACTGAGTGCCGCGTGTCCCTTCCATTGGAATAGGACTCCAGTGAGCGAAGGGTCATGCCTGGCTCCCCACTGCGGACACATCTGAATCAGGGAGTCCAGGCCAGAGGTGCTTAACAGATCCCTGCAGGGGCGTGAGAATCATCACAGAGCCACTCCCATCAGCCCAACTCTGTGCACCTACAGGCACCATCCGGAGTTGGTTGATGTTGCACCCAGGATCGGGCCACAGACACTCAATCAATGTCTGTTGAATGAATAAAGAAATAAATGTTTAAAGAGCTTTGAACAGATGGACACACTCCTTCCAGAGGGACAAAGCTTTTTAAGAGAAAAACACTCAGAGACAAGCTACTGGCATAGAAGAGAGGCTATGCTCTGCACAGGGTGGCTAGTATAATTCTTACTAAAGTGTGAATGACTTACCCCAGCAGGAGAAAGAAGTGAGGCCAGAAGAGCCCCAAGAAAAGAGGAAGGAAATGATTCTAGAGACACAAAATTCCTACCTGGAAATTTTTTTCCTTTTTCTTTTCAAAGAGTCTCTGTCCACATGGGTCTCCTGTTGCCTATCCCCCTCCTCCCCCTAAAGTAAGACATCCCAAACTGGGGTCAAGAGCCTCCATGAGGGAAGTCACAGGCGCAGACCAGTGGCCAGGCCCCCAAAGGTCCACCGTGGCCACATCTTGGTTGAGGGGGATCAGAGAGTAAAAGCCTCTCTCCGCCGCCATCTCCAGGGCTCCCCCAGGCCCTGCTTCCAGCAGCCCCCAGAGGCCACAAACATGCGGTGGAAAGAATTTGGCCTCTGGAATCTGAGAGCACTGAGTCCTGTTCCAGCTCCTGACCTTCCAGCACATTCTATGCCCCACTGTCCTTCCCCGCTCCTTTATATGCCTGGTCTTATTTCATCATCACGTCTTTCAGGAGCGGCTGCGTTATTGCCCCATTTCACAGCCGAGGAGGTTAAGGCTGGAGAATCACCTGCTCAAGCCCCCGCAGTGACTGTGTCCAAAGCCAAGAGCCACACTCAGCCTGTCTGTGCCTATCCCCGCAGGGTACTGCTCCAGGCCAGTTCCTCCACCACGAGCCTCAGTTTCTCTGTCTGTGAAATGGGGGTAATGGAGGCTCCTTTTCAAGTTTATTGCAAACATTTAATCACTTCTAAAGTGACTCACAAGGCCAGGCACGGTGGCTCACACCTGTCATCCCAGCACTTTGGGAGGCTAAGCCAGGAGCCCACAAGTTCAAGACCAGCCTGGGCAACATAGGGAGACCACATCTCTACAAAAAATTTAAAACTCACCCAGGCATGGTGGCATGCACCTGTGGTACCAGCTACTAGGGAGGCTGAGGCAGGAGGATCACTTGAGCCTAGGAGGTTGAGGCTGCAGTGAGCCATGACAGCACCACTGCACTCCTGTCTAGGCAACAGAGCGAGACCCTGTCTCAAAAAAAAAATGTGACTCGTGGAAAGGTGTGGCCCCAGGAGGGGCTAACCAAATGTTCTTTTCCTTCCCTTCCTGGGGGAGCCCGCATCAGTCTTTTGCTGTGACAGCATCATTTTTCTGCAACTGTGCACAGGTCACCTCCTCAGTTTTCCTGGTGTGGGTGGAATGAGGATGGCAGGGGAGGCTGAAAGCAGGAGGCACAGGTGGGGGCTGCTCGGAGGACCCACAGGGGTGTAGTGCCCAGCACGGGGACGGCACAGGGGAGTCAAGGGCAGCAAAGATTTGCCTGTCTGCCAGACCCTGTGCCACCCCGTCACCGCAGTGGCATGGCATCCCCTGCCATCAGTCCCCCAGCAGGGCCAACGAGCATCTCACAAAGGAGGGGTGGAGGAAGAGGAAAGGCAACCCCCATCTTTTGTTTCTTCCTCACAGTGTTGTTGGGTGTGTGTGTGTGTGTGTGTGTGTGTGTGTGTGTGTGTGTGTGTGTGTTTTAATTCCAGCCACTCTGTGGTCCCATCCGGGGCCTCCTGCCTCCTCCCATCTCTTTGCTGGTGGCTGTCACACGACAGACATTTTTAGTGGTGACAGCTGGCCTTGTGGAACTCGGCTCGAGTACGGGAATGGTTTTTAAAAAAAGAGTGAGCCAAACCACCGCCACTTTAAATAGCAATGCGGCGGGAGGAGAGGCAGGGAAGCGTGTGCAGGCAGGGCTCACAGCCGGCTGGGAGCCCATGTGCACGCGCGGAGGCTTTGATGGAGGAAGGCCTAAGCCGCGAGGACCCAGGAGGTCATGGGTCCTACCTCTGCCTTTGACTCAGGGAGAAACCGAGGCCTGGAGAAGGCGGATGTTGCACCCAAGATTTTACAGGCTTGTGGGTGGCAGACCAAGGACTCACACCCAGGCGTGTGTGAGTGAGTCTAGTACCAAGCCGTTCCCTGACAGCACCCGGCCTCCTGAGTCCACCTGCCCTTTCCTGACCTTGCAGAACAGAGGCCGCCCCAGAGCCTCTTTTGCCTGCCCACTGCAATGGAGGCCTGTGCTGCAACGCGGCAGCATGGGGCAGAGGCCCCCCGGGGCCTGGAAGACACCATGGCCTCCTTGGAGAAATTCAGTTAACATTTGCAAAGAACCACAGTCACAGGCCCAGATTCCAAGGGCTTCCCAAGCATCCCTGGGCCTTCCACATTTGTAGCTGCCTGTCCGACCCACCCTCCAACCAGTCAAACTCCAGGGCTGGTCACTCCCGTCCACACCACATTGCCTTTACTGGCTTGAAATCAACCCCGGCAGGAGTCTTGACACCATAAAAATCAGCACGTGCTACAAAACAGGCTTTTGTTCTCTTAAGCGAGCTGGTTGTTGTACACTTACCAGCGCACAACTACCCAGGCCTGAGGGGCTGAGTTCCAGTTTCACAGACAGATCATGAGCACACACTCCAGAGTCCAGCAGGTCTGGTTCAAATCCCGCCTCTTCCACTACTCACAGTGTGAACTCAGGCAGCTCCCCTTAGCACTCTGAACCTCCTCTGTAAAATGGGGATAAGGGTAGAAGGGTACCTTGGTGTGAGAAATAAATGTAAAAATGCTTGGAGAGGCCGAGTGTGGTGGCTCACACCTGTAATCCCAGCACTTTGGGAGGCCGAGGCAGGTGGATCATTTGAGATCAGGAGTTCGAGACCAGCCTGGCCAACATGGTGAAACCCTGTCTCTACTACAAATACAAAAATTATCTGGGCGTGGTGGTGCATGCCTGTAATCTCAGCTACTTGGGAGGCTGAGGCAGGAGAATCGCTTGACCCCAGGAGGCGAAGTTTGCAGTGAGCCGAGATTGCGCCACTGCACTCCAGCCCAGCCTGGGGGACAGAGTGAGACTCCATCTCAAAAAAAAAAAGAAAGAAAAAAGAAAAGAAAAGAAGATATATAGAGAGCCTAGCTCCCACCTTAAATGGCAGCCATTCTTATGATGCCCGAGGTGACATGGCTCCAGTCCCCTGCCCACCAGGTCTCCCCTCTCTGGACATACACCCCTTTGCTTTTGCCATTCCCAAGAGGCCACTGATGCTCAGCCCAGCACAGCACATGCCAGTTTGACCCAACCTGGGAGAGGAGCGGATGCACCCCTTCCTTGTTCCGGAGATGGCATCTCTCCTAGTGGAACCCCAAGATGAATTCCGCAGGCTTCTGCCACCACCTCGCTTCCTATGCCCTGTCCAGCTCTGTTTTCTCCATGGCACACCCTCAGTCCCGTCGTATCTGTTGGTTTGATGCCCACCTTCCCCCTCACCGCCAGAATGTGGGCTCCCTGAGGGCAGAGGGTCTGCCCAGCATCCGCAGGGTCCAGGCCAGGGCCAGGCACACCATGAGTGTGTGAATCACAACCTCAGCGGGCACCAGTGCGCCCCGGGGCACCTTAGCCAACTGACAGTCTCTACGTGCCAGGTTTCAAAGCAACCTGCAAAACCGTGGGTGATGCTCAAAACTAGAGAAGGGAGGCCAGGTGCAGTGGCTCACGCCTGTAATCCCAGCACTTTGGGAGGCCGAGGCGGGTGGATTATCTGAGGTCAGGAGTTTGAGACCAGCCTGGCCAATGTGGTGAAACCCCATCTCTACCAAAAATACAAAAATTAGCCAGGCGTGGTGGTGGGTGCCTGTAATCCCAGCTACTCGGGAGGCTGAGGCAGGAGAATCGTTTGAACCCAGGAGACGAAGGTTGCAGTGAGCCAAGATTGCGCCATTGCACTCCAGCCTAGGTGACAAGAGTGAAACTCTGTCTCAAAAAAAAAAAAAAAAAAAACTAGAGAAGGGAACCATGAAGTAGAAGAGGAGGACAGGAGAAGAACGAGGGAACGTGGGGACTTCTGTAACCTGGGGAATCTTAGCCGGAAGACACACCTCGATATGCCCTCCTTTGCTGAGAACCTACTGGGCGCCTCTTGTTTGATCCACACAACATCCTGGGAGGTGGATTTTTGTTTTATTTGTTTTGTGGGGGTGGGTTTGAGACAGGGTCTCGCTGCTGCCCAGGCTGGCGTGCAATAGTGCAATCTCAGCTCACTGCAGCCTCGACCTCCCTGGGCTCAGGTGATCCTCCCACTTCAGCCTCCTGAGTAGCTGGGACTACAGGTGCACACCACCATGCCCAGCTGATTTTTTTTTTTTCGTAGAGGTGGGAGATTTCACCACCCAGGGTGGTCTCAAACACCTGGGCTCAAGTGATCCGCCCGTCTCAGCCTCCCAAAGTGCTGGGATTACAGGTGTGAGCCACCGCGCCCAGCCGGGAGGTGGATTTTCTGTCTCCCCTAACGCCACTTTACACGGAGTCTCAGAGAAGTGAATACACTTGCCCAAGGTCACACAGTTGTAAGTGTGGATTCCAGTATTTAATCCAGATCTGACCCAGAGCATGTACACCTGGTGTTAATCATCCCCAGCCCTGCCCAAGAGAGTCATCCAACATCCAACTCAAGAGAGTCAAAGAGACAGAGCCAGCCAGGCGCGGTGGCTCACGCCTGTAACCCCAACACATTGTGAGGCCAAGGCGGGCAGATCACCTGAAGTCAGAAGTTCATAGACCAGTCTGACCAACATGGTGAAACCCTGTCTCTACTAAAAATACAAAAATTAGCCAGGCGTGGTGGCGCATGCCTGTAATCTCAGCTATTCGGCAGGCTGAGGCAGGAGAATCACTAGAACCCTGGAGGCAGAAGTTGCAGTGAGCCGAGACCATGCCATTGCACTCCAGGCTAGGTGACAACAGCGAAACTCTGTCTCAAAAAACAAAAAAAGAGAGAGAGAGAGCCTATCTCACCATGAGGGAGATTCTGAAATTGGCATGGGAAGTAGGGAGATCTCCATCACTGGAAGGATTCAAGCAAAGGTTGAGGAACCCCCAGAGATGGACAGGATGGCAGGCTTCATGCATGGGATGGGGGTGAAGGAGAGGGACATTAGGGTCTCCATGCTGAGAGCTTTCAGTTCTCTGAGTCATGTCCCAGGCTGTGAGCTATAGGCAATGTTTCTATAGGTAACACAGTTAGCCTGTGCTTCAAGGCTTAGAAGAGAAAAAATAATCTTAATGAGTTAAATGAATGTGTCAACGTGTCGTGTTATACATTGAGAAACATTTACTCTACTCTTACACTTATTTTGACGGACTCTCTCTTTGTCGCCCCGGCTAAAGTGCAGTGGTGTGATCTCGGCTCACTGTAGCATTCACCTCCCAGGTTCAAGCCATTCTCCTGCCTCTACTTCCAGGGTAGTTGGGCCTACAGGTGTGCGCCACACCCAGCTAATTTTTTTTTTTTTTTTTTTTTTTTTTGTATCTTCAGTAGAGACAGGGTTTCACCATGTTGCCCAGGCTGGTCTCCAACTACTGGCCTCATGTGATCCACCCACCTCAACCTCCTTAAGTGCTGGGATTACAGGCGTGGGCCACCACATTCGGCCGTGTTTAATAATATCTCATATTGTATAGAGTTATTCCATGCCCCACTCTAACACGGGTATTTTAATACATTAAATTTGTAACTTTAAATATATGATCTCATTTAATCCTCAAACAATCCTGGGTAGTGAGTGCTATTATTATACATGTGGAATGGTCAGGTTTCTGCCATGATAAGACTGTGTAACAAACAACCCCACCAAGCCAGTAGCTTGCCATGTTTATTTCCATCTCTCATAGGCCTGTGGGTCAGCGGGGGTGGGTCATTCTGTGGGTCAGCTCGATTTCGCTGCAGGCCACGGATCAGATTCGGGTCAGCTCCATGAGTCCCTCTTCTGGAACCATCAGCTACCTGGGACACGTTAGTCTTGTAGCACATGGGAGAAGCTCAAACCACCAAGCCAAAAACCCAGCCATATTTCAAGCCTATGCCTTTGGCACATCCACTAATATCCCAAGTCACATGGCCAAACCCACACTTCAGCGGGGTAGAGAAATATGCTCTGCCTACTCCAGTGGGAGCTACTGCAAAGTCACACGGCAAAGCGCATGGGTGTATAATTCTATTCCAGGAGGGAATGAAAATTGGGAATAATATCCGATCTACCCCAAGAGGTTGCACAGGTGAGAATCCAGGGCCTCACACCACTGGCTCAAGGTCACATAGCTGCTTTGTGTGATTCTGCCTGGGATTCTGACCCAGATTGTCTGACATCCAAGCTGCTCAGCCCCCACAGGCTGCCGGGCAAATACCTGATACATAATAGGTGCTCAATAAATTATCAGTTCATTATTAAAGTGTACACTTCAATCTGCCATTTATCGCAAGCCAGTTACACCTCCATGACCTGTTAACTTGTCTTTAAAAAGAAACTTTAAATGAAAAAATGATCAGTTTAATAAATGAAATGTTAGCATCTGGTGCAAGACTTGATTTTGAAGATTAGCAGAGGGTGGAGTTCAGTGTCCACAACCAGACACCAGGCAGGCTTAAGGAACCCACCTAAGGGCTGGGGTTATGGGGAGCACATAGCAGGCCTGACAGTGAGGCTGCCCCCTGGAGAAGAGGTCAAGGGAGGGCTTGTTCTTCTTCTTCTTTTTTTTTTTTTTTTTTTGGAGACGGAGTTTCGCTCTTGTCACCCAGGCTGGAGTGCAACAGCGCGATATCAACTCACTGCAACCTCTGCCTCCCAGGTTCAAGCGATTCTCCTGCCTCAGCCTCCTGAGTAGCTGGGATTACAGGCTCCTGCCACCACGCCCAGCTAATTTTTGTATTTTTAGTAGAGCAGGGTTTCACCATGTTGGCCAGGCTGGTCTCGAACCCCTAACCTCAGGTGATCCACCCGCCTTGGCCTCCCAAAGTGCTGGGATTACAGGCATGAGCCACCGTGCCCAGCCAGGGCTTGTTCTTCTTAAGAGGCCAAGGCTGAGAGAGAGCCAGTGTGGTAAGCACGGAGAAGGAGCAGCTGAAGTGAAGGAGAAACGCCCACTGCCCGCTGGAACCTGCACCAAACATTCCCGTACACTGAGGCAGGGGAGATGTACACCAATCAGCCAGGTGAGCTCGGGGCAGCCTACAGGGTTCAGGGGAGAAAGTCAAGGCCGCAGCTCAAGTCAATTCCAATAAGACATCTGCCCTTTCATCTCCTGGACGGCAGCAGAGACCAGTGGTGAAAACAGTGTGGGTCTAGCCCTAGCCCAGCAGGGCCCTTCTAATCCTTCACTTTGAGACCCAGAACTCAAGTCACAGGTTGCCTAGGAACCTCAGCTTCCTCCTTGGTTAAGAAAAGGAGGCAGGGGCCAGGTGTTGCTCATGCCTGTAATCCCAGCACTTTGGGAAGCCAAGGTGGGTGGATCACCTGAGGCCAGGAGTTCGAGACCACCCTGGCCAGCATGGTGAAACCCCATCTCTACAAAAAAAAAAAAAAAAAAAAATTAGCCGGGCACACAGTGGCTGAGGCATAAGAATCACTTGAACCCAGGAGGGGAGGGTGCAGTGAGCCGTGATCACGTCACTGCACTCCAGCCTGGGTGACAGAGCAAGACTCTGTCTCAAAATAAATAAATAAATAATGAAATAATGAAATAAAAGATGGGGAGTTTCTCTCTAGGAATATTCCAGCTAATAGTCGAAGAGGGAACAGTAGCACGGATTCTCTCCATTTTGCAGCCCCTCAAGAACTCACAGGTCCAGGAGATGATCTTCAATATCCTGCAGCCTCCCCAGAAAGGACAAACCGGAGGACAGCCCCCCCTCCCCGGTGGGAGGGCGCCCTACTACCTGCGACGTCATCTTACCAAACACAGCATACCTGAATCTGATCAAGCCTCTCCACCAAATGCCAATCTACAGGACATACAGGGAGCACAGATGCAGTCACACACCACCCCGGGGACAAATCCAGCAGGATCCAGACTGAGCGAGCTCTCCAGGACAAATACAAGGCAGAAACATGGAGCAGGAAGTCTGTCTAAGAGGAGATGTAAATGACTTCTCAATCCATTGCAGTGTGTGGACCTGATTTAGACCTGGCTCAAATGCAGATAATTACATATGACTGGGTGTTTTATATATGTGACATAATATGCAATCACCCAATAAACACATAAATATAATTATATATTAAATGTACTCTATAAATAAATAAATATGTGTTTATATATTAAATATAAATGAGAAGTCAGAGCATTGGCAATTCGATGACACTGTACAGGTGTTTTATATCTATAATGATGTACGAATATGTTTACACTTTTGAGAAATGTGATGATATTGATTTGGTTCTTTAGGTATTGTAGCGATGTATTAAGTTTGAAAAGCTCTTATTTTTTAAAGCTACACACTGAAGTATTTCCAGATGAAACAATATGTCTGGGATTTGCTTCAAAGCAAACAGGGAGAGGGAGAAGGTGGGGACAGAATGAAATCAGACTGATGGGGAAGGATCGTTGGTGCAGTGGGTGATGCCACATGGGGTTCATTATATTATTCTCTCTATTTTTGGTCAGTGCTTGAAATTTTCCATAATGAGATGTTAAAGCTAAATAGCTCACATAATAGGCCAGGCATGGTGGCTCACGCCCGTAATCCCAACAATTTGGGAGGCCGAGGCAGGCGGACAACCTGAGGTCAGGAGTTCAAGACCAGCCTGGCCAACATGGTGAAACCCCATCTCTACTAAAAATACAAAAATTGGCCAGGCGCGGTGGCTCATGCCTGTAATCCCAGCACTTTGGGAGGCCGAGGCGGGCAGATCACAAGGTCAAGAGATCGAGACCATCCTGGCCAACGTGGTGAAACCCTGTCTCTACTAAAAAAAAAAAAAAAAATACAAAAATTAACCAGGCATGGTGGCACGTGCCTGTAGTCCCAGCTACCCGGGAGGCTGAGGCAGGAGAATCACTTGAACCCAGGAGGTGGAGGTTGTACCACTGCACTCCAGCCTGGGCAACAAGAGCGAAACTCCGTCTCAAAAAAAAAAAAAAATTAGCCAAGCATAGTGGCGCACGCCTGTAATCCCAGCTACTCGGCAGGCTGAGGCAGGAGAATTGCTTGAGCTCAGGAGGCGGAGGTCACAGTGAGCCAATATCGCACCATTGCACTCCAGACTGGGCAACAGAGCCAGACTCTGTTTCAAAAAAAAAAAAATAGCTCAAATAATAAAAAGTTTAGGAAAAGATGCTTTTTTTTCATTTTTTATTGTGATAAAATACACAAAACATAAATGGTTAGGTCCAGTTCAGTGGCATGAAGCATATCCACATTGTGCCTCTATCACCACCATCATCTCCAGAACATTTTTCATCTTGTAAAACTGAAAATCTGTCCCCATTAAACTCTAACTCCCCATTCCCCCTTCTCCCCAGCTCCTGGCACTCCCCATCCTACTGTCTCTATGAATTTGACTACTCTAAACACCTCACATGGGTGGTCTTGCTTTGTGGCCCAGGCTGGTATTGAGCAATCCTCAAGCAATCCTCCGTCCTTGGCCTCCCAAAGTGCTGAGATTACAGGCATTAGCCACAGCACCTGGCTAATATTTGTCCTTTTTTGATGGGCTTATTTCACTCAGGTACTCAAGGTTCACCCAAGTCGTAGCATGTGTCAGAATGTCCTTCCTTTTTTAAGGGTGAATCGTGGCCGGGCGCCGTGGCTCACGCCTGTAATCCCAGCACTTTGAGAGGCCGAAGAGGGAGGATCACTTGAGGTCAGGAGTTCGACACCAGCCCCTGGCCAACATGGTGAAACCCTGTCTCTGCTAAAAATATAAAAATTAGCCAGGTGTGGTGGTACATGCCTGTAATCCCAGCTACTCAGGAGGCTGAAGCAGGAGAATCACTTGAACCCGGGAGACAGAGGTTGCAGCAAGCTGAGGTCGTGCCACTGCACTCCAGCCTGGGTGACAGAGCCAGACTCCGTCTCAAAAAAAAAAGGCTGAATCGCATTCCATTGTATGGCTGGGGCACATTCTGTTTACTCGTTCACCCATCAGCAGACACGTGGGATGCTTCCACCCTTTGACTACTGTGAATAACACTGCTATGAAAACAGGTGTACAAATACCTGTTTTCCAGCCTGACATTCCTGCATTTATTCACTCATGCAACATTCAAATAGAATACATTGAGCACCTACTGTGCACTAGGCTCCGGGCTAGGTTCTGTGGACTCCATAGTGTGAGCCAGAGGGACAGGCCCTGCCTCGTGGAGCCACTTGTCCCTTGGGATCTGAAGGTCATGGAGACTTCGGGGCACAGGGACAGGGTATTTGGGGTACTGCCTGTGTCTGGCAGGGTGCAGGCCAGAAGAGGATAGTGCTGGCCAAGATGTAGCAAGTTCACCAGCCAAGCAGTGGGCAACGGCAGAGCCACCCCAAGCTTCCCCATCAATGTCATTGTCCTGCACCCATCCAGAAAGCCAGCTGCCCATCCCCCCCATTCCTCCCTCTCTGCAGCCCTCCTCTGAGTCCGGAAATCCAATCAGCTTCCTCAACCCAGCAAGACTCAGGGAGTCCCCTCTCTTTCAACAAGATATTCACCTGCAGGCAAACTTGGAGGTGAGCTGGGTGTCTCTTTTTCTTCGTTTTTTCCAACCAGTGCCCAGGAAATGAGGGTGGCTCTTGAAGGGCAATGGCTTCTCTTCAGAGCCCAGGGACGCTGGGGCAGTGGCTACATCCACTCTCTGCAGGTCCCTGTGTGCGGAGGCTGAGCTGGCCGTAGGGAGACGCAAATGGTCAAGTCCCGAGTTATGCACTCAAGCGGTTCAAGTCTAGTTGGAGAGCCAGACGCACACTCCATAAAACTGCAACAAGGGAAGTGCCACGATGGGGAGTGCGGTGATGGGGAGTGCAGGTATCCAAAGGGCACAAGCCCCACTTCCTGGAGGGAGAGACACCTGAGCCGGCTCCTAGAGAGTAAGAAAGAAATGCTGAAAGGGGTGTGGCTCCCAGGGACTCAGGGGGAGGGTGGCCATGGTTCCGCAGGAGGCTGGGCTCCAGAGAAGAGGCTGAGAGGCAGGCCGGACAGGAGAAGGTAGAGCCTGCAGGCCAAGGGGAAGGGTCTGAACTTTACCCAAGGGCAATAGGGAGCCATTCCAGGCCGTTCAGCAACAGAGAGGCCTGGGCAGATGTACCCTCAAATGTTCCATCACAGGGGCGGCTGTGGGGAAGACAGGAAGTGGGAGGGGCCAGGCTGGAGGAGAGCAGGGGGTGGGAGGGTCCCACAGCGATCAACGTGACAGACTCCAAGCTGATCCTGGGAGCCTACAGGGCAAGCCTCTTTCTATGGCCCCCAGCAATGGAAACTCCAGAACTCTCCAGGGCTGCTTCTGTGGCCTCCACCTCAACCTCCTCCAAGGCGTGGCCAGAGATGCAGAGCTGCAAAAGGGCCTGTGTGGGCCTGAGCAGTTAAGAACTTGGAGTCAAGCCCGGCAAGGTGGTTCACGCCTATAATCCCAGCACTTTGAGAGGCTGAGGTGGGAGGATTGTTTGAGTCCAGGAGTTCGAGATCAGCCTGGGCAACAAAGTGAGGCCTCATCGCTAACAAAAAAAAAAAAAGTCGGGCATGGAGCCGCATGCCCATAGTCCCAGATGTTCTGAAAGCTGAAGTGGAAGGATCACTTGAGTTCAGAGGTCAAGGCTGCAGTGAGCTATGATCACACCACTGCACTCCCCTCCAGCCTGGGTGACAGAGACCCTGTCTCTAAAAAATAATTAACTTAATTTTTTTCAAAAAAGAACTTGGGGTCAAAGTCAGAGAGACTTGCTGGGCCACATGCGTGTTTGCAAAACCTTGAGAAGGCCGCCACCTCTCTGAGTCTCCATCTCCTCCTCACCTGCAAAATGAAGATAGTACCCATGAATCCCCTCAAGGGAGGTGGAGAGAATTAATGAGAAAATAAACATCAAGTGCTAGCGTGGTGCTTCTCAACAGATGTTGGTTCTTTATGACCAGTAGTGGCAGTGAGCAGGTATGACTATTATATAGACCCAACCGTTTATAAAATCCCAACCCCTCCACCCCAGGCAGCCGGGTTCCAGTGTTCCTGGTCTTTTCTACCTGTCTTTTTGATGCCTTCTGCTCTGAAAGATCCCCTCCCAGACTCCCAAACTAGTAAAATCCTGCCTATGCCTCCAAGGCCACCCCAGAGATCACCTCCTCCACAAAGCCTGCCTGGATTCCCCTTCCCCACAACACAAAGACTCTCACAGCCACAGCCACCAGGGCTCACCTCTGCAGCAGCTCCTAGTGTCCCATGCTCTAAAAGGCTCGTCACTTTGTCACCTGTCCCTTCAAACGGAGGGCTGGGGCCAGGCCCCAGAACAGGGGCTGGTACGGAGCAGGTGTTCAGTAAATATGGGATGGATAGGTAGACAGAAGGACAGACATATGGGTGAAATAAGCTTTCTGCATTCATCAGAACTAGTCGCAAGGACAGAAAGCCAACTCAAATTGTCCTAAGCCAAAAGGGATAGACCGTGTCAGGCAAGGCTGGATCCGGGTTGATATAGTGTGGATCTGTGTCCCCACCCAAATTTCCCGTTGAATTGTCAACCCCAATGATGGCGGTGGGGCCTGGTGGGAGGTGGCTGGATCGTGGGGATGGGTTTCTCATGAGTGGTTTAGCACCGTCCTCTTAGTGCTGTTCTTGTGATACTGAGTGAGTTCTCATGAGATGTGGTTGTTTAGAAGTGTGTGGCACCTCCCCTCTCTCTCTCTCTCTTGCTCCTTTTCTGGCCATGTGACATGGCTGCTTCCCCTTCACCTTCCGCCATGATTGTAAGTTTCTCCAGAAGCCAAGCAGATGCCAGCACTATGCTTTCTGTACAGCCTACAGAACTGTGCACCAATTAAACCTCTTTTCTTCATGAGTTACCCAGTCTCAGGTATTTCTTTACAGCAATGTGAGAACGGACTAATACACAGGTGTTCAAACAATGTCTCCCTCCCGCCATCCCCTGTCAATTTCTCAGCTCTGCTGTCTAGTGTTGGCTTCATCTTGCGCAGGCTGCCCACACAGTTGACCCTGGCAATTCCAACCTTGTATCCTACCAGCCTAGGCTCCCTGGCAAAAAGAGAGCTTCCCTTCCCCTTTCTTTGCTCCCAGGTCCCAGGCCTGCATCTCACTGGCCTGCCTTGGGTCACATGACTGCATGCTCACCATGTGCTGATTGGCCAGCCTGGGATGACAGGTGTGCTCCTGAAGGACAGGGGACCACTTCAAAAAGGGACCTGAGGGTGACTGAGAGGGTGGGGTGCTGGGCAGGTAAACACAGCCACACCCATGTCCCAATTTCACCCCCATGGCGGATCTGCAGGCCAGGTCTGGAGGACAGAAACCCTCTGCTTTGGCCAGAGGGTAAAGAGTAGACAGAGGGCCCTGCTCAGAGGACTCGGCCCAAAGAGGAAACAGACAAGCTAATGCATCACAAGGAGCTGCACTGCGCAACAGTCAAATGGCCAGGCAGAAGGAGAAAGCCGGTCCCCCAGCCCAGGGGGCCTGGAGGGCTCTCTAGAGCAGGGTTGGGGGTCCTGTCGTGCCCATCCTTGCCGTGCATCCCCAACCCTCCTCCCACAGGGGTAACCACCCGGCCCACCCCACCCCATAGACATTCCAAGCCACACCCCTAGGCCCTGGGTGAGTCTCCAGCTCTGATGAGGCCCTGATTCTGGGGCGCAGGTTTCCCTGCGTGTAGGGAGAAGGGCACCTCGCCCATACTGTGTATTGAGAGGCATTTCCACAGCAATCAAAAAACTCAAAAGCAGACCAGGCGCAGTGGCTCACACCTATAATCCCAGGACTTTGGGAGGCCGAGGTGGGTGGATCACTTGAGGTCAGGAGTTCGAGACCAGCCTGGCCAACATGGTGAAATCACATGTCTACAAAAAATACAAAAATTAGCCAGGTGTGGTGGCGCACGCCTGTAGTCCCGGCCACTCGGGAGGCTGAGGCCGGAGAATCTTTTGAAACCAGGAGGCAGAGGTTACAGTGAGCCATGATCGTGCCACTGTACTCTAGCCTGGGTGACAGATCAAGATTCTGTCTCAAAAAATAAAAATAAAACAAACAAAAAACTCAAAAGCAGCCACCTCCTCCTCCTTCCCTCCCAATAACAATAAAAGTAATAATAACAGCTACCCAGTACTGAACAGCATGCTCTCTATCTGCACCCCTTGAGGAGGCTGGTATTATCACCATTCTGCAGACAAGGACCCAAGGATTAGAAAGGGGACATCACAGATGTCCTGCAGTCAGAGTGGAGCTGGGACCGGACCCCGATCTGGCAGACTCCAGAGCTGTGAGCTCGAGGCTCCATTGCTGCCCGCCACTCTGGAGCAGTGGTCTCCACTCAGTGCCCACCACCACTACCTCAAGAGCTGCTTAAAAATCCATATTCCTGGCTGAGCATGGTGGCTCATGCCTGTGATCCCAGCACTTTGGGAGGCCTAAGTGGGCAAATCACTTGAGGTCAGGAGTTTGAGACCAGGCCAGCCAACATGGCAAAACCCCATCTCTACTAAAAATACAAAAAAAGTAGCCAGGTATGGTGGCATGCACCTGTAGTCCCAGCTACTCTGGAGGCTGAGGTAGGAGAATCGCTTGACCCTGGGAGGCAGACTGGCAGTGAAAGATCACGCCACTGCACTCCAGCCTGAGCGACAGAGAGAGACTTCGTCTCAAAAAAAAAAAAAAAAAGAATCCAAACTCCTGGGCCCCACCTTGGATTCCACGTATCAGGATGTCAGAGCAAGAGGGCCCAGGAATCTGCATTTAGCCAGCGTTCCAGAGATTCCAACACAGCCAGCAGACATCTGGAGAAACCACTTGGCTTCCAGAATATCGACCCTGAAATTCAATCAAAGAGGTGAAGAGAGGTGAAGACTGTGCCTGGTCCTCAGGAGCCAGGGCTGCCAGTGGAGAAGGGGCTCCTGAAGAACAAACGCCCCCCTCACCCCTCCCCGCACCCCCATGGCCCCACATACCCTAAGTTTTTAATCTGTACATATTCAGTGTCCTCTCCCTGTTCAAGCACGTGTGCAGTTCCCATCAGGATGGGAGGCGGGGGTCTCGGGCCAACACTTTCTGTGTGTTCCCATCTTTTTGTGAAGAAGAGGCCCCCAAGCATCATGAGAGATTTTTTTTCCTGCCATCTGAGTTGCATTTGTGAAGGGCTAATTGATTTGCTTCCCCATTTTTTATTAATCAAAGACAAACCCCAGCAGAGCCAGGCCTCTGATCTGGGGGATGAGGCCACACTGGGTGCCATCCTCACCCAGGGCACAGACACCCGACGTTTTCAGTGGGGTAAGGAGCTTCATTTCTGCTGGACCACTCGTGTCCAGAACACTCTGGAGAAGTCCAGGGGCCCGAGGGGCAGGGTAGGAAGCCTGGGATCCAGGCAGGGAAGTCATGCCCTGAGTCAAGCAGGCTGAGAAGGATCTGCCAGGGTGACCGTGGAAGCAAAAGTCAGGTGCTGCTGACAGTGAGGCCTGGGCTCCCTGCCTCTCCCTTCAGACATGACCAGGGCCACGGAGCACATCCCCCAGGATCTCACGGCCATCACCGCTAGCGCAGCCAACCCAGTTAAGGTTCACTTTTCAATAGCAGAGCCCCAGGCAACTTGCTGGGCCCGCAGACCCCAACATCTGGCACAAATCCTTCCTGCTCCTGCCACATCTGGAATGGGGGAGGGTGTGAAAATGACCCTCCCCTATTTTTCATGGCGGGCTCCTGACAGCTAGAGGCCGGGGAGGAAAAGATTTTTCTTGGACCTCACAGAAGCTCACTCAGCAAAAATCTGTGAGGGTCTCAGTTTCCCCCTCCAAGCAGCAGGGATGTTGCTCCTCCCCATATATCCCATACTCCCTCCTCAAACCCCTTGCTTCTGGGATTTGAGGGGGCATTGTGCCCCCTGAGGATGGCATTGTGCCAGCTCTTGCTGCAGCCCTGCCCTGGGAAGTCTCCTTCCCCTTCCCCTAAGGACACGCCGGGGCCTGAGAAGCAGGACCCCCAGGCTGGTTCCAGGCTCTGCCACTGAACCCTGGTCACGTTCCGCCTGGCCACTCTGCCCGAGAACCCGGCACGCATACTGGATTTGGGGATCAGAAACACTCTTCGCCAGGTGCTTCCCACGGGCCCTACTCACCTCTCCACCCCTCCCAGCGGCCCCTCCCCAGCCGTTCTCTGCCTGCCAGCCTCCCAGGCCTTCTTTTGCTTCCCCTAAAGCCTCGAAGCCCTCCTTCATGCTGTTCCCTCTGACTGGAACACCCTTCCCTGCTCCTGCCCTGGCCAACCCAGGCCTAGTCTGAATGTCACCGGCCCCTGGAAGCCTTGCCCATACCCCAGGTCCGTCAGGCCCCTGTGCCACCCTCCTCCTCTCCGGTGGGGTCATCTGGTGTGTCACTCAAGACTGAATGTCGGTGATCCCCTCCCCCGCCCACCCCGACTTTAAGCGCTGTCCCCAAAGGGCCAGACACACACTCGACAATCAAGGTGTGGCTAACGGAGACCGAAAAGGTTCCAGCGAGATCAAGCGTTTTAAAGCGCCCGGGGTGATGTTTGAGAGAGGAGGGTGGGGGAGTCAAGGGTGGGGCAGGATCCCAGCCCCGCCCCTTAAAGGGTCCCGGGAGTACGCGACAGAACTGTCCTGGGGTCCCCGGCGCAGTAGGATTAATTCAAAAGGCCTGCGGAGGGTGGAGGTCCCCCAGGGGAGGGGTCCTAGGGCCCCGTGAGCCGCGCGGGCGCCGGGCTGCTCCGCGAACGTCCGCGCCAGCGGCTGCCCGGGGGACAGGGCCTGAACTACAACTCCCATGATGCTGTGCGGCATGGCGGGCCCGGGCGGGGCGGGCGCTGGTGGCTCCGCCCCTCGCGGCCTTCTGGGGACTGTAGTTCTACCCGGAGGGGCGCGGCCTGGGTTTTGGGGCGTCTGGGCATTCTTATCGTCTCGGGGAAAGGGGAGCCTCTGCGGCCCGCGAGGAGGAAGGGACTGAGGGCGCTGACTGCCTGCAGGGCGGTCGGTGGCTCCCTTCTCTCCAGCAGCAGCCTCTCCCAGCATCATTTCCCAACAATACCAGCTGCTACAGTATTTAGTGAGCACCTACTATGCGCTAGGCCCTGTGCTGATCTCTTAAAGGACAAAGACAGAGACAGGCATGGTTCTTTGCTGAGCACACAGCCCAGGCAGGGAGACAGGCCAGGGATGTTTAATCACACAAATACATAATTACCTGTGATGGGTCCAAAACAACAGGGGCCACAAGGACGGGGACTTTTGGAACCAAGGACAGACACACAGAGTTAGACCACGGAATGGAATCTTTAGAATTTGAAGGGTGAATTTTATGGGTGGGTTGGGAAAATTCAGAACTAGCCCTGCCAACCCCTTCATTATACCGATGAGGAAATTGGCCCAGAGGCCAGGCGTGGTGGCTCGTGCCTATAATCCCAGCAGTTTGGGAAGTCGAGGTGGGTGGATCACTTGAGGCCAGGAGTTCGAGACCAGCCTGGCCAACATGGTGAAACCCTGTCTCTGCTAAAAATACAAAAATTAGGGAGGCATGGCGGTGCGCACCTGTAGTCACAGCTACTTGGGAGACTAAGACAGGAGAATCGCTTGCCCCAAGGGGGCGGAGGTTGCAGTGAGCCGAGATCATGCCACTGCACTCCAGCCTTGACGACAGAGCGAGACTCTGTCTCAAAAAAAAAAAAAGAAAAAAAAAAATTGTCCCAGAGACAGGAAGGGACTTTCCCGAAGTCACAAGCAGATCAGAGGAAGTTGGTCCAAGGAGGCCCACCCAGATGTTAAACTCCCAAGGACAGGGCCCCGGGTCTTACATGTCTTCTTGGCCCCCTCCCACCCCACCCCACCCCCCATACATGTCTCCCACCCAGCCCTGCATGGTTAGTGTGAGGAACAGCTCCACGGGCAAAGACAGCGAATGCCCTATGTCTGCCCTCAGTGAAAACACAGGGCTCGGGGCCTCGAAAATTGCACACTCCCTTGATGTGGCAGGAAAACAAGATTGACCGCATAGGGCCTCCAAGACCCTTGAATCATCCCTAAGAGAGTGGCCCTTCTACCCTGAGCAGGCAGGCAGAGATGCCCAGTGCGGGCTGAGCATGGAGCCCTTCTTCCAGAGTCTGCAGGGCGAGCACAGTCCTCATTCAAGCAAGGGAGCTTGCGTCTCTGCCTGTTCCCCATCAGTGAAAAATACACCCACCTCATGCCATCGTTCTAGCAGAAAAACCAAAGATGATGGATGTGTAGGGCATTTTCCAAGCAGAAGAGGTGCCAGTGTGAGTCACTATCCGCTGCATGCCCTGATGCGACGCCATGGGACAGCCAGAAGCCATCTGTGGCCTGCTGCTGGGTGCCAACCAGGGGACAGGCTGCCAGGGCTGGAGGTGTGCAATCCAGGAAGGAGAGGGGCTGCAAGCCTTTCTCCAAGGAATCAGGGCTTCATCGGAGCCCTGAGGATGCCCCCGTCAAGTCTCTGAGGTGAGCAGGGAATGGGCCTCCCTCGGTGACGTGTCTCCAGTGCTCAGTTTAAATAGCAGCTTCAGCAAATCTGAACGCACCATGGCTCCCTGCGGTCCTCCAGATGAAGTCTGCACTCTTCACCCTGACCCCTGCCCCTGACCCCTGGGGCTTTCTGTCCCCAGAATTCACCAAGGCCTTCCCTCCTTCGGGCCTTTGCAGGCCTTTAGGATTGCACCCCAAAAGTCAACCCAAGCTCTTCTCCCTTTCCTCCTTCTACTATAGAGACCAGCAAAATTTTAAGACTTGATTTTCTGGGGGCCAGGCGCTGTGGCTCACGCCTGTAATCCCAGCACTTTGGGAGGATGAGGCAGGTGGATCACCTGAGGTCAGGAGATCAAGACCAGCCTGGCCAATATGGTGAAACCCCATCTCTACTAAAAATATAAAAAATTAGCCAGGCATGGTGGCAGGGGCCCATAATCCCAGCTACTCAGGAGGCTGAGGCAGGAGAATCACTTGAACCCGGGAGGCAGAAGTTGCAGTGAGCCGAGATTGCACCATTGCATTCCAGCCTGGGCAACAAAAGCAAAACTCCATCTCAAAAACAAAACAAACAAACAAAAGAAAACCTCGATTTTCCAAGCCTCCTTGCTGTCCAAGGTGGCCATGTAACCCAGATCTAGCCAGTAAGTTAGAACAAAAGTCCCTGAGGAGCAATTCCCTTTCTGAATAAAGAGATGGAGCTGGCAAGGAAAAGGCCCTCTCACTCTTTGCTCTTCGGCCTTTTGCTCCTTCTCCTTCCTCTTGCCTGGAACATGGATGTGAGGCCCGGAGGTGCCGCAGCCATCTTGTGACCATGAGGCAGCAACTGTGAGGACACAGCCTCCACACTGAAGACAGTGAAAGGGAAGATAGAGCAGGGGTGGCCGTGCCATCTGTAAGTTACTACACCAACCCGACTACCCACCGAAGGCTTATCATTGGCTAAAGCAAAATCTTCTGTCTGTATAAGCCCCTGTATTAGTAGTTTCTTTATTTACAATGAACGTAATACTTATGCTACACAGCCAGCCCTTCACGAGGAACCCCTGCAGAACTTGCATTCTCACTCTCCTTGGGGCTCACTGCGTGCCCGCCACTGCGCTGGCCTCTCTTAGTTCTCTGATCACACTGAACTTATTCCTGTCTCAGGACCTTTGCACTGGCTGGGCCGGCTAGAGGCTGCTGGCTCTTCCTTACCACTCTGGCGGTCTCAGTTTAAACCCCACGTCCTGAAAAACGCCTTCCCTCTCTGCCGCACAATCTGTAGGAGCCTCCCCAGGCCCCTCTACCCCATGAGTCGGTTTCTTTTCCCCACCACTCCTTACTGCTGTCTGCTGCTTTCTCTACCTGCTTCTTCATCTGCTTGGTGCACAGAACGGCAGCTCCATAGGGAGTCCGGCTGCCTGTGTTGAGTGCCTCTGTGTCCCCAGTGTGTGGCATATAGTAAGTACTCAATAAAGGTTTGCTGGATGAATTATTCAGTGTCTTTTTTGTTTGTTTTGTTTTGGAGACAGAGTTTCGCTTTTGTCACCCAGACGAGTGCAGTCCCGCGATCTTGGCTCACTGCAACCTCTGTCTCCCAGGTTCAAGCTATTCTCCTGCCTCAGCCTCTCAAGTAGCTGGGATTACAGGCACCCACCACCACGCCCGGCTAATTTTTTGTATTTTTAGTAGAGATGGGGTTTCATCATGTTGGCCAGGCTGGTCTCAAAGTCCTGACCCCAGGTGACCCACCCGCCTTGGCCTCCCAAAGTGCTGGGATTACAGGCGTGAGCTACCAGGCCCGGCCATTTATTCAGTGTATTAATTAATGCCAATCTCTCTGCTGATGTGTCCTGTCTCTCTGCCTGGGAGCTGGAAACCCCCACTCTTTCCTTTGAGCTGTTCCTCCTGGGAAAGCCTTCCTGGCACTCCCAGACCTGGGCTGGGACATCTGTGGTTCCCGCACCCATGACTTTAGGTGTCTCTCTGCCGCCACCCTTTCACAATTCTAACTGCAAGGTGGTTGACGTCTTCATCTGTTAGATGTCATCTCCCCCTCCAGGCCATAAACTTCAAGAGGACAGGGACTATCTTCGTTTCCTGCTCCATGGCCCATGCCTGGCGCAGGTCGATGTGTTTGTTGAATGAATGAATGACAGCAGCTGCTTCCAGACTGGAAGATCTCAGGCTAGACGACAGGAGTCACCCAAGTCCCATCCCTTCCCACCCCAGCCCGCCCCCTCCCCCGGAAGAAAAACTAAATCAAAGCCGCGTGTCCCACCCAGTTCAGATCTGCCTTGTTCTGAACAAAGGGGCAGCTGGTGCCTCTGCCCAGACAGACGCCTGCATCAGCAACACGCAAAGCCAGCCTTGCCGCGCAGCCCGAGGGTCTCGGGGGGCTGTTCCTTAGCAAGATTTTGCCCCTTTCCCTCCACTTCATCCTCCTATTCACCCTCTCCCCCAAATAACAGCACACACCCTCAACCCTCGTGTGGAATTTTTCGTCTTCAAAGCACTTCCTAAGCATTAGCTCATTAGCAGAGCGGCCCCTTGACACCACGAGGCTGCTCCCTGGGTGTCTTCTGAGTCATAACGCTCGAGTTTACCGACAAAAACAAGTTTTTCCCATAGAGCGGATTCGGCGCCACAGCCAAGATCACTGTCTCAGAAAAAAAGGGAAGAAGGAAGGAGAGAAACACTGCCTCTGGCAAGCGCCAGCCAAGCACTGATCCCCGTGTCAGCTCTAAGCACTAGGAGACCCGAGAGATGCCAGGCTCAGCGTAGGGGCCACCGAAGCTTCCGTCCCCTGCCCTGGGCTGGAACCCTCCACCAGGAGGAGATGTCACAGCGTGGCCCCTGACACCTGGCACCTCTCCCAGCGTCTCTCCCTGCACCCACATCTGGTTTCCCACCACTAGGAATGTTTCCCGCCTCCCACTCCATCCCCACCCCGCAAACACAGCCATAAGCCCTAAGCCCAGAGGACGGGATAACCATTTGCTGCCTAATAAATGACGGGTGGTGTCAGCCAGCCCGGACAGAGGGCAGTTACTCTGGCATTGAACAGACCTGGGTTCAAATCCCAGATCTGCTCCTTACAAGCTCTGGGACCTTGGCCAAGTGGCCGAGACTGTTTCCTCGTCTGTGGAATGAGGCCGCACTGGCCCTGCCTCCCTCAGGGTCGTCTGTGAAATGATGAGTGGAGAGCACTGGGGCACTTGGAGTCAGCGATGTTCTCAGCCAAGGGAGCAGCTGCCAATTTCTCTGGTTTTAGGGGTTACAGAGTGGCTTCCATTCCAGAGGCAGAGCACAGGTCCCAGGGTAGGGGACTCAGTACTGGGCATTACGGAAGCCCCCACAAGAGTCAGGGAGGATCGTGGCCTTCTCCCTGCAGGAGGGGCTGGTCTTAGCACCCCTGCCTCTGTACCCCACACCATCTCATCCACAGAAGAGGCATTGAATAAAGATCCAAACTAAAAGCCTCATGTAAACCAATACAAAAGCTGGACTGGGCCATACATAGTGGCTCATAACTGTAATCCCAGCACTTTGGGAGGCCAAGGCGGAGGATCACTTGACGCCAAGAGTTTGAGACCAGCCTCGCCAAACATGGCAAGATCTGTCTACAAAAAATTTATTTTTTTGTTTTGTTTTTGTGAGACGGAGTTTCAGTCTTGTTGCCCAGGCTGGAGTGCAATGGTGAGATCTTGGCTCACTGCAACCTCTGCCTCCTGGGTTCAAGCGATTCTCCTGCCTCAGCCTCCTGAGCAGCTGGGACTACAGGCGCCCGCCACCACGCCCAGCTAATTTTTTGTATTTTCAGTAGAGATGTGGTTTCACCATGTTGGCCAGACTGGTCTTGAACTCCTGACCTTAAGTGATCCACCCACCTTGGCCTCCCAAAGTGCTGGGATTACAAGCATGAACCAACACACCCAGCCCCTACAAAAATTTTAAAAATTAGCCAAGCATGGTGGCATGCACGTGTGGTCCCAGCTACTCAAGAGATGGGAAGATTGCCTGAGCCGGGGAGGACGAGGCTGCAGTGAGCCATGATGACGCCACTGCACTCTGCTCCAGCCTGGGCAACACAGCAAGACCCTGTCTCTAAAAA
This sequence comes from Homo sapiens, assembly GCF_000001405.40. Lineage (NCBI taxonomy): Eukaryota > Metazoa > Chordata > Mammalia > Primates > Hominidae > Homo > Homo sapiens. The sequence goes on along the minus strand of NC_000009.12, from coordinate 129,197,157 downwards.
AAGAAAAGAAAAGAAAATGGCTGGGTGCAGTGGCTCACGCCTGTCATCCTAGCACTTTGGGAGGCCAACATGGGTGGATCACAGGGTCAGGAGTTCGAGATCAGCCTGACCAACATGGTGAAACCCCGTCTCTACTAAAAATACAAAAATTAGCCGGGCGTGGTGGTGGCATGTGCTTATAGTCCCAGCCACTCAGGAGGCTGAGACAGGAGAATCGCTTGAACCCGGGAGGCGGAGGTTGCAGTGAGCCAAGATCTCACCACTGCCCTCCAGCCTGGGCGACAGAGTGAGACTCTGTCTCAAAAGAAAGGAAAGAAGGAAGGAAGGAAGGAAGGGAGGGACGGACAGACAGAGGGAGGGAGAGAGGAAGGAAAGAGAAAGGCCAGGTGCGGTGGCTCACACCTGTAATCCCAGCACTTTAGGAGGCCAAGGCAGGCGGATCACTTGAGGTCAGGAGTTCGAGACCAGCCTGGCCAGCATGGCGAAACCCTGTCTCTACTAAAAACATAAAAATTAGCCAGGTGTGTTGGCGTGAACCTGTAGTCCCAGCTACTCAGGAGGTTGAAGCAGGAGAATCGCTTGAACCCAGGAGGAGGAGGCTGCAGTGAGCCAAGATCATGCCACTGTATTCCAGCCTGGGCAACAGAGTGAGACTGTCTCAGAAAATAATAATAATAAATAAAATAAATAAATACAATGCAAAAAAATTTTTAAAGCTGGTCTGGGTCATGGAAAATGCACCAGAAACACTACTATCTAGAAACTCCTCCCTTGAGTCACAGCAAATATTGATTGGACCCCTACCACGCACCAGGCACTGTGCTGGGCACAGGACACTCCCTCTGGAGATGGTAGGAGACTGCTGGGCATCCCTCCAGGGCACATGCCAGCAACATCCTACTTCGTGCTCCAGCAAAAAGGTCCAAATGTATGTGGCCAAGCAGATGTGGGTGCGCCTTGAGGGCAGAAACCCTGTTCGCTGAGTAAGAACGCTGCTGGACAGTTCGGTGTCCATTTTGTCCCCAGCTACCTTCCTAACAGAACCCTGTTTTGTTCAAGTGGGCAAATATGCCCAGATACAAATACTCACTTCCCAGACTCCTTTGCAGCTAGCTGGGCTGCTTTACCTAATTCTAGCAATGAGATGAAATTAGGAGTCTCCTGCTAAGAATGACCAGGAAATCAATTGTTTTTCTGAAAAAAAGAGGAATTCACCTGGCAGGGGCCTTTTGTACTTTGCCCTTCACCCTTTCCCAATCACCACCCCAATTTTCCTGCCTGGAATGCTGTCCTGAGAGCTGGAGGTGAAGCAGCCGTTTTCTGCCACAAAGAGGAAAGCCACGTGCTAGGTGGCCAGAAGGGCGTCTCCAGAGGCTGCCCAGGCCTGACTGCCTCCCACAGCACCGTGTGCTTCCCGCTCAAGTCATCATTGTTGGGTTTCTGTGAGTCGCAGCTAACCACAAATCCCAACTCATCACCAGGCCACGTCGGAGACCCTCACCGTCAGCAGAGGGGCCAGCACAGAGCGGCCACTTAAGAAACATGCTTGAATGCAGGAGTGAAGGGCTCGATGCGGCAGAACAGACCCCTGAGGTGCCCTGCGGCCCGGAGTCTCCAGACCTGAACTGCAAACTCAGCCCCAAAGGGGAGAGTGCCAGCATGATTCTATCAGACCTACAGAGCCTGGATTCCTCCAGGGCCACACCGTGTGACCCTGAGCAAGTGCCCCCCCCTCTCTGGGCCTCAGTTTCCCTGAGAAGTTAGTGTGTGGGACTTGGTGGTCTTTGTGGACGGTCTTTTAGGGAAGCAGCCAGATTCAGGGTCAGCAACCCCATGATTCTTCCTCCTCTTCTTTCGGGTACGGGAAGGAGGGCTCCTCTCACCTTCAAATCCAAATGCCATGGGGTGGGGGGTTGATAAATCTGGGGACTGGTCACTATCGGAGGAGGGCTGGCACTGACGGGTGCCTCGTGCCAAGCGCCATGCGCTGTCTCTCTGAATCTTCATGCCACCCCGTCACACAAGTGCTCTTCTTTTTTTACTTTATTTATTTGTTTTTTTTGTTTGGTTTGGTTTTTTAGAGTCAGGGTCTTGCCTGTCACCCAGGCTGGAGTGCAGTGGCTCAATCATACCTCACTGCAGCCTTGAACTCCCGGGCTCAAGCGATCCTCCCACCTCACCCTCCCTAGTAGTTGGGACTACAGGCTAGTTTTTTATTTTGTAGAAATGGGGCCTTGCTATGTTGCTCAGTCTGGTCTCAAACTCCTGGTCTCAAATAATCCTCCTGCCTTGGCCTCCCAAAGTTCTGGGATTACCAGCTTGGGTGGGCTCCTCTTATCCCTGTTTAACAAATGAGGAAACTGAGGCTCAGGGGTTAAATAACTCCATTGAATTTCCAGGGTGGGCATGTGGCAGCACCAGGACGGGAGAGCTGAAGGGATAAAGCGGCAGTTAGCTGCTACCCTAAGTCAGGTCGGGGGTAGGTAAGGGGAGACCTACAAGAAGAGAATGATTTTTCCCCAGGGAAAAATGCCCGAGGCAGTCCCAGATCCAGACCCTGGGTCCTTCTGCCTCCAAAGTGGGTGCCCCCACCACTGATTTCGCCTACCAGGAGGAGCTGGCCACTGAGTGGGGAGGATAGCAGGATTAACAGACACCAGTGTGAACCTGGATCCATGACATGTTTGCTAAGCAGAGATGTTCACAGTCACAGGGACAAAGAACAGTGGATGGTTCTAACGGGGAGATCAAGGAAGGCTTCCTGGAGGAAGCAGCTTTGGAAGGGGAGAGTTTGAAGGGTTGGGAACAGAGAGGGGATTGTATTCTAGGCACAAAGAACCCACAGGAGGGCTGAGAGTTGGCTCCTGGGTGCTCTCCTCTGAGTGTGGGGAAAGGCTGACTGTAGAGGCAGCTCACCCGAGACACTGTCTCCCCCATAAGACCATGCACTCCTCCAGAGTCTTCCTCAGGGCATGGCACAGGCAGGGCTTGGGGAGGGACGGAGAGAGGGAGGCTGGAGTCTCGCCACCCTGGATGTTGAGAGAGGAGACAAGAGGCTGGCTGAGGCTCAGTCGGGTCTCAGGGCACCTCAGGGAGAGCAGGGAATGAGGTGGGTACTCTCGAGGGGCCCCAGCATGGCACGTGAGGCAGCTCTGTCCCCTGCGTCCTCACCTGTTCCCATGTCTCCCTCTTTCTGGAACTCAGAGAACCCCCAGCTGCCCCTGGGAGGCAGGAAGTGCTAGGTGACAGGGAGGACAAGAGGGAAGTGCGGATTAGACTCAAGTTTGGGTCAGTGTGACCTGGCCCTCCCTCCTGAGACTCTGTGTCATGAACAAGCCCTGCTGTGATTCTGAGGCACAGCCAGGTCTGAGAAGCACTGGCTTAGCCTGTGCAAATCTCGGTTTCCTTCCCTGGAAAATGGGGGAGTGTAAGTCCCACCCCCACAGCAGAGCCATGAAGGCGATGAGATGGGAGCGCTTAGCAGCAGGTGAGAACCCAGCAAACCCTGGTGACTGTTATTCCACACTAGTCACTGGCAGAGCCGCGCTCTCAACCAGGTGTACCAAACTACTAATGGGGCCGCAGCACTGAGGCCATGGCTGTGCAGACCAGGAAACTGCCCGTACAAGAAGCTGGGGAGGATCATTTGATTTGTGAAAAGTTCGTTGTGGCCAAATAGTCTTTCCGCATCTCCCAGATCACTTTTAAAATGCAAATTGTATCAATAAAGAGGAGAGCGTAATGCAGTAATTAGCAGAGGGGAAAGCAGAAAAGTGAATAAACCAGAAAACCAAAAATCAGCCTCCTCTACCCACCCCTAAACATGCCCAGCAGGAGTCAAATATTAATTAAGTGCTTCTTCCATTTGGACCTCCTGTTTGCAGGACTCATTCATGTTTGTTATAACAACACCACAGGAGCCAACCAACAAAACCCAGCTCTTCAGAAGAGCCCAAAGTCACCAGCAGAAACAGACACCTGGCTGGGCTGGAACTTGGGGAATTTTCTCTTAAAACAAATGTCCCCCCAATTTTCAGTTCAAATCCTTGTATATGATGCCAGGAAGCAGAGGGGAGTCCTTGGATTGCAAGTATTTGCAGGTATTCAGAGCTGTCAAAAACTTGCACTCTTGAAAATAATAATCCCACAGAACATTTAATTATCATGGTATTAGGGCACAAAGAAGATTTCAATGGGTTCCTAAATAAGATACATTCTCAACACAATGAAATGGAAATGTTAAATTAACAGCTAGAGATTGATTGTTGGTGGTGGTGGTGATGGTTTTTAATTTTTTTGAGATAGGGTCTTACTCTGTTGCCCAGGCTGGAGTTCAGTGGTGTCATCATAGCTCACTGCCACCTCAATGTCCCAGGCTCAAGCAATCTTCCCACCTCAGCCTCTTAAGTAGCTAGGCACAGGTGCACACCACCACACCTGGCTAAGTTTTTATGTTTTGTAGAGACAGGTTCTCACTATGTTGCCCAGGCTGGTCTTAAACTCTTGGCCTCAAGTGATCCTCTCACCTCAACCTCACACAGAAATTTATTTTTAAAAATCTAACTTGGTGGAAACTTGAAAACCGTCTCCCGAATAACTCCTGAAATAAAGAGGGGATTCAAAAAAAATTACATACTATTTTGATGTTTCACCCTATTTGGACATTAAATAAAATGAGAGTATTGCATACTACAACTTATAGGATGCAGCCAAAGCAACACTCAAAGGACAATTCATATTCACAAATGCATCTAAAATGTATCACGTTTTTAAGAAAGAGACTTTTTAAACAGAAAGTTGGCTTACCAATTAAACAGCCTCTGAGAAGGCAAAAAAATTCTGAGAACCAGCTGGGCGCGGTGGCTCATCCCTATAATCCCAGCACTTTGAGAGGCCAAGGCAGGTGGATCACGAGGTCAGGAGATCGAGACCATCCTGGCTAACACAGTAAAACCCCATCTCTACTAAAAAATACAAAAAATTAGCTGGGCATGTTGGCGGGCGCCTGTAGTCCCAGCTATTTGGGAGGCTGAGGCAGGAGAATGGCGTGAACCCGGGAGGTGGAGCTTGCAGTGAGCCAAGATCACGCCACCACTCTCCCGCCTGGGTGAAAGAGTGAGACTCTGTCTCAAAAAAAAAAAAAACTTCTGAGAACCTGTAGTTGTCTTGCCAAATTTCCTTAAAGCTCATACAACAGAAAAATTACTAATAGTTTTCCCTCCAAAAATTATCCATCTCCAAACTTGCCTATGGTGATGAAATGCAAAGAGTAGTCAGCGATGTGTTTCTGTACAGCAGGTTTACTGTCTCCATTAGACAAAGAAAGCAAGCTACGGCCAGGCACGGTGGCTCACGCCTGTAATCCCAGCACTCTGGGAGGCTGAGGTGGGCGGATCACTTGAGGTCAGGAGTTCAAGACCAGCCTGGCCAACATGGTGAAACCCCATCTCTACTAAAAATACAAAATTAGCCCAGCATGGTGGTCCATGCCTATAATCCCAGCTAGTCGGGGGGCTAAGGCAGGAGAACCACTTGAACCTGGGAGGCAGAGGTTGCATGAGCCGAGATTGTGCCCTTGTACTCTAGCCTGAGCAACAGAGCCAAACTCCGTCTCCAAAAAAAAAAAAAAAAAGAAAGAAAGAAAGAAAGCTAGAAAAAGCCCCGATGCCTACAGGGAGTGTCACCTCCGGTGCTCTTCTCATTACTGGTTGCAATTTGATGCCTTTCCTGAAGCATCCAGATAAGCGCTGGCTGGCGAGTCCAAGGAGGCCAAAATTCTAGACTCTGGCTCTTCCACAAATCAGATGTATGGCCTTAATCAAGTCACTTAATATTTATGTACCAGTCAGCTTTTGCCGTAAGGATGCTGTGTAACAATGTCAAATTTTCAAAGGCCTGCACAAACATTTATTCTCACATTCATGGGTCTGTAAGTTGACTGCAGTTTGCCTGGTCTAGCCTGGGCTCAACTGGGTAGTTTTGTTCCAAGTTGTGAATCAGCCAAACCACGTTCCAAGCTGTGGGTTAGATTCAAGTCATCTCCATGTGTCTCCTCTCCACATTTTTTTTTGGAGGGGGGACAGAGTCTCACTCTGTCACCGAGGCTGGAGTGCAGTGGCCAACCTCGGCTTACTGCAACCTCTGCCTCCCTGGTTCAGGCAATTCTCCCGCGTCAGCCTCCCAAGTAGCTGGGATTACGGGCATGCGCCACCACACCTGGCTAATTTTTGTATTTTTAGTAGAGACGGGGTCTCACCATGTTGGCCAGGCTGGTCTCAAACTCCTGACCTCAAATGATCCATCCGCCTCAGCCCCCCAAAGTGCTGGGATTACAGGCGTGAGCCACTGCAGCCAGCCTGAGTCTCAGTTTTCTTATCTGTAAGATGGAGCTGATGGAAATTCCTACCTCATAGGAATCAAATAGTACCTAAACTCTGTGTTGGTTGTCTTTAGACCTGGGTTCTGTCCCACTCCTGCCCAGTGGGGAAATGGGGCTGCCAGTCCTGGAACTGGGGAGTGAGGCCAATACCACCTAAACCGCAGGACTCTTCCTCAACAGAGAAGAGGTGGAACCCATGCCAGGGAGTTCAGCACAAAGCCTACTGTCAGAGCTATACACATTTTTTAAAGTTTTGTTTAAGTCTTTGGATTTTTTTTGTTGTTGTTTTTTGTTTGTTTTCTGAGATGGAGTCTCGCTTTGTCGCCCAGGCTGGAGTCCAGTGGCGCAATCTCAGCTCACTGCAACCTCTGCCTCCCGGGTTCAAGGAATTCGCCTGCCTCAGCCTCCTGAGTAGCTGGGATTACAGGCACCTGCCACCACACCCAGCTAATTTTTGCATTTTTAGTAGAGACTGGGTTTCACCATGTTGGTCAGACTAGTCTCAAACTCCTGACCTCGTGATCCACCCGCGTCGGCCTCCGAAAGTGCTGGGATTACAGGTGTGAGCCACCGCACCTGGCCTTGTTTAAGTCTTTTTTATCTGTAGAAATGGGATCTCGCTATGTTGCCCAGCCTGCTCTCAAACTCTTGGCCTCAAGCAATCCACCTGCCTTGCTGTCCCAAAGCACTGGGATTACAGGCCTGAGCCACCCCACCCAGCCTATTCTCATGCTTGTTTACAATCAAATTTAGTTATGGAGTTTCCAAAACTGCTTAAGTCCCACTAAAATGTTCACAAGGATCGCCTCCCATCACCGGGCCCCTCTGATGCTGTAAGAAAGGCTGCTGTCACTCATTTTATCAGCTGCCTTTTCAGCTTCATCAGAATCTGATTCCCTCTGGCCCAAAACTAACCTAGTGGGCATGGCGGGCATGCCCCGGGCATCCTCATCCCGAATCTTAAAGACAGAAGGGCTCAAAGAGACTCCCTTTCCAGGCTTGGTCTCAGGACCCTCCCCCTGTCAGTCCAGCCTCATTTTTAAGGCCCTGGGGAAGCCAGATGCAGGAGAGTAGAGCCATTAGCATTTGGGTTCTGGGAAATAAGAGACTGGGGTTCACACCCCAGCCCTATGACTTTCTGACGTTGTGAGTCTAAGAAGAGCAGGTGAGCTCTGTGGACCTCAGTTCCCTCTTTCGAAATGGGGCTGGCGACTGCATCCCAGCGTGGGCATCTGCACGCAGCAGTGGAGGGTGATTCAGAGTATGGGCTCCGGAATAGGGCAGCACTGGTTGGAACCGCAGCTCTTCCAATGAGGGATTCCAGCAAAGCCCTGGTCTCTTAAAATCCCCCGTAAAATGGAGATGATACAAGCGCTTGGTGGGGTGTTTTTAAAAATCTTGTGTCATGAACAAGCACACTGCCAAATATATACTCAGTTCGAAAGAAACAATGGTTCCCTTCCCCTCTCCGTGACCCTAATAGGCCGCCCTAACCAACACAGGGACAGAACTAACTAGTCACTAAGTGTGAGATGATGGGGCATGCTGTATGTCATGCCTGCCTTGTAAATGTTCATTATCTCAGTGTTCACTTAGGCTATAAAAAAGTAAATGAACAGGCCGAGCGTGGTGGCTCACGCCTGTAATCCCAGCACTCTGGGAGGCCAAGACAGGAGGATCACTTGAGGTCAGGAGTTCCAGACCAGCCTGACCAACATGGTGAAACCTCGTTTCTACTAAAAATACAAAAATTAGCGGGGTGTGGTGGCACACGCCTGTAATCCCAGCTACTCGGGAGGCTGAGGCAGGAGAATCACTTGAATCCGGGAGGCAGAGGTTGCAGTGAGCTAAGATCACGCCACTGCACTCCAGCCTGGGCAACAAGAGCAAGACTCCATCAGATAGGTAGATAGATAGATAGATAGATGATAGATAGATAGATAGATAGATAGATAGATAGATAGATAGATAAACGTTAACTAGTCCAATGAGTATAATGGCCTGACTTTGCCAAATCGAAGGTGTTATCAATGGTAAGACACTTCTCAATTTTAGAGATGTTAGATATGGGAGGAAGGTGGTGACTTAGAATAGATTAAATTCAGTGTATGATATTACGGTGAGACCATCAAGCTGTGGTTTCATAGAATTAAATATTATCGATTTCATTAGACAATTAGAAAACCCCGTCTCTGTGGGTATATTGCAAGCCACTGTCCCTTCCCCTTCTCTTCTGTCTTGGAAAGGGCATCAGACATAGTAGATACTCAACAAATGTCCGCTGAAGGAGTGAATCGATCCATCCCTCTAGTCATCAAAGAATCAGTGAATGAATCAACAGTGAATGGGGCCGGGTGCAGTGGCTCAAGCCTGTAATCCCAACACTTCGAGAGGCCGAGGCGGGTGGATCGCCTGAGGTCAGGACTTCAAGACCAGCCTGGCCAATATGGTGAAACCCTGTCTCTACTGAAAATACAAAAATTAGCCGGCATGTTGTTGGGCGCCTGTAATCCCAGCTACCTGGGAGGCTGAGGCAGGAGAATCACTTGAGCTTGGGAGGCAGAGGTTGCAGTGTGCCGAGATCGCACCACTGCATTTTAGCCTGAGCGACAGAGCAAGACTCTGTCTCAAGAAAAATAAAAGAATGATGCTTGTTGATTAAACAGCAGTGCTCAACCTTAGCAGAAGGACAAGACTGATTAAAACTTTTTTTAAAAGAGGGCCTTCAGCCAGGCATGGTGGCTCATGCCTGTAATCCCAGCACTTTGGGAGGCTAAGGAGGCAGATCATTTGAGCCCAGGGGTTTGAGACCAGCCTGGGCAACATGGCAAAACCCCATCTCTACCAAAAAAAAAAAAAATACAACAATTAGCCAGGCATGCTGGCGTGCACCTTTATTCCGAGCTACTCAGGAGACTGAGGCGGGAGAATCTCTTGAGCCCGGGAGTCGGAGGTTGCAGTGAACCACGATCACACCACTGCACTCCAGCCTGGGCAACAGAGCAAGACCCTGTCTCAAAAAAAAAAGGGCTTCATGCTAGACTGCTGTGATGTGAAAATATATTTTTGTACACATCTGATGCATGAGAAGCTAAACAGTTGTTCACCAAAATCCTTTCAAGAAGGCAATGTTTGTTCATTGAGAAAATACTAATTGGGCATCTATTATTTGTCAAGGACTAAGGAAGCTGCCAAGCAGAGACTTATGGACCTGTCCTCAGGGAATTTACAGTCTAATGGGGGAGATGGACAGACAGGTTAAAAAATAAACATTTTCTTAGTAGCTGTGTGATGAGAGGTGCCCACTATGCCCTCACCCCTACCACCAGCTGAGAGCATCATAGCTTATTTTTGTGATCAATGAACCAGTCAAAGATCCACTTTTTCATTGTTCAAGGCCCTGTGTCAGTGGCAACGCTGTGTATTCACTGAACCAGGTCATTTGGATGTGGAGAAATAGGGCTGCCAGTCCTGGAGCACACCTGAGGACTAAATTTCCCAGGCTCCCTTGCAGCTAGCTGATGACACATGACCCAGCTCTGGCCAATGGAAGGGAGGGATGCCAATTAGGGCTTCCCCATATAACATCCTTCAAAAAGAGAAAGAAGGAGACTTTCATTGGATCAAGCCTCAAAGATGCAGGAAGTTTGTTTTTGTTTTACAGACAGGGGTCTTACTATGTTGCCCAGGCTGGTCTTGAACTCCTGCCCTCAAAAGATTCTCCCACTTCAGCCTTCAGAGTAGCTGGGTGAACCACACTGTCCAGCAGGAATTATTTGTTACTGCAACAAAGCATAGCTCATCTCACACAGCCCTTTATAAAAATCCCTTCCATTTTCTTACGAATGAGGCAATAGGACTAAAGATGTCCTCGTTGGGCCGGGTGTGGTGGCTCACACGCCTGTAATTCACACACCTGTAATCTCAGCACTTTGGGAGGCTGAGGTGGACAGATCACTTGAGGTCAGGAGTTCAAGGCCAGCCTGACCAACATGGCAAAACCCCATCACTACTAAAAATACGAAAGTTAGCCGGATGTGGTGACGTGCGCCTGTAATCCCAGCTACTCAGGAGGCTGAGGCAGGAGAATCACTCGAACCCAGGAGGTGGAGGTTGCAGTGAGCCAAGATCGTACCACCGCACTCCAGCCTGGGCAACAGAGTGAGATTCCCTCTTAAATAAATAAAATAAATAAATAAGATGTCCTCGTTGCCAAGCAGAAAAATCAGGAACTGAGGAGAGACGCTGCCATGAGGAAGGATGAAGGCAGCAAGAAGGGAAGATGAGACACCAGGCTGGGCCATTGCAGCTGTCCCTGGAGGAGCAGCCACGGAGCAGAGCACTAGGAACCCATGAAACCAGGCTGCAAGAATGAGCAAGAGCAGCGTAGAGGATTGTCAGGGTTACACAGATATTCCCGCGCCTCCATTCTGAGTCCTGGAAGCCACCTTCTGCTTCCCGTTAAGTGCCTGCCCCCCGCCCCTCCCCTGCCAGGTGTCAGGGTTAAGCAAGCTGGCTGTGGAGACAAGCCAGTCTAAGGTGCAGTCGCTTACCCTCTCTGAGCCTCAGCCTCCCGGCCTGTGAAATGGGCGTGGTAATGAAAGTACCTCTGCTGCAGATTCTATCAGGAGGATTCACAGAGATGATTCATCAAGCAAAAAACTTAGTGGCGAGGACACGGCAAGTACTCAGGAAATAAACTAAGGAGAGGGTACTGGGGGCCATCACCCGGGACACAAGACAGAGAGACCCACTGTGCCACATTCTGGGGTCAGTTCTGGGAGAAGGCCCTGCCCCCTCCTCAAACCACGAGGTTCCACTCTCCCCAATGCACATCTCTCTCCCTCCTCTTCTCTGCCCCTTTGAAGCCACAGGCCAGGCGCCCTCCCTCGTTTCTACCCTCCTGAGGCCGGCATTGTGACTGTGGGCAGCTCACTTAGCCCCAAGTGTGTGTGTGAGTGCATGTGCGTGTGTGTGCTGTGTGTGTACGATGTGTGTGTGCCGTGTGTGTGTGTGCAGGGTGTGTGCGTGTGCATGTGTTTGCATGTTTGTGTGTCTGTGTGTGTGCATGCATTTGTGTATGTGCAGGGTGTGTGTGTGCATGTGTGTGGGCATTTGTATATGTGAGTGCATTGTGTGCACATCATGTTTGTGTGTGCATGTGTGTGCATATGTGGTGTGTGCAGGGTGTGTGTGCGTGTGAGCATGTGTATATGTGGGTGTGGGTGTGCGCATCATGTTTGTGTGTGCACATGTGTGTGCATGTTTGTGTGTCTGTGTGTGCATGTGTGGTGTGTGCATGTGTTTGTGTATGTTTCTGTGAGCATGTGTACATTTGGGTGCGTGTGTGTGCATGCATGTTTGTGTATGTGTAGGATGTGTGCGTGTGCATGTGTGTGTGTCTGTGTGTGTGTGTGTGATGGGCTAGCCAGTGTGGAGTACGGAAAGAGGCTGGCTGAGAGGTCTGAGTATGGATCATGCCCCGCTCCAGTCCGCCACTCGGTGGGAGGCCCCTGACCGGAAACTTCTTCCTATGCCTCAGTTTCCTCATCTGTATGACGAAGGCAATGACAGCGCCTGAGCCCCCAAGGGGCTGGGTGGACACAGGACACAGATGTCAAGGGCCCTGCCTGGTGCCCTTTCACCAACACAAGGTCAGGAACTGAAATTCTAATTGGCCCCATTTTTTCAAAAAAATTAAACAGGAATGAAAAGGAGCTTGGGAGAGGAATTGAGGGCAGACAGCCGGGGTTCGCTGTGCTCTCCTACTCTCTCCTCACACACACTTGAGAAATGATTTTTTGAGAAATGCTCTCAAAACGAAAACCAAAACTGCTTTGTTCCGTGCAAGTAGCATTAAGAATTCACTAGGGTGGGGAGCAGGAGGGGCACCAGTGCAGCTTGAGCTTCAGAACCGACGGCTGGAGAGTCTGGGAGCTGAGAAGGGGGACAGGCCCACCAGGGAGCACCAGACGGTGGTGGGAGGCCTGGGAGCCAGACACTCTCCCCTCCCTCTAGGCCCCACCCCAAGCCTGGCTGACTTCCCTTATCCCCTCCTCGCAAGCTTATTTATTTATCTGCTTACTTACTGCTTGCTTGTTTTTCCATCTGGAATGCCTGCACATGAGGCTCACGATGGCAGGGGCTGCTGTGGCACACAGTAGGCACTTAATATTTGTGAAAGGACCACTGAGCAAGTGAGGAAATGAATGAATGGTGGAAAGAGCCAGGGCGAAGCACAGCTGGCAAAGATGGATGAAGCTCAGACCAGAGGATGGGACCCACATAGCAGCGAGAGAGGTGTGGCTCCAGGTGTGCAACCTCACTTCCCCAGGTCTCAGTCTGGGAAAGGGGGAATGCAGTACCATCGCCTCGTGAGATCCTTTGGAGGATTAATGACAAATAATACATGTTACACGTTGTCCTGGGCCTGACACGATGGTGTCTACAGTTATTACTCATGGAGTGGGGAGTGGGGAGGAGAGAGGCACGTACGCCAGCTCCCACCACTCAAATGAAAAAAAAAAAAGAAAAAAAAATTATAGGATTCCTAAGACTCAAGGAGCTTCTCACTCCTTAGAAACTCCCAGCTGAGCTGGGGAAGGGACAAAGGTCTGTACTGAGTGAGTTATAAACAACTCAGCCAGGAAAGCTGAGCTGCCACCACCACACACACACACACACTCTCTCTCACACATGTGCACACACATGCACACACTCTTATACTCACATGCACACACGCATACTCACACACACACTCTTGCACACACACACACACACACACACACACACCAGCCCGGCCCAGGATTAACTCTGGCCTGCCCAGAGTGCTCAGCTCCAGGCAGGATCTTGAGAAAGGAGAAAAGAGGGCAGGGGAAGTTTCCGGTCTCAGCTCAGTACTAATCCCTTCACAGTGCCTCTCAACGTTCAAAGCACTTGTGAGTCAGGTGACAAATGAGGAAACTGAGGCCCGAGAGAAGCAATCTGCGTTCCCTAAGGATAACAAGGCCAATCTGAAGCTAGAACCCATTTCTCCAGCCCCCATCCCCCCAGTCTCCACCCTATCTGTTAGGCCACCCAGATGTGCAGAGCACTGAAGGACACCCCATCCTCACCCCAGAGCACCTCCCAGCAGGCTTGCCCTAAAAGCTCCAGCTGAGCCCTTGGCAGACATCACTAATCAATTGGAGCACCCAGGGCTCCAGGCAGACACCACTAGTCAATCAGATCTGGCTCCAAAGAATCAAGGATGCCTCAGCATGGCTCAGGGGAGTGACATCTGCCTGCCCTGCTCCTCACAGTTTAGCACAGCCCCTACACATTAGCCAGCATTCAGCCCATGGTGAATAAATGAATGAATGAATGAATGAATGAACAAATGAACACGCAGCCTTTGCCAGATGCTGGAGCAGGGACCCCAGATGTGAGATATCACATCTGTACCCTATGCACACTCCATGGACAAGTGCAGAATTCACCCAGAGGACCGACAAACGAAAGAGCCTCATTCCTCTCCCGAAGTTCCTAGTGCCCCGCCCCCCACCCCCAGAGCCCTGTGACGTCTCCTTCCTTTCGGTGTGAACAGGCAACTCACCCAAGCTCTCTGTGCCTCGGTTGCTCCATCCATGAAATGGGAATTATAACTGAACCTGCCTCAAAGGTTGGTGTGGAAATTCAGGGAGACTTGGTCCAGTGCCTGGTAAGAGCGAGAGCTCCAAGAAGAGCCAAACCACTGTCAGTCTTTCTCATTACACTTAAGGTCCTTGAAGCCAGGGCCACAGTGGCTTTCTGGGCACTAGGCCTATTGCCCAGGACTATGCTAGGAAAACACAGACAACAGCGAAGGGCGGGGGTCATTAACCTCCACCCGGGCCAGTGACAGGGAGCAAGTTCTGTGGGGCCAGCGGAGGCTACCCCAGATCCGCAGCCCTAGCCTCGTTCCCCAGTGTCCACCAGCTACAGCGCCACTGGCTCCTCAGCCTAAGAAAGAGAAGACTCAACAGTGACCCCTGTGGCCAGCCACACCCTCTGCCTTCCCTGCCACTGCCCGAAGCCCTGGGTTTCGGTCCCCACCCCTCTGGAACAAGCCACACTCCCAGCCAGAGACACAGTGCACTAGGGCAGCTAGAGGCAGGACCCGGAGGTGAGACGTCTGATTTCCAACCCCAGCTGTGGTCCCATGTCTTGAACACAGAGCACATCCCTCCTCTTCTCCAGACCTCAGTTTACCCATCTGGAAATTGAGGCTGGGGGTCAATCTGGTCTCCAGGGCCCTTCAAACTAGCAATGTTGTCTGCATCCTTAGGTTCATTGATTCACTCATGCCACAGGTCAGGGCCCACTGTGGACCCGGCCTTTGGCTGGGCCCCTTCGTTGCTGTTCTCGCTGCTAGAAGATCCCCCCTCTTCCTGGTCTCCAGGTCTCAGCTTCTCACTTCCCAGACCAGCCTTGGACCTTGGACCTGCCCTCCTCCAGCCCTGTCCTTCCAATCACAGACTTAGCTCTCAGTATTTTCTGGTCTATCTAGCTTGTCTGCTTCCCTCTGAATCGTGGCCTTCTGAAGGCAGAATCACATCTTGTTCCCTGACCCATTCCCAGGGACTCCAGAGAAGGATTCTGGAAGTATCTCTCAGGCAAATGAAAAATGAATGAATGTGTGAATTCCAAGTTTCTCTCCCACTTCCTCCAACACAACACCCCAATACAGTTTTTTGCCTATGGACCCCTTCCCCAAGTTAACCCCCGGGAGCCAACAGGGCAAATCCCACTGTGGATCAGGGGCCTTCCTAACCATGTCCCCTGCCACCAAGCCCGGGTGACCAGAAGGTGTCCACAGACATATGTGCACTTGTGAAGTGTTAACTGCTCTGATGGAGGGCTGACACCACCTGGGGTTTGATGGGAGCCCAGGTCCCCAGCGGTTCCATGCCCCAGCTCCATGCTGCCCCAGCAGACACTTGGTAAATACTGAGGCATTAATTAACTTCCTCCAGGGAGCAGTGACTCTGTGCCAGATGTAACCTCCCCAGCTCCAGGGGGAAAGGTGAGATCCCCAACCTTTCTCAGGTGTACAGAGAAATAAGGCCAGCCCTTCATCCTTGTCTCGTTTGGGCCTATTCCCCTTCGTGGGGTGCAGATCTGAGGGTACCTTCTCCTGACACGTGGGCACATACATTCTCACACACATGCACACACTGGCTGCCCTGAACCTTTATGCATCCCAGCAGAAGCCTGGCATGCAAACCACCCATTCTATAAACGTTTGTGAATTCCTACTATGTGCCCCCCAAGCCACACCGCTCCCCCGGGCACCAAATAGTGCAGCTGTTCCATTGCCTCCTTCAGCAAGGTTTTCCTGACGACAGCTGTGGTGCCTCCCCTTCCCAGCCCACCTCAAAAAAGACCAAGGGTTTTTATGAAGCTGCACAACTGCTGAGCCCTCCCCATTAGCCCACTTCTCAGTTCTTGAGAAAGAGGAGAGACAGAGTGTGGGCCCCCAACAGACCCAGAGGATGGGGCCACCCAGAAGAGGCTGACCACTTCTCAGCTGGCCCCAGTGAATGAAAGGAACTTCAAAGATCCCCAAACTCACCTTGTGGGGGACTAGGAGGTGCCACGAGGAGCTGCCCATGTGAGGGGCCTGGTCCTTCTGCCCCCAACCTGTAGGTGGAAATCCACCTCCATCCCTGCCCTGTTTCCCCATCTGGGCCCCCAGATTCATGTTCTGGGGTACAGCTCTGAATGAGGGGCTGAGGCTGAGACTGACATTTGCTTCCTTATGGGCCCTGGTCCCACAGCACTTGGCAGTAAAGCGGTGGGGGTCGATCAAACCAAGATCATATTCACCAAGAGCTGGGCCCTGAGAACTGGCCTTGGCTCCACTGACAGCGGAAGCTGATTTGGAGGAACCTCTGGTGAACTCCCACCCTGGAAACAGATGGGTTTGGGCTCAGATCTTGACTCCACCCCTTGCTGGTATGTGACCTCAAGCAAGGTGTGTAAACTCTTAGTTTCCCCCAATAAACACTGGGCCATGACAGAAAGAAGACCCCAAATCAGTGCTGATAATATTTTCTGGAGCTGTGGGCTTGCAGTGTGCCAGACACTGTGGATCCCAGACTTCACTGTTGCATACAGAGTCCTCACAGCTGTAAAGCCGGTAAGAGCTCCCAGATCCCTCTGCATGCTAGTGATGTCTCAAAGGTGAACTTCAAACATAAATAAATAAAGTCTTTTTTTTTTTTTTTTTTTGAGACGGAGTCTCACTCTGTTGCCCAGGTTGGAGTGCAGTGGCGCCATCTGGGCTCACTGCAAGCTCCGCCTCCCGGGTTCACACCATTCTCCTGTCCCAGCCTCCCAAATAGCTGGGACTACAAGCACCCGCCACCACGCCCAGCTAATTTTTTGTGATTTTTAGTAGAGACAGGGTTTCACTGTGTTAGCCAGGAAGCTCTTGATCTCCTGACCTCGTGATCTGTCCGCCTCGGCCTCCCGAAGTGCTGGGATTACAGGCGTGAGCCACCGCGCCCGGCCATAAATAAAGTCTTTGTGTGCCTTTAAGACAGGCACCAGGGAAGTGAAGGGCAGTGTATTTTTACTTCTACGTGTTATCACCTGAGCAAGTTCCACAGCCTGTAGGTCTGTATCACCAATAAAATGTAGGTAGGACATCCTTTATCTGAAGTCCCCTGAAATTTCAATCCTGGCTTCTCTGGGAGGAGGCCTGGAGAGGTGCTATTGGTCACAGGGGCCCAAAGCGTTTGAGATTGTTCGAGGGGGCCAAGGGAAGGACACAGCACCAGCCCTGGGGCCATGTGATCTTGGGCAAGTCTCACGCTGTCAGTGTCCGAGTTTCCTCATCGGAAAAATGAAGTAAACACCCGCTAACTCTGTCTTCACTCTCAACGCCTGGCATGGAGTAGATGCTAAGAAACTTTTGCAGAAATCTTGGAAATTCTTAAGACTAAAGAAAGACCCAGAGACCACAGGGTGGGCTACTGGGTCTCTCCACTCCCACCAAGGGATGAAGTAGGTGCTGAGAACTCAGAAGGAAGCCCCAAAAAGCAGAGACTCAGAAGATCCCCTGAGGAGGCGGTGAAGCAGCAGGACGTCTGGTCATGGGCCTCCCCCCTGAGTCCAGCCCCACAAGGTCCACCTATCTCTGGGAGACTCTGCAGACCTCGTTCATCCTTCAGGGATCCACTCATGGACCCTCCTCAGGCAAACCTCCAGACCATTTCCAAGAGCCTCCAGAGCTGTCTGGGCAGCCCCCACCCCAGGCACCTTTGAAACCCCTGGGAGCAGCAACCAGCCCCCTTCAGGCCTCTTGGTCCAGATAGAGCGCCCCCAGGAATCAGCAATCCTGTCCCTCTCTTCTCCCACTGTCTCAGTCCCCAGCTGGGACCTGAAGGGTTCAGGATAAGAAGGAAAGCTGTGTCAACAGAAGTTAAGTCGGTGAGTCCCCGGGCCTTTGGTATTCACCTCCCGTCTCGAGCGCAGGGTCCTGTCCCAGCTCCTAGCTCCGCCCCCTGGGAACTGTGTGGTTCCCCAAGTCACTCCACTCCTCCGAGCCTCAGGCCCCTCCTCTACAAACGTTAGAGTGAGGCATTGGGGAGTTGCTGGGAAGGGCCTGCCCCATATTAGGCCCATAATAATAGTCCCTATTGTCATTATTATTAGTTAGGCACGAAAGGAAAGGTTACAGAGCTGGTGATTAGGGCACTCAGCGTTTCGGCTCCCAGGACGCTTTTGAGCCTCAGCTGGTCGCGAGGTCCACACACTCCCTGGGTCATGCCTGGCCTCGGAACTCTCTCCATCAGAGAAGGTCAAAATTCACGATGTTTTGGTTTTTCCTGTCAGACAAATGGGGAGGACTTCCCTTCCGCAAGCATTCCCAGAGGCCCCTCGACCAAAAAGTCAAGGAGTCAGGCCCTACATTCTCTGCGGTAGAGGGTACCCCCAAAACCTCGCTCCTTTGATGTTCCCCAGTGTCAAGCCGGCGGCTCCACCAGCCTCCTGTAGAGAGGCCTTGACTCCCGCGGGTCACTCGGGGGGGCGACAGGTGCGCAGGTGGAGGCGCCGCGCCGCTGGGGGAGCGATGAGCGGCGCGCACCTGCCGCAGGTGAGGCCCAGCCGTGCGGAAAGGGGAGGAGCCGTCGCCGCAGCACTCAGGTGAGCCGACCCCCGGCTCCCGGGACCTAAGGCGAGGGCAGCCGCGGGCTTCAACGTGGCCGCTGCCAGGCGACCTATGCTGCAGACTGCGGCCCCGGCGGCTCCGAGTCCCGCGCGGCGCGGCAGCCCCAGGAGAACATTCGAGGCAGCAGCGGCGTTGGAGGCCCGGGGTCCGTTCGGTATTTGAATAGCACAAAGGAACCGCCTTGGTCTGATTGGCCAGCCGAGTAGCCCCGGGGCGGGCTGCGCCTGTCACTCAGGAGACTCTCAGAGCTCCTATTGGCTCTTCTCATGTGGGGCGGGGCCCGGGCACCCGGCTAAATAGCTGGGGCCGGGGCCGGCCGAGACTCATTGCTTTGGCGCCGTCTGGGGAGCGCGAGCCCGCGGGTGGCGCGCGGCGCATGGTGGCGGCTCCTTTCGGAGCGCAGCCGAACCTCTGACCCGGACTCCGTTACCCCTGCCCGGCGCGCCCCGGCGGCCGGCTGGAGGCAGAAACAGCAGAAGCGTTAACAGCAGCAGCGGCGGCGGCTGCTCCGCCGCCGTCTCCGCGGGAGCATGGAGTGCGCCCTGGACGCCCAGAGCCTGATCAGCATCTCCCTGCGCAAGATCCACAGCTCCCGAACCCAGCGCGGCGGCATCAAGCTGCACAAGAACCTCCTGGTGTCCTACGTGCTCCGCAACGCGCGCCAGCTCTACCTGAGCGAGCGCTACGCCGAGCTCTACCGGCGCCAGCAGCAGCAGCAACAGCAGCAGCCGCCCCACCACCAGCACCAGCACCTAGCGTACGCGGCGCCGGGCATGCCGGCCAGCGCGGCCGACTTCGGCCCGCTCCAACTTGGCGGCGGCGGGGACGCGGAGGCGCGCGAGCCGGCCGCCCGGCACCAGCTGCACCAGCTCCACCAGCTCCACCAGCTGCACCTCCAGCAGCAGCTGCACCAGCACCAGCACCCGGCGCCCAGGGGCTGCGCGGCGGCGGCGGCGGCCGGAGCGCCCGCGGGCGGCGCGGGGGCGCTCTCGGAGCTGCCCGGGTGCGCCGCGCTCCAGCCGCCGCACGGCGCGCCCCACCGCGGGCAGCCCTTGGAGCCTCTGCAGCCGGGTCCTGCGCCGCTGCCGCTGCCGCTGCCGCCGCCCGCGCCCGCTGCGCTCTGCCCGCGGGACCCTCGCGCCCCGGCCGCCTGCTCCGCGCCCCCAGGGGCCGCCCCTCCGGCCGCCGCCGCTTCTCCGCCCGCCTCCCCGGCCCCCGCCTCCTCCCCCGGCTTCTACCGGGGCGCATACCCTACCCCTTCGGACTTCGGCTTGCACTGCAGCAGCCAGACCACCGTGCTGGACCTAGACACTCACGTGGTGACCACGGTGGAGAACGGCTACTTGCACCAGGACTGCTGCGCCTCCGCCCACTGCCCCTGCTGTGGCCAGGGCGCTCCGGGACCGGGCCTGGCGTCCGCCGCCGGCTGCAAGCGCAAGTATTACCCTGGCCAGGAGGAGGAGGAAGACGACGAGGAGGATGCGGGCGGGCTGGGGGCCGAGCCCCCCGGGGGCGCCCCGTTCGCCCCCTGCAAGCGCGCCCGCTTCGAGGACTTCTGCCCGGACTCGTCCCCGGACGCGTCCAACATCTCAAACTTGATCTCCATCTTTGGCTCCGGCTTCTCGGGGCTGGTGAGCCGACAGCCGGACTCCTCGGAGCAGCCGCCGCCGCTCAACGGGCAGCTGTGCGCCAAGCAGGCGCTCGCCAGCCTCGGCGCCTGGACTCGAGCCATTGTCGCCTTCTAGGGACCCCCGAGGGCACAGGGACCCGGGGCCCCGCGGGGCTGGGGCCAGACAAAGACTCGGCAAAGGGGCGAGAGGAGGGAACGAGCGGGCGCCGGGCCACTCGGGGCTGAGCTGGGGGCGAGCGGGGGCAGGCGGCTGATGTTTTATAAATTGTAAAATAAAAAAAAAAGAAATCTAAAATCTTGGACTTTATTTTTGCAGAGAGAAAAAGCGCCTATTTAAGTATGCTTTGTGTTTCTCCTACTCCTTTTTTTCTTTTTATTGTAGTGATTGCAGTGGTGTTTAGCGAGGAGCCTACCACGTGAGGGAGGGCTGCTGCCCGGAGGAGGTGCCGGGCAGCCGGGGGCGAGGCAGGGCGCCCTGGCCGCCGGGGCGCGCCGGGGGCGCAGCTCAGGAGGGCGCCGGACCTGGGAAGCCGATTCCAATCAGTTGTCAGACCCGGGAAGCCCGACGTTCCGCTCTCCCGAGTCCCTCTGTGGGGTGAGGAATGGGTCTTGTGAAATTCTGAGCAAAAACAAAGGCAAACTCTATCTCCGAAAGGGACGTTTGGGTCACATTTCCTCTCTGGGGGCGGACTCCAAAGTTCTCAAAATGAGAAGGCAGAAATGAAAACACTTCAACTTTTTTTTTCTTTTCTTCCCGGGGCGGGTGTCTTGAACCCCTCTTCTCCCCGCCCCTCTGGCTCCGTTCTCCTCCCCTCCTCCACCCGTCTCCCGGACTCGGGGGTGGCGCCTGACACCCCGACACTCTCGGACACTGGGTAAGGGGTGGGGGGCGGGCACGGCGGACTACATTTCCCATCATGCCTAGCACTGCGGTCCTCACTAAACAAAAAAGGAAGTCAATTCCTTCACCTGGATCCCCGGCGGCCCCGGGGGAGGGAGGGGCCGGGACCGCCGACTGCGTTGGAGACTTTGCACTAAGTTCCTGGTCAGCTGTGGTGTTTGTGTGTGTGCTTCTAAGTTGCACTGCCTTGGTTCAGCCTTCGGTTGCATTTCATGAAACCAGCATTGTTCGAGCCTGTGAGAACCCCGTCCTGTGTCTTCAGCTCGATAGATTTGTTTAATTTAAAAGCCTTTTGTTGTAAAAAGGTGGGGTTCGTCTGCAGCCCCTCTGGTTCTCTGCCATCAGCACCGTGTGGACTCCAAAACGAGTTGCCAATCCTTCCTTTCTCGGCCCTTTTCCCTCATTACCCTGTATTTTTGTGCATACTGAATTGTATATCACCGGGTAAAACTGTTCAGATTGTTTAAATTTATAATCTTAATAAAAAGTCGATTACAGAAGATGGTGGTGCCTTGTTTTCAGATGTCTGGGGGCGTCAGAGAGGATAGAGAGGTGTGGGGAGAGACCCCGCCCACCCCCATGTAAACCCCAGTTCTCTTCGGCCTGGGCGGGCGGGATCTACCCACATCCGCAAGGTCGGCGGTGGGAGAATGGGGGGTGATGTTGGTGGCTGGGGATGAAGCGGGTGCTGCGCGTCTCTCGGCCGCCCCCGCTCCAGGGGGGTCCTGTCCCCCACGGGAACTGGCCGCCCCGGGGTCTCCAGCGGGAAGCGGAGCCAGCCTCCAGCACATTTCCTGCCCAGGCACAGGCGCAGGGCCTGGTCGGCCTCGAGTCTGAGCTCTCTGTGGCCGGGGAAAGCAGCCGGGGGACGCCGGGGGTTTCAGGGCCACCCGCACTCCCTGCCCCGCGCCTCTGCCCCGCACGTCCGCATGTCTCGGGCTGCAACTTGGGGAAGTTTTTTCCTTTTCTTTTTCCCTTTTTTTTTTTTAAGTTGAGTTTGTTATCACTGCTCGGTGCCACTTGGTGGTGTGCTGGCGGCGTCTCCCTCCCTCCTCGCGCCCCTCCCCTCTCCCTCTCCTTCCCTCCCACCCGCCGCTCTTCCCTCCCCAGTGGATGGAGGGAGGAAGGCTCCCGGCGCGCGCTCCCCTCTGACCACCTACGGAATGACCTCAGAGTGGGAGAATGTGCCAAGGCCCGGGGGAAGCTCGCGTTCTCCCCACTGGAAACAAATCCACATCTGGAGCCGCGGCTTGGGCCCAGGGGCGCGCGGGATAGTTCCAGCTTTGCAAAGAGGGGTTAGGAAAGAAAGAACGAGAAAAAGAAAGCAAAGTGGCAGCCTGCTGGCTGTTTGCTGCCGACTCCCCACAGCTCCTCGCTCTCGCTGGCTCCCTCGCCCCCACACTGCCCTCGCCGGTGCGAGCCTCGCAGCCACCCCGCAGGACGGCTCGCGCCCCCCACCCCAGCCTTCGCGCCTCCCGCGGCGACAGGAGGGGCTGCCGCCAAGAGGCCCCCAAGCCAGACTCTGAGAGGCGGACGCAAGCCTGTCCCCGGGGACTGCTCCGCTCTGGATCCCGGTGTCACGCGAGGCGAAGTTCTCGGGGACACTCTCCAGAATGCGGGGGTCCGCGGAGGTCCGCGTTGGGGGTGGGGAAAAAGGAGGCTCTGGGGGCGTGAGTCGCGGGGAGGAAAGGCACCTTCACCCCCAGGGCTGCTTCATCGGCCTCCCACGGGAAGAGTCTGGAGCTGCCGAGGAGGGGGAACAGTGCGTTTCCTCCCTCCCCATTTTCCCCTGCAAGTCCAAGGAAATCGCGGTTGGCTGCACGGTTTTGCTTCAATCCACGAAGCCAGTTGCCAGAGCTCCCCCTAGCGCCGCTTCGGGCGCGCTGCAGTGGCTGGGGCTGAGAGTGGGCGAGGCTCGGCGGAGGCGGCGGGGCTGTCGGGGGCCGCTTCGCGTCCACCCGGGGAGCTGCGTGGAGTCTGCATCTCGCCCTTGCCTGAGCTGGGTCCCGGGGCCGCGTGCGTCCCCACTCCAGGCCCACGTCGAGGAGGGGCACGTGGTCGGCCCCCTTTGTTGGGAGCTGGGCACTGGAAGGGACCGGCCAAAGGGCTTGGGAATTCCCCACCCGCCCCAGGGATCCCTGTGGTAAAGGAGAGTGGATGGTGGGGTGCGAAATAAGATCTCTGAACTCAGCAGGACCCCAGACGAGGGCTCCCCTCCCCTCTGCCGGGTGATCTGAGCCTAAGCCGCACACTGGAATCTAGCAATGCCAAGGGATGGGATGGGGCGCTCTGGGAGCACCCTAAAGAGAGGTGCCCTTCCCCTTCCCTTATCTTCTCGGGGCCCAAGGACCTGGGCAGCCCCACAAAGGGTTAGTGCCCTGAGTATAATTCCCCTTGACCCAAAACGCAACCCACTGGCAATCTACCCGTCTCACCAAGACATTCCACACAAAACTGTAACAGGCTGCACAGCCTTGATTCTACACTACACCCCACACTGAGGGCCACACCCAGCCACACACTGTCTCCAACACTTGCTCCTAAGCTGCATCTTCACCCCACTCACAATCCCTGGGGCCACTGGCGCAGCAGGAAACATACCAGCCTAGAACATCCAGAGAGACCGATGTTCCCGTGCATAGCACAAGTGAGAGGCTGGGTCCGGGAGGCGGGTGGATGGGGTTGCCTGGCCATGGGGGTCGTCTGAAAGGGGGATGGGGTCAGGCGGGCAGGCAAACCAGGAGTCCATTTCAGCTCCACAGACAAGCCTCTCTCCCTCCAGTAAAAAGACCAGTGGAGCCCCCAGACAGGACTTAGGGGTGCTGCTTAGGGAGGTAGGGGAATTAGAAGAGACTGGGTGCCCGGGGGATGACAAGGGGGAGCTTCCAGAGAGCAGCAGCTCTAGAAGCAAGAGCTCCAGCAAGTCCGTGGTCCTCCTAGGTTAAGCAGCTCCCCCCAACACACTCCCCCAGGCTCCTAGGACACCACGGGTCTGGCTGCCCTTGATACGTGGTGTAGGGCTGAGCCAGGCTCCAAGCTGCGCTCCCAGCAACATGGAGCTGCTGGGATGACAGCCCAGAGCCTCAGAGCTGCAGGCTGCCCTCCAGAGAAGCCAGGGGTGGGGATGCCTCAGGCTCCCAGGAAAGTCACTGTGCAGGGCACTGAGATCTGGGTGCTGGGTGCTGTGTGTGTGTGTGTGTGTGCAGCAAGAAATACAGTGTGTGTGACTGTGTGTCCCTCTGGCACAGGGGATGCACACCAGGAGCTCTCCCTCCAATCAGTGGACAGTATTTATGAAGCTCCCATTTGGTGCTTGGCCTGTGTGAGGCACTAATCTGACCACAGTGAACAATAGCAGCAAATGACGAGAACAGCAAGCCCCTCTCTCTGGATTAGCTCGTTTAATTTTTCCAGCTACCCTCTGAGGTAGAGACTGTAAGCATCCTCATTTCAGAAATGAGAAACCTCGCCCAAGGTCACACAACTGAGAGGTGGCCAGTTTCTACTGTTGGAGCTCACAGTTGAGTGGGTAAGAATTTGTAACATTACATTGCGAGCTGGCAAATGATTCCGAGGTTGTTTAAATAGTCACATTGATAAGTCCCAGCTGAACCGAAACTGGGTTCTGGGATCTCTTCATCCCTGAACTAGCTGGTTGGGAACACACACCTCACCCCCAATACTTCATGCTGCAGTTTCCAGGGACAGGGATGAAGAGACACACAGCACAGTGGTGTCTGTACCCACCTCATCCAAGGCAGAGCCCTGTTTCCTGAAGACTCACTTGTGGTAGGGGACAGCAGCACCACTGGCATCAGCCTGGGCAAAAGGTGGGATTTCTTGGCTCAAGGCAAGAACTGTGCAGTGGGCAGGGGCACAGCTGGCTTCAGGCACAGCAGGATCCAGGCACAGATCTTTTCCAAGATGCTATCTCTCCATCTCCTGTGACTTTATTCTTTGAACTCAAGCTTCCCACTGTAGCCACAGGTGGCAGCTCCTGGCCTCCAATTCTCAAAGCTTTGCCACCCAAGAGGAACTGCCTTCTTCTCTTATTTTCGACTCAGAAAATCCCAGGGAAAACAAAAGCATTGGTCAGGGCGTGGTGGCTCACGCCTGTAATCCCGGCACTTTGGGAGACGGAGGCAGTGGATCACCTGAGGTCAGGAGTTTGAGACCAGACTGGCCAACACGGTGAAACCTCTTCTCTACTAAAATTACAAAAATTAGCCGGGTGTGATGGCATGCACCTGTAATCCCAGCTACTCGGGAGGCTGAGGCTGGAGAATCACTTGACCCCAGGAGACGGAGGTTGCAGTGAGCCAAGATTGTGCCGCTGCACTCTAGCCTGGGCCACAGAGCAACACTCCATTTCAAAAAAAAAAAAAAGAAAGAAAAGAAAATCCCAGGGAAAGGCTGTAATGTCCTAAGTGTACAGCCAGGACATGAGGGGTGGTTAGTAGCTAGCGCCCACTGGAAGCTCACAGAAGCTTCTCAGAAAAGGAGGGTGGTCGGTACCGGCTGGCAGACCCAAGATGTCCTTCAGAGAGAGGGGCTGCAAGCTGAGCTAAGGGAGGTGTCTCCCAGTGGAACTCGGAGCACAGGCATGGCTGCTTCAGAACCTGGGCGACAACGCGGTCAACGCAGCGCTGGAAGGGGAACACCCTCCCTGCTCCTGGCCAGGATGAAGAGGCTCCAGGGCCATCGGGTGCCTCCCAGTTTTGTCACTCAGGAATCATCAGGGGAGGGGAGGCCGAACAAGGGGGCTGGATTTTTCCAGCAGGCTCCGTGGCCAGGGCAGCAACAGGGACCACCCTCAGGGGACTTAGGGCAGGGATAGCTGCAGGGAGACAGAAGCAGAACCTGGCTGGGATCTCACATGTGGCTCCTCAAGGGACTCCCAGATACAACTGCAAAGGCTTCAGGGCAGGCCAAGATGCTAGCCAGCAGGATAGGGCTGGAGTGGCCGCAGGAAACATTAACATGGCCACCGGGATGTCCCCCGCTGGTAGGGCCTAGGGACATCTTGGGTACAGGTGGCCTTAGCTATTCATACGTTTAGAGGAAAAAAGACTGAATACAAGTTCAAAAATGCTGAAATGGTTATTACTAGGTGGGCAATTACAGGAGACCTTTATTTTATCATTCATACATGTCTATATTTTCCAAATTTTCTACAATAAGCATGTATCACCTTTGTATTTACAAGAAAAACGAACAGTACGCCAGAGAAAAATGTGACATGACAGGTGCTACAATCGATGTCCAGTGTTCTATGGAGCAGAGAGGAGGGAGCAGCTAGGTCCAGTCTGGCTGGGGGAAGGCTCAACCCCTGAGAAACACTCCTCTACCTGACAGCCTTGGTCAACGGGAATCCACACTCCTGTCCTCTGGTTTTTTTTTTAAGAGGTGTGAGACAAAACAACAAGCTCAGCTCCAGGACATGGTTGAGGAGCACTGCGGAGGGAGTCTCGTTCCTTCTCCTCTCTCATCTCTGACCGCTGTCTCAG
Organism: Homo sapiens; assembly: GCF_000001405.40. Taxonomy (NCBI): domain Eukaryota; kingdom Metazoa; phylum Chordata; class Mammalia; order Primates; family Hominidae; genus Homo; species Homo sapiens. The sequence goes on along the minus strand of NC_000009.12, from coordinate 129,170,544 downwards.
CCCCACCCAGTCCCAGCCATCAATCGCCACTGACTTGCTCAGAGTCACAGGATTACGCGGCAAGGTGGGCAGGAAGAGGCAAACATACTCAGGAAATATTTTCAGAACTTGGGCTGAAACTAAAGAGGAAGAGGCAAAGCTCAGTGGACAGAGCACTGGACCAGGAGTACAGAGACCCAGACACAGGTTCTGGCTCAGCCACAGACTTAAATTGGGCCCTGGGATGAGTCACTTCCCTAAGGGGCCCATATTCCCTCATCTGTAAAGACAGAGTGAGAAGACAGAAGGTTCTAAGCCAGCTCTGATATTCCAAGAGTCAGAAAAGAAACCATTGCTTCCAGCTTTCTGATGATCTGAGGCTTTGTGTCCCATCCGAGTAAGAAAAACACAGGTAGAGGCTGGGCGCGGTGGCTCACACCTGTAATCCCAGCACTTTGGGAGGCCGAGGCAGGTGAATCACAAGGTCAGGGGTTTGAGACCAGCCTGGTCAACATGGTGAAACCCCGTCTCTACTAAAAATACAAAAAATTAGCTGAACGTAGTGGCAGGTGCCTGTAATCCCAGCCACTTGGGAGGCTGAGGCAGGATAATCGCTTGAACCCGGGAGATGGAGGTTGCAGTGAGCCAAGATCTTGCCACTGCATTCCAGCCTGGGTGACAGAGTGAGACTCCGTCTCAGAAAAAAAAAAAAGAAAAGAAAAACACAGGTAGAAGGACCATGGTGATATCCAAAAGAAAAAATGCACATATATATATATATATATATATATTTTTTTTTTTTTTTTTTTTTTTTTGAGACAGAGTTTAGTTCTTGTCACCCAGGCTGGAGTGCAGTGGTGCAATCTCGGCTCACTGCAACCTCCACCTCCCAGGTTTAAGCAATTCTCCTGCCTCAGCCTCCCGAGTAGCTGCGATTACAGGCGTGTGCCACCACGCCTTGTTAATTTTTTTATATTAGTAGAGACGGGGTTTTCACCATGTTGGCTAGGCTGGTCTCAAACTCCTGACCTCACTAGCCTCGGCCTCCCAAAGTGCTGGGATTACAGGCGTGAGCCACTGTGCCACCTATATTTACAGATTGTGTAACTGAACTAGATATAAAGTGGATATCAGTAAATATATTTACTCCAATAAAAAAGAAAAACACAGGTACCAATATCAAATTCCATGTCTACCTGTGAGTGTGGTTATCTGCCTGTTTCATTCATTCAGTAAATGCATTCAGGCAAGGCCCGGTGGCTTACACCTGTAATCCCAGCACTTTGGGAAGCCGAGGCAGGAGGCTAGCTTGAGCCCAGGAGTTCGAGACCAGTCTGGGCAACATGGTGAGACCCTGCATCTACAAAAAATAAATTAGCCAGGCATGGTGGTGCCCGCCTGTAGTCCCAGCTACTTGGGAGGCTGAGGCAAAAGGATGGCTTGAGCCCAGGAGGTCGAGGCTGCAGTGAGCCATGATTGCACCACTGCGCTCCAGCCTTAGTGACAGTGAGACCTTGTCTCAAAAAATAAATATACACACATTCACCCATTCAAATATTTATTGAGTACCTATATATGCCAGGCACTGTGCTAGGCACCAAGGATGCAGCCATGAACAAGACAAACGAAGGGCCCTCCCCTCATAGAGCTTACATTCTAGTGGTGGGGGGAGGTGTGCAGACAATACACAAGGCAACAAACAAGTAGATAAGTGTTTCAGGAAAATAAACACAGTGCTAGAAAAATTGGTAAGGGCCCGTGGCTCATGCCTGTAATCCCAGCACTTTGGGAGGCCGAGGTGAGCTGATCAGTTGAGGCCAGGAGTTTAAGACCGGCCTGGCCAACATGGTGAAACCCCGTCTCTACCAAACATACAAAAATTAGCCTAGCGTGGAGGCGCGTGCCTGTAATCCCAGCTACTCGGAAAGTGAGACAGGAGAATCACTTGCACCTAGGAAGCAGCTGCTGGAGTGAGCCAAGATCACAGCACCATTGCACCCCAGCCTGGATGACAGAACGAGACTCAAAAAAAAAAAGTCTCAAAAAAAAAGAAAGGACTGGTTGGAGGGGGAGGGGGTGGGGGTGGCACCAGTTTAGATATTTTGATCAGAGAAGGTGATATTTCAACTGACACCTGAACAGATCAGCTCTATTAGTATACGACAGGCTATGCTGCAGTAACAAATTAATCCCTGCATCTCAAAGATTTAACACAAGGATTTCTTTCTCTTTTAAGATCTCCAGCAGGTAGAAAGGATTTGTTTCTTGACCATGCAAAGTCTGAGTCAGACTGCCAGGTCTCCTAGGCTGCTGCCCTCCATACGGTGACTCAGCAATTCAGCCTGCGTCTATCTCAACACAAGGCTTCCAGAATCTCCACCGTGGCACAGAATGAGAGCTGGGGAGTCCTGCAAGGGCTCTTCATGGCCTCAGCCTGGAAGTGATTCTCCTCACTCACACTCAGAGCACATTGGCCAGAATGAGTCCCAGGCCCTCATCTAACTGCAAGGGGGCTGGGAAAAGCAGTTTTCTTGGGTAACTGGGAAGGAAAGGCGAGTACACATGGATGAGCGCTAGAAGTCTCTACCATAGCAGCTGGACAAACAACGGTGGAGGAGCATTCCAGGCAGAAGGAACGGAAAAGGTGAAGACTAAACACATGAGGCCAGGCGCGGTGGCCCACGCCTTAATCCCAGCACTTTGGGAGGCCAAGGCGAGCAGATCACCTGAAGTCAGGGTGAGACCAGCCTGGCCAGCATGGCGAAACCCTGTCTCTACTAAAAATACAAAAATTGGCTGGGCATGCTGGTGTGTGCACCTGTAATCCCAGCCACTTGGGGGACTGACAGAGGAGAATCGCTTGAACCCGGGAGGCGGAGGTTGCAGTGAGCCAAGATCACACCATTGCACTCTAGCCAGGGCAAGAAGAACGAAACTCCGGCAAAAAAAAAAAAAAAAAAAAAAGAAGAAGAAAAGAAAGGAGAGAGAGAGAAAAAAAAGAAAATGAATAAATTTAGCATGTTCATAGAACTGGCTGAGAGAGAGGGCAAGTGGGAGAGGCAGGAGATGGGGCCAGAAAGAAAAGCAGGAGGTGCTCAGATTGTATTCTAATCACAGTGGATGAGAGTTCCATCCGGGGCATCAGTCAGAGCTGGATTCCAATCCCAGCTTTGCCCCTGTAGGATCGAGGGAGCAGCCTGACTTTTCTGAGACTCAGTCTCCTCAAAGGAAGCTGGGACCAGTTACAACCTGTGAAGGTCTTCCTGCTCCGTGCCCAATGCACAACACGCAGAACTAGTGGCAACTATGAACGTTATAGGAACTTCCTTCCTCTCCCGGGTCAGGGACGGGAGGGGAGGGTGCCTGAGGGAGGGAGGGGGCGGGGAGTACGCCAGTATAAACACACCCTGAGTCAGCCGCCCCAACCAGTTTTCCTAGTTGTGCGGGGCCAGCTGGGGCTCCAGACCAATCCAGGATCTGCCCCTCTTCCCCCAGAGACTATGCCCCACAAACACACCCATCCAAGGGACCCTCAGCAAAGACGGAACATGGGAGAGCATCCCAAGCTATGTGAGGGTTCCTTGTGGAGCACTCCTCATTGTAAGTTGTTAAATATCAGATGAGTGACTGTGAGACTGTGGACCACCAGGCACAAGGCCAAGCACCGGAGGGATTCCCAGGGCCATCTCTACCCAGGACCACCCCTACCCAGGGTGCCCGTCCAAAGCCCAGGCTGGCAGTTCCAAGCTCAGCCTCCAAAGCCACATAGAGCTCAAGACAAACCATGCTCTGCTGCTTTTTTTTTTCTTTTTTTTTTTTTTGAGACACAGTTTTGCTCTTGTTGCCCAGGATCTCAGCTCACCGAAACCTCCGCCTCCCAGGTTCAAGCAATTCTACTGCCTGAGCCTCCTGAGTCCCGAGTAGCTGGGATTACAGGCATGCGCCACCACACCCGGCTAATTTTGTATTTTTAGTAGAGACGGGGTTTCTGCATGTTGGTCAGGCTGGTCTCAAACTCCCGACCTCAGGTGATCCACCCGCCTCGGCGTCCCAAACTGCTGGGATTACAGGGGTAAGCCACCACGCCTGGCCAGCTCTGCTGCTTTCTAGGTGACAATAAGCTCTTTCCTTCACCTCCCTGAGCCTCCAGTCCCTTGTCTGCAAAATGAAGACATGCATGGGGGCACCTGCCTGTGCAGTAAGGCTGCTACAGCTCAGAGTCTGACATACAGTGAGTGCCCAGTAAATGAGAGCTGCAATATTGGCACTGGTCAGCTCTGCCCAGATAACTTTTCATTGCAAAATGCATGACAGTTTTCCTACTGACTCTCCTGTTGAACAAAATTATGACTTAACAGGCCAGGCGTAGTGGCTCACACCTGTAATCCCAGCACTTTGGGAGGCCGAGGCTGGAGGATCCCTTGAGTCCAGAAGTCTAAGACCAGCTTGCGCAACATAGTGAAACTCCGTCTCAACAAAAAATACAAAAATTACACTTTGGGAGGCCGAGGCGGGCGGATCACAAGGTCAGGGGTTTGAGACCAGACTGGCCAATATAGCGAAACCCCGTGTCTACTAAAAATACAAAAAATGAGATGGGCATGGTGGCAGGCACCCGTAATCCCAGCTACTTGGGAGGCTGATGCAGGAGAATCGCTTGAACATGGGAGGCAGAGGTTGCAGTGAGCTGAGATCATGCCACTGCACTCCAACCCAGGCGACAGTGCAAGACTCCATCTCAAAAAAAAAAAAAATTAGCCAGGCATGTTGGTGCACACCTATAGTCCCAGCTACTAGGGAGGTTGAGGTTGGAGGATCACTTGAGCCTGGTAGATCTAGGCTACAGTGAGCTGTGATTGTGCCTCTGCACTCCAGCCTGGGAGACAGAGCAAAACCCTGTCTCAAAAGAAAAAAAAGTAACATGCATCTTTTCCAGCGGGACCCAATCAAGATCTTTTTACTCTGGAGTTGGGGGAAGAGACAGGAGGAAGTGCCTTAGAAACTTTGTTGGATTTTTTTGTCTTTCCATAGATTAGGACTCATATTTTTTAAAAGATTAGTCCCCAGGAAGGTGTCTGATTATCTTCAGGACCTGGCTGTGCCTGACAGTCAACATTCACTCAGGATAGATGCTTGATGATTGAATGAATGAATGAAGTGATGGATGAATGAATGAATGAATGAATGGACTCCATTCTAGGGAGTGGCTTAAAGAGGAAACAGTAAGATATTGCTCTGCCTATCCTCCTCCAATCAGACCCTTCCCCACTACCTCTGGGCCTCTGACTCCTCCCCCTTCTGCCCCCCAAATCCAGTTATTTCCTGATGTTTCTTTTTCTTTTTTTGGAGACAGAGTCTCACTCTATTGCCCAGGCTGGAGTGCAATGGCACAATCTTGGCTCACCACAACATCCGCCTCCCAGATTCAAGTGATTCTCCTGCCTCAGCCTCCCAAGTAGCTGGGATTACAGGCTTGCGCCACCACACCCAGCTCATTTTTGTATTTTTAGTAGAGACAGGGTTTCGCCATGTTGGCCAGGCTGGTCTTGAACTCCTGACCTCAGGCAATCCGCCCATCTTGGCCTCCCAAAGTGCTGGGATTACAGGTGTGAGCCACCGTGCCCGGCCTTCCTGATGTTTCTTAAACATTCCATGCATCCTTCCTGCTGTCCTCCCAGCTCCCTGGCACCCTCCAGGCCACTACACACACACACACACATACACACACACACACACACACCACAGAGTGGAAATCCAGTACACACACACACACACACACACACACACCCCCAGTGTGGAAGTCCAGTGTCTCCTTTAACACCCACATCAAACAGCCTGGGGAGAACTGGGAAGACTGGGGAATAAAGCTTCCCTTTGTTCATAAAAAGAAATCCAGGCCTAAGACAGATAAAGGACGTGGCCCCAGAACAGGACAGATCCATGTGGGGAGGGGCAGTGAGACCTCTAGGCAACCTGCAGACATTCCAAGTTGATGGACAGCTCCAAGATTCTTTAAGCCAAGAAAGGGATTCGGGTGTCGAGATTCCTGGGCCTTGGATCCTCTCCTCTCAGGGTCCCATATTGTTCAGGCCTCAGAAACTCAGCTAAAGCTGGCTGAAGCAAAGAGCGGATTTATTTCCTGGCACAGAAACAGGGAAGTCCATGGGTGTTTCGGCTCAGGCGTAGCTGGATCCAGAGGCTCACATGATGTCATCAGGGCTTATTCGTTACCTCTCCTTGGCCTCTTCTTAGGTTTTCTCTGCGGCCAGAACAAGAAGGCCACTGGCCAGGGATCGTGCAGTCACACAGGGCCCCATGTTCAAATGAGCCCATGCTTGGAGTCTAATGCTCTGCTGTCTTGAAATTCAACATCATTTTATCGTTGAGTTTGTGTTGAGTGAAGTCTGAGACAGTGGAGCGTGTTTGAAGCTTCGACTCAGGTGCAGTCCTGTCTCCTGCCACCTCCCCACCTCCCTGAGACAGGTTCTTGGTCCCCCTGCTACCCTGCCCCCTGGCACTCTGGTGCCCTGGCTCTGCCTGGCCTCTCCCTCCCATCCTCGGCAGGGACCTGGGCACAGGCGTAGAGAGGGTTGAGTTCAGGCATCCGTGAGCAGCACCTTGCAGGGCACGGTGACAGCCGCCACTGCTGTGCATTAGCAGCACCACAGCCTGACTGGCAGCCAACCAGAGACCGTGTCTAGACGTGGGGTGAACCTTTCACCTACCCCGATCTGGGTACTGAGGTCCTTAGAGACCACTCCTCTGCTGTAGGTTGAGGTGGGGGCCTGTGGGAAGGGGAGGTACCAGGACTCAGGACATCAGCCCAGTGGTTGGTTGGAAGGTTAATCCAGCAGCTGCCAGGCCCCATCTAGAGAGAGCACGCAGGGAGGCATAGCAGGGGTGGAGGGGGCTGGGAGGGTGTGCACCCTTGTGGCAATCTCCCATACGGAGAAGCACTATCTTAACCACCTTAACCAGGGGGTCTTCTCCTCCCCCTATAACCTTCCTGAGCCTGGCTTGTGTTTGTCTTTTCTGGCCAGTTCAAGGCACACTCAGGGACAAGCCACAGAATATGAATTGTGCAATTTCAGCGATTCTGCACATGAATTAAATGCTCTGGTATTTATATTTATAACTGGTATTACACAGCCAGGCAGAGTGGCTCATGCCTGTAATCCCAGCACTTTGGGAGGTGGGCAGATCACTTGAGGTCAGAAGTTCAATACCAGCCTGGCCAACGTGGTGAAACCCTGTCTCTACTCAAAATACAAAAATTAGCCAGGTGTGGTGGCACACACTTGTAATCCCAGCTACTCAGGAGGCTGAGGCACGAGAATTGCTTGAACTTGGGAGGCAGAGGTTGCAGCGAGCCGAGATTGGCCACTGCACCCCAGCCTGAGTGACAGGGAGAGAGGCTCCATCTTAAAATAAATAAATAAATAAATATAAATAAAACTGGTATTACGCAATATAAAGATGAATGGTAAAATTCATGCTAATTATTTACAATAATTACACCTTTCTAAGTACACCTTTCTGTACTTAGAATGACATTGAATAGAAAATTTAAAATGCCATGACAAGTTGAGAGATGGTGGAAGGAAGCGTTCTATGGACCCTTCGTGGCACTTTTTCCTGCTTTTTGAGCAAGGGGCCCTGCATTTTCATGTTGTATCGCACCCCACAGATCCTGTACCTGGCCTTGCCACTGGCATCCCCAGGATGGCATCTTCCCAGCTTAGCAGCCCTGGCACAGGGCATCTTCCCACCTGATCTAACAGAGGGCATTGGGGATGATCCTCATTGGCACAGCCAGGTCACAAGCTCATCCCAGAACCAATCACAGTGCACAGGAAAGCAGGGCCCCTGTGATTGGCCAGGTCTGGGCATGTGTCCACCCCTGAGTAGGGGGCTGACCGGCCCCACCTCAACCCTTTCTCGTGGCTTCTCCATTGGGAAGAAGGTTCTGTTGCCAGAGGAGAGGGCGCTGCACAGCCACAGGCCGCCACTGTGCGTCTTGTACACACACCTCTCGTGCTTGGTGTGAAAAAATAAAAAATGTAGATACCAGCTGGAGGAGAGACGCAATGTAGTTCCTCTCTTCCGGCTCATAGTTCCCAGTCTCCCTTCCTCTAAATGCCGGCGAGTCCCAGGGCTCAGGCCTTGGCCCCTTCTCCCTTCCTGCCACCTTCTCCTGGTCCCTTCAACCCACTGACAATTCTCTCCAGCCAGGACCTCCGTGCCGAATGCAAGTCAAGGGTCCCACCATGTTTGGCCTCTACTCTTGGGATACTGACATCTAAGAACTCGTCTGTCTGGGCCTTTCAAACCCCGGAGAGACACCTACAACCTCTGCTTCTCCCCGCCATTGCCCCGTCCCACCATCCAGCAAGTTGTTCAGGCCAAAAACCAGGGCATCGTGACTCCTTTTTTGTTCACAAAGCCAAATCCAGTCCATCAGCAAATCCTCCTTCAGAAGAGATTCACAATCAGGCCAGACACGGCGGCTCACGCCTGTAATTCCAGCACTTCGGGAGGCCAAGACAGGAGGATCACCTGA